>NC_000024.10:17769601-18379149 GCF_000001405.40 Homo sapiens | reverse complement strand
CATCATTTTGAAATGTGGTGTTATTCAGTGGAAAAGAAAAATAATGTTTATCTCCAGAGTAAAGAACAGGGTTCCCTGCAGGGATTGATTAACTGAGAGCTATGGCTCAGGATTAAAAATTCTTTTTCCCCTTATAAATTAAAAATTAATTTTTAAGCCTCCAGTCACCAAATGGACCCCTCTTCTTGGATAAGGACCTTCCAAAGTTAACCTGAAAAGCAAGTTCAAGCCATGGGTCACGCATACCTCATTATACTCTCCTCCCCTTGGTTTTAATTTTAATTTTGATTTTTAATTTATTTTTGTGGGTACACAGTTGGTGTATATATTTATAGGGGTACATGACATACTTTGATACAGGCATGCAGTGAGTAATACATAATAAAAAATGGGCTATCTATCCCCTTGAGCAATTATAGCTTGTGTTATAAAGAATCCAGTTATACTCTTTTAGTTTTTATAAAATGTATAGTTAAATTATTATTTACTGTAATCACCCAGTTGTGCTATCAAATACTGCCTTATTCATTCTTTCTAACAATTTTTTGTACCCATTTAGCATCCCCACTATCCTTCTCTTCCCCCACTGCCCTTCCCAGCCTCAGGTAACCCCCCTTATACTCTCTATCTCTATGACATCAATTGTTTCAAATTTTAGCAGTCACAAATAAGTGAGAACATGTGACATTTGTTTTTCCTGTGCCTGACTTATTTCACTTAACATAAAGACTTTCAGTTTCGTTTACGTTATTGCAAATGACAGACTCTCATTCTTTCTTATAGCTGAATAGTATTCCATTGTGTATATGTACCACATTTTCTCTAGCCAGTCATCGTTGATTGACGTTTAGGTGTCTTCCAAATCTTGGCTATTACCAGCATTTGTTTTTGACTGACTTCTGGATAAAAGCCACCTTACTGGAGTGAAATGATATCTCATTTTTGGTTTGATTTGCATTTCTATAATAATCAGTAATGTGGAGAATCTTTTCATTTGCCTGTTTGCCATTTGTATGTCTTCTTTTCATAAATGTCTATTTAAATTTTTTGTCCACTCTTTAATTAGGTTACTACATATTTTTCTATAGAATTTTTTTAACTCAATATAATGTAGTGTATTAGTCTGTTTCTGCACTGCTATTAAAAAAAAAACAGAGACTGGATTATTTATTAATCTATTTATTCATTGAGATTAAGTCTTGCTCCATCACCCAGGCTGGAGTGAAGTGGTGCGATCTCGGCTCACTGCAACCTCCCCTCTGGGGTCCAAGCAATTATCTGCCTCAGCCTCCTGAGGAGCTGGGATTACAGGCACCAGCCACCATGCCCAGCTATTTTCTTTATTTTTAGTAGAGACTGTGTTTCACCATCTTGGCCAGGCTGGTCTTGAACTCCTGACCCTGTGATCCACCGACCTCGGCCTCCCAAAGTGCTGGGATTATAGGCGTGAGCTACTGTGCCTGGTGAGATTGGGTAATTTTTAAGGAAATAGGTTTAATTGACTCACATGGCTGGGGAGGCCTCAGGAGACTTACAATCATGGCAGACAGGGAAGCAGGCACCTTTACATGACAGCAGGTGAGACAGCCTGTATGCGAAGCAAAAGGGGAAGAGCCCCTCATAAAACCGTCAGATCTCATGAGAACTCATTATCAGAAGAAGAGCATGGAGGAAACCACTTCCATGATCCAATCACCTTCTCACCTTCTACCAGGTCACTCCCTCAACACCTGGAGATTAATTCAATATGAGATTTGGGTGGGGACACAAAGCCTAACCGTATCATGTGGTTATAAATTGCTTTTCACATGGGTAATTTACAAATGTTTCCTCCTATTCTGTGGGTTTTCTCTTCACTTCGTTTATTGTTTCCTTCACTTTAAAAAAGCTTTCTGACTTGCTGTAATTCCATTTGTCCATGTTTGCTTTTGTGGTCTGTGCATATGGGGCACTACTTAAGAAATTTTTGCCCAAACCAATGCTTTAAAGAGTTTCCCCATTTTTTTGTGTGTGAAACTTTGATAGTTTGAGGTGTTAAGTTTAAATCTTTAATTATTTTAATTTGATTTTTTTATGTGGCAAGAAATATGGTTCTAGTTTCATTCTTCTGCCTATGGCTTGCCAGTTTTCCCAGCCCTACTTATTACAGAAACTGTCTTATTTTTTGTTGTATGTTCTTAGCACTTCTGTTGAAAATAAGTTTAGTTTAGCTGCATGAGTTTGTTTCTAAGTTCTCTATTTCATTCCTTGGGTCTTTATGTTCTATTTTTATTCTAGCATCATGCTGTTTTAATTACTATAGCTTGATGGTATAATTTAAAACCAGGTAATGGGATTCCTCCATTTTTGTTTTATATACTCAGCATAGCTTTGACTATCATGGTGTTTTGTGGTTCCATATACATTGCAGAAGTTTTTTCTATTTCTGTGAGGAATGTCATTGTTATTTAGATAGAGATGGCATGAAATGTATAGATTCCTTTGGATTGTATGGACATTTTTAAAAATACTGATTCTTCCAACCTGTGAACAAATAAATATCTTTCCATTTTTTGTGTCCTCTTTCATTTCTTTTATCAGTATTCTACAATTTTAATTGTTGAGAACTTTTATTTCTTTGGTAAATTCGCACACATTTTGTTTTATTTATGGCTGTTGCAAATAGGATTACTCTTCTGAATTCTTTTTCAGTTTGTTGATGGTTGGCATATAGAAATCCTACTGATTTGTATATGTTGATTTTGTATTCTGCAAATTTACTGAAGTTATCACTTCTAACAGTTTTTTGGTGGATATATTAGGCCATTCTCACATTGCTATAAAAATAGTTGGTGACTGGTTAATTTATAAAGAAAATAGGTTTAATTGGCTCATGTTTCTAGAGGCTGTACAGAAAGCATAGCCCTGGCCCCTGCTTCTGGGGATGCCTCTGACAACTGACAAGGTGAAGAAAAAATCCGGTGCTTGCACATCACATGGTAAGTGCAAAGGCAAAGGGAAAGTGCTACGCACTTGTAGATGACCAGCTCTCATGAAAACTTACTGTTGTGGGAATGGCACCAAAGCAAATGATGCCAAACTCTTCATGGAAATCCTGCCCTCATGATTCCATCACCTCCCAACTAGGCCCACTTCCAACGTTGAGGTTTACATTTCAATATAAGATTTTGGTGGGAACACACACCCAAACTATATCATTTTGCCCCTGGCCATTTCAAATCTCATATCCTTCTCATATTTCAGAATACAATCATGACTTCCCAATAATCCCCAAAGTCTTAACTCATTTCAGACTTAACTCAAAAGTCAAAAGTCTCATCTAAGACAAAGCTAGTTCCTTCCTCCTATAAGCCTATAAAATAAAAACAAGTTAGGTAATTCGAAGACATAAATTGGGTATAGACATTGGGTAAATATTCCTATTCTAAAAGGAAGAAATCAGTTAAAAGAAAGGGGCTGCAGGACCCATGCATGTCTGAAACCCAGAATGGGAGTTATTGAATTGTAAGACTCCAAAATAATTATTTTTGACTCTGTGTCCCATTTCCAGGACACACTAATGCTTTGGGAAGTTTCAACCTTGTGTCTTTGCATGGTTTAGCCCCCATGGCTGCTCTCACGGGCTGTTACTGTGTGCCTCTAGCTTTTCCAGGTGCAAGGTGCAAGCTGTACAGGATCTACCATTCTGGAGTCTGGTGGACAGTGATCCTCTCCTCACAGATCTACTAGGTCATGCCCCATTAGGGAGCCCACATGGGGACTGTAACCCCACATTTCTTCTCTGCATTGATTTAGTAGAGGTTCTCCATGAGGGCTCCCCTCTGCAACATGCTTCTGCCTGCACACCTTGGCTTTTTCATACATCCTTTTTGAAATAAAAGTGGAAGCTCCAAATTCTCAACTGTTGCATTTTGTACACCCACAGGCCTAACACCACATGAAAGCTAGCAAGGCTTATGGATTGCACCTTCTGAAGCAGTGAGTATAGTTGTAACTGGGCCAATTTGAGCTACACCTGGAGCATGAGCAGTGGCCAGGATTCAGGGAGCCATGTTCCAAGGCTACTCAAGGCAGCAGGTGCTGGGTCTGATCTCAGAAACTATTGTCTTCTTTTAGGCCCCAGGGTCTGTGATGGGGGGCTGGCTTTTAGAATTCTAAAATGCCTTCAATTCCTCTTTCCCATTGTCTTGGCTATCAACAATTGCTTTTTTTTTTTGGGTTGTACAAATATCTCTAACAAGTGGTTGCTCCATAGCCTGCTTGAGTTCCTCTCTTATAAAAGCTATTTATTTTTCTGACACTTAACTAGACTACAAACTTCTCAAGCTTTTACACTATGCTTCCATCAAAAGTATAAGTTACAAATTTTTGTTTTGTTTTGTTTTTTTGCTCCAACATGTGAACACAGGTTGATAGAAGCAGCCAGGACACATCTTGAATGCTTTGCTGCTTAGACATTTTTCCAACAGAAACCCTAAATCATCACTTTCAAATTCAAACTTCTGTATATCCCTAGGGCATGACAGACATTCAGACAACCATTTTGCTAAGATGACATGCATAACTTTTGCTTCAGACCTAATAAGTTTCTAATTTTCATCTGAGAACTCCTCAGCTCAGCCTTCACTGTCCAGATCACTATCAGCATTATGGTCACAGCCATACAACCAGGCTCTAAGAAGATCTCAACTTTCCCTAATTATTCTGGCTTCTTCTGTGTCCTACAGACTCCTCCAACTTTTGCCTGTTTATCCAATAACAAAGTTAATTCCACATTTTCAAGTATTCTTATAATAATTTTCCACAATTTGGTGCCAATTTTCTCTATTTATCTATTTTTGCATCACTATAAATACCTGAGACTGGAAAATTTATTTTTAAAAAAGGAGGTTTAAGCGGCTTGTGTCTCTACAGGCTATAGAGAAGATATAGCACTAGCATACACTTCTGGGAAGGCCTCTGGAACTTTACAGTCATGGCAGAAGTTTAAGCAGAATCTTGCATATCACAGGGCAAAAGGCAGGAGCAAAAAACAGAGAGGTGAGTTGTTACACACTTTTAAATAACCAGATCTTATGGGAACTCACTCACTATCATGAGGATAGTACCAAATGGGATGGTGCTAGGCCATTTGTGAGTAATCCACCCAGATGGTTAAATCACCTTTCATCAGGCCCACCTCCAACATCGACAATTACATTTAAATATGAGATTTGGGAGAGGATACATATTAAAACTCTATCAGATGAGTCTTTATATTTTTTCAAATATAAAATTATATCATCAGCAAAAAAGATAATTTGACTTATTTTCCAATTGGGATGGCTTTTATTACTTTCTCTTGTCTGATTGCTCCAGATAGGACTTTCAGAATTATGTTGAATAACCATGGTAAAAATGGATATTCTTGTCATCTTCGAGATTTTAGAGGAAAGGCTTTTAGTTTTTTCCCCACCAAGTATGATACTAGCTGTGGGTCTGTCACATATAACTTTTATTATGTTGAGGTATCATTCCATACCCAGTTTTCAAAGGGCTTTTAATTATTAAGGAATGTTAAATTTTATCAAATGATTTTTAGCATAGTTGAAGTGATTATATGGGTTTTGTCCCTCATTCTGTTTTTTTGTTTTTGTTTTTGTTTTTTTTTTACGCCGTCTCCTTCTTTCACCCAAGCTGGAGTGCAATGGCATGATCTTGGCTCACGGCAACCTCCACTTTCCAGGTTCAAGTGATTCTCCTGCCTCAGCCTCCTGAGTAGCTGAAATTACGGGTGCCTACCATGGCGCCTGGCTAATTTTTGCATTTTTTGTAGATATGGGGTTTTGCCATCTTGGCCAGTCTGGTTTTGAACTCCTGACCTCAGGTGATTCACCCACCTCAGCTTCCCAAAGTGCTGGGATTACAGGCATGAGCCACTGCACCTGGTCGCTTCATTGTGTTTATATGATATATCACATTGATTAATTTGCATGTTGCACCATCTTTGCATGTCTGGGATAAATCCCACTTGCCCATGATGGATTATCTATTATGTAATTATTATTATGTATATTATCTATTATGTAAATATATTATGTAATTATACATAAATATAATTATTTATGTATTGTTTAATTCAGGTTTCCAGGTTTTTTGCAAATGTTTGCATCATTATTCTCATATATTGGCCCATAGTTTGCTCTTTTAATGTGTCTTTGTCTGGTTTTGATATCAGTTTAATACTAGCCTCAAAGAATGAGTTTGAAAATGTTCTTTCCTTCTCTATTTTATGCCTGGTCCTGCAGACTTTTTTATTATGGCTTTAATTTTGTTATTTATTATTGGTCTGTTCACGTTTTTTATTTTTTCCTAGTTCAATCTTGGTAAGTTGTTTGTGTCCAAGAATTGATTTCCTCTAGGTTTTCTAATTTGTTGGCATACAATTGCTCACATTAGCCACTAATGATCCTTTGATTTTCTGAAGCGTTACTTGTAATGTCTCTTTATCAACTCTGATTTTATTAATTTGGTATCTTCTCAGTTCTTCAGTTAGCCTCTGTAAGTATTTGTCAATTGTTTTACTTTTCAAAAAAGTCAACATTTTGTTTCATTGATTTTTTGCATTGTTTTCTTCATTTTAACTTTATTTCCACTCTAATCTTTATTATTTCTTTGCTTCTAATTTTGAGTTTGGTTTGGCCTTTTTATTCTATTTAATTAAGATATATTGTTAGGTTATTTTAAGGTTTTCTAATTTTTATGTATGCACTTATAGTTTTAAATTTTCCTTTTTATTAGTACCTCTTTTACTATATTCTATAGGTTTTGCCATGCTATGTTTCCATTATCATTTGTTTCAAGAAATTTTTCTACTTTCTTTTTAACTTTTTTATTGACCTACTGATTATTCAGTGGCATATTGTTTAATTTTCAAGTGTTTGTATAGTTTCTGAAATTCTTTTTTTTTTTTTTATCGATTTCTAGTTTTATTCCATTGTGGTCAGAGAAAATCCTTGATATTACTTCAATTTTTTGAATGTTTTTAGATACGTTACCTAAGTTATGGTCTACCCTTGAGATCAAACCATGTACTGAGGAGAAGAATGTGTATTCTGTAGCTGTTGGATGAAATTTTCTGTAAATATCTATTAGGTTAATTTGTACTATAGTGCAGATTAAGTCTGATGTTTCTTTGTTGATTTTCTGTCTGGAAGGTCTATCCAATGACTAAAGTTGGGTGTTGAAGTGTCCAGCCATTATTGTATTGTGGTCTCTTTCTTTACATCTCTTATAATATTTGCTTCATTTATATAGGTGCTTTAGTGTTGGGTGCATATATATTTCCAGTTATTACATCTTCTTGATTAATTGACCCCTTTATTATTATATAATGACCTTCTTAATCTCCTCTTACAGTCTTTTGTTGAAATCTATTTTTGTCTGGTAAAAGTATAGCTATTTCTGCTTTTTTTGTTTCTATTGGCATGGAATAACTTTTACTATGCTTTTATTTTCAGTCTAAATGCATCTTTATAGGTAAAGTATTTTTTTTTAGGTCACAGATTATTGTCTTGTGCCTCTATCCATTAATCCATTATTTGTCTTTTGATTGGAGTATTTGGTTCATTTACATTCAAACTTAGTATTGATAAGCACTTACTCCTGCCATTTTGTTATTTGTTTTCTGATTGATTTTTGTCCTCTCATCCTTCTTTTCTTTCTTCCAGTCTTCCTTTTAGTGAGGGTGATTTCTCCTGTAATATAATATAATTTCTTCCTTTTTACTTTTTGTACAACTGTGATATGCTTTTTAATTTGAAATTATGATTAGGCTTGAAAATAACATCTTATAACACATCGTTTTAGACTGTGAACAATTTAACCCTGATTGCATAAACAAAGAAACAAGCAGAGCAACTAACAAAAACTTTACACTTTGATTTCATTGCCATTCTTTTAAACTTTTTGTGGTTTCTCTTCATTCCCGATTTTACTGTCTATATCTTGGAAATATCTTGTAGTTATTTTTGTAATTGGTTTATTGCTTACTGTTTCTATTTGAGATTTTTGCACAACATAATTACCATGTTATAATATTCTGTGTTTTTCCGTGTGCTATTACTAGTGAGTTTTGTACCTTCAGATGATTTCTTATTGCTCATTCACTTTTTTTTTTTCAGGTTAAGAACTCCCTTTAGCATTTCTTGCAGGACATGTCTGGTGTTAATGAAATCCCTCGGTTTTTGTTTCTCCAGAAAAGTTCTTATTTCTCCATCAAGTTTAAAGGATGTTTTTGCCAGATACATTATTCTAAAGTAAAAGTCTTTTTTTCTCTTCAGGTTTTTAAAAATGGCATGCCATTCTCTCAGCCTGTAAATTTTCCCCTGAAAGGTCTGCTGTCAGATCTACTGGAGTTCCACTGAATGTTATTTGTCTCTCTTCTCTCACTGCTTTTCGATTCATTTCTTTATCCTTAACCTTTGGGAGTTTAGTTAAGTGCCTTGAGGTGGTCTTCTTTGGGCTATATCTGCTTGATGTTCTGTAACTTTCTTTTACTCAAATGTTGATATCGAATGCTGGGAAATTGTTTAATATTATTTAACACTATTTCTTTAAATAAATGTTTAACTCATCTCTTTTCAATCTCCTCTTTAAGGCCAATAACTCTTAGATTTGCTATTTTGAGGCTAATTTTTAGGTTTTGGCAGCATGCTTTATTTTTTATTCTTTTTTGTCTCCTCTGACTTTATATTTTCAAATAGTCTGACTTCAAGTTCACTAAATCTATCTTCTTCTTGATCAATTGTTTTAAGTAATTCTTCAGTATGACAACTGCATTTTCATTTCTTTTTTTTTTTTTTTTGCTTTATTCTTTTTATTTCAATCTCATTGTTAAATTTATCTGATAGAATTTGGAATTTTTCGCTGTGTCCTATTGCATTTCTTTGAATTACCTCAACCAGCTATTTTGGATTTCCTTTATGAAAGGTCACATATCTCTGTTTCTCCAGGATTTGTCCCTGGCACCTTATTTAGCTTGTTTGGTGAGGCCGTGTTTTCCTGGATGGTCTTGATACTTGTAGATGTTCATCTATATCTGGGCATTGAAGAGTTTCCTACTGTAGTCTTGAAAGTCTGGGCTTGTTTGTGCCCATTATACTTGGGAATGCTTTCCAGGTATTCAAAGAGACTTGGGTCCCAACCGAATAACACAGTAGTTTATGTAAACACATACAGGTACTGCCTTGGTTGCCTTGGATTCACATCAGGAAAAATTCTCTTGATTTATCAAGTAGAGTCCCTTGTTCTCTTCCCTTACTTTCTCTCAAACCAGCATAGTCTCTCTCTCTGTGCTTAGGCATGTGGAGCTGGTGTTGCAGCAACATGAGAAACCCTGTGGCCACCAGCACAAAGACTGTGCTGGTTCACATCTCAGGTAGGCACAGAACTTGAGTCTCACCCAAGGCCCATTCTAACCACTACTTAGCTACCATATAAGTTTACTCAAAGCCCTAGGACTCTATGATTAATAGATGGCAAAGCCAGCCAGATTTGTGTCTCTGCCTACAGCGTGGCAAGTTCCCTGTAGCCATGAGGGGGTCCCTAGATGCTAGGGAGCCAGAGATTAAAGTATAGAATCTTCAAAATTTACCTGCTCTTCTATTTTACTGTAGCTAACCTGGCATTTAGGGCATAAAACAAAGTATTTTCTACCCTTCTTTCCTCTGTCTGCAGGCAGAGGAGTCTCTTCTATGACTGCCAACACCACCGGCCCATGGGGTAGTTCTGCCAAATCATCATCAATTTCTCACTTAAAGCCCAAGGACTCTTTAGTTAGCTTGTGATAAATTCTGCAATGCCTGGGACTCGACCTTTGGCCCAGGGCAAGTACAGAAATGCTGACCAAGACCTTAGGTCTGGACTCAGGGACTCTACGAATCTGCTTGGTGCTCTAACCCACTGTGGCTGAGCTGGTATATGAGGTGCAACACAGCGTTCCCTTTACTTTCCCCCCTGCTTGTCTCAAATGGAAGAAGTCTTTCACCATAGCTACCACAGTTGGAAATGTGCTGGGTCACACCTGAAGTTAGCACTTCTCAGAGCCCTATACCCATGGTGTATCACTGGGTATTACCTGGGTATCACTGTTTTTTATTCTGGGTACAGAGGTTCTTTAGTCAGCAGGTGATGAATTCTGCCAGGTCTTTACTGACATGGCAGCACTGACTTTAATGTTAAGTCCTTCAGTCATTGTGCTCTTCCTCTCCCAAATTCACAAGTTTCTCTGTGCTGTGTGGCTGCTGCTGGGTGGGGGTAGGGGGAGTGGTATTGTGACCACTCCCTTAGCTGCTCTGACTGGTGTCTCAGTAGTCCACATTCTCCCCAGGCTCCACATTGCACTCGCTCTGAGCCAAGCTCAGCAGTATGACTTGCCTAATAATTGAAGTCCTTGTGGCCTAGACTGCCCCTTAAGTTCTCTTAGGGTCCAATAGCTCTTCGACTCATGTGGCAAGGCTTGTAAAGACTCAAGCTCCCAACATTGAGATGGGAGATTTTCATCTTGCTAGGGCAAATCAAAATGTTCTATTGGCAGATGTCAGCTGAGTACAATCTGGGTCTGCTTTTTACTGTGACAGGGTAGTACTGAGTTTATTTCAAAGCCTCACAATCTGTGCTCTCCCTTTCCCAAACATACAATCTCTGCACCACGTGGCCACTACTGGTGGTTGAAAAAGAGGTGGCATCAGTGTTTCTAGACTGTCATTTTTTTGTCTTCTCCAAAGTCTCTTTCAGTGATATGAAGTTAATACCAGGTACTGTGATTGCTTGCCTCATTTTTGGTCCCTTTGATAGTGCTTCTTGAATATAATAAGTTGTGAAAATTTGGTGTTTGGGTATGGGGGACAAGTGACGTAGACTTCTATTCTGTCTTCTTGGTCTCTGCCTTAAATTTTTTAGATTCAGGAAGTACTTTTGCAGGTTTGTTACATGGATATATTGTGTAATGCTGAGCTATGTGGGATATTACTGATCCCATTACCAAGGTAATGAGCATAGTACTCATAGTTTCTCACCCCCTGCCCTCCTCCTTCCCTCCTTCATCTAGTAGTTCTCAGTGTCAATTGCTGACATCTTTATATTCATGTTTAGATCCCACTTACAGGCAAGAACATGTGGTACTTGGTTTTCCATTCCTGTATTAATTTTCTTAGGATAATGGCCTACAGATGCATCCATGTTGCTGCACAGGACTTGATTGTATTCTTTTTAATGTGTGCATAGTATTTTATGGTGTTGGATATTTCTATCCAATTTTTGATTCACACGTAAGTTAATTTCATGCCTTCCCTAATGTGAATAGCAATATGATGACATACAAGTGCATTTGGGGTTTCTTTTTAAAAATTTTTTAATTTTCTTTTGGATATATGCTCAATAATGGAATTTGTGGTTTAATGGTACTTCTGTTTTAAATTCTCTGAAAAATCTCCAAACTGCTTTTCACAGTGGGAAAACTAATTTACACCACAGTACATAAGCATTTTATTTTCTCTGAAGTCTAACCAGAATTTATAATTTTTTACTTTTTCTTAGTAGCCATACTGAATAATATGAGAAGTTATCTTACATTGATTTGCATTTCTCTGATTATTAGTGATGTTGAACATTAAGAAAACCATGCCATTAAAACATTGGCAAGGGACATAAGCAGACACTTCTCAAAAGAAGACATATGAGTGGGATTCTTATTCTATCGCAATAAGCTGTCTTTCTTTTGAAAAATACAAAATCAGACCATTTGAAAATTCCCTTTAATTGTAGTGATTGACAGTATGCTTCCCCTTCTCTATCTCATTTTCTTATTCGTGAATTTTTTATGATCATTATGAATCCACTCAGCAGAGTAACCTCCGTTCTTAATCTGTGTGAATTGTGCTGATGAGCTAGTCAGCTCTCTTAAAATCACCAACAAGGGTTTTAAATTTCCTAGTTAGTAATATATTTTTGGCATGCCACAGGATACTCTTAGTACGATGTCTTCTGATCCACGCATTATGGATTGTGGTGATTAGTTTTTTAGATTTCTATAAGCTTTGAAATTAAGAGGTATATATCTAAAATAAATTGGACTTCATACTCTTTCCACGTTTATTGGGTTTGTTAATTATTCCATAGAAAACAGTTGAAAGACTTTTGTAGAATTCAATTCTGTTTTACCATATTTAGGGTTAAAAGAAGGGAATTATATTGATGTAACTGAGAGACTGAATTAACCTGTCATCACATGTGATTTTTCTGGAGTTTTTTAATGTTAGTGACATCATTTTCAATATGTCAATGCCTAGCTTGGGTTTCTAGGGGAGACATGAGTAGCTAGTACTATCCGTCTAAAATATAATGACAAGTGGAGTTGAATCTCCCAGTTCTTGAATCTGTGCTGGTCACAATGACTTGCTTTACCAATAGGATGCAGCAGAAGTCAAATTCTAGGACCTCCAAGCCTAGGTCATAAGAAGCTTTGTAGTATTTCTCTGTGTGTCTTGGGACCAACTACCATGTTCTGAGGACTCCAGGTAACATGGAGAGGCCAGATAGGCACCACACACAACAGCCAATAGGCACTGTCAGCCATGTGAGTAACCCATCTAGGCTCTTCAGCCTAGTTGAGTTTTCAGGTAACTTCAGTAGCAGCAACCAATAGCAGCTGCAAGACAAACTCCAAAACAGAACTGTTGTAGCTCCCATCAACCCACAAAACCTTGAGAAATAATGTTATTTAAAATTACTAAATAAAAATAACAATAAAAATATTAAACAATAAATAATTCCTTAAGTTTTGGAATGGCTTGCTATTCAGCAACAGAGAGCTAGAATAAGTTCTAAATATTTCACAATACTGAATGAGTATAAGTTTAGTCGTGTAATATACTTCTATATTTTAAAGCCATTGACATTTCTGGACAGAGTGTGAAAGTGAGCACTGATCAAATGGTTCCCAAGAGAAGTTGCCTATTCTATCTCAAAATCATCATTTACCAAAGGGAGCTGTATTTTGCTTTTGGAAAATACACTTTTAAAAGTTCATTTGAAAAGAAAACTAACAATTGTTTAGAAAGGCACATGCTACAGTCCCACCAACAGTGTAAAAGTGTTCCTATTTCTCCACATCCTCTCCAGCACCTGTTGTTTCCTGACTTTTTAATGATTGCCATTCTAACTGGTGTGAGATGGTATCTCACTGTGGTTTTGATTTGCATTTCTCTGATGGCCAGTGATGATGAACATTTTTTCATGTGTTTTTTGCCTGCATAAATGTCTTTTTTTGAGAAGTGTCTGTTCATGTCCTTCGCCCACTTTTTGATGGGGTGGTTTGTTTTTTTCTTGTAAATTTGTTTGAGTTCATTGTAGATTCTGGATATTAGCCCTTTGTCAGATGAGTAGGTTGTGAAAATTTTCTCCCATTTTGTAGGTTGCCTGTTCACTCTGATGGTAGTTGCTTTTGCTGCGCAGAAGCTCTTTAGTTTAATTAGATCCGATTTGTCAATTTTGGCTTTTGTTGCCATTGCTTTTTGTGTTTTAGACATGAAGTCCTTGCCCATGCCTATGTCCTGAATGGTAATGCCTAGATTTTCTTCTAGGGTTTTTATGGTTTTAGGTCTAACGTTTAAGTCTTTAATCCATCTTGAATTGATTTTTCTATAAGGTGTAAGGAAGGGATCCAATTTCAGCTTTCTACATATGGCTAGCCAGTTTTCCCAGCACCATTTATTAAATAGGGAATCCTTTCCCCATTGCTTGTTTTTCTCAGGTTTGTCAAAGATCAGATAGTTGTAGCTATGCAGCATTATTTCTGAGGGCTCTGTTCTGTTCCATTGTTCTATATCTCTGTTTTGGTACCGGTACCATGTTGTTTTGCTTACTGTAGCCTTGTAGTATAGTTTGAAGTCAGGTAGTGTGATGCCTCCAGCTTTGTTCTTTTGGCTTAGGATTGACTTGGTGATGCGGGCTCTTTTTTGGTTCCATATGAACTTTAAAGTAGTTTTTTCCAATTCTGTGAAGAAAGTCATTGGTAGCTTGATGGGGATGGCATTGAATCTGTAAATTACCTTGGGCTTTCAACCATTGTGGAAGTCAGTGTGGCGATTCCTCAGGGATCTAGAACTAGAAATAACATTTGACCCAGCCATCCCACTACTGGGTATATACCCAAAGGACTATAAATCATGCTGCTATAAAGACACATGCACACGTATGTTTATTGCGGCATTATTCACAACAGCAAAGACTTGGAGCCAACCCAAATGTCCAACAATGATAGACTGGATTAAGAAAATGTGGCACATATACACCACGGAATACTATGCAGCCATAAAAAATGATGGGTTCATGTCCTTTGTAGGGACATGGATGAAACTGGAAATCATCATTCTCAGTAAACTATCACAAGAACAAAAAACCAAACACTGCATATTCTCACTCATAGGTGAGAATTGAACAATGAGATCACATGGACACAGGAAGGGGAATATCACACTCTGGGGACTGTGGTGGGGTGGGGGGGTGGGGAGGGATAGCATTGGGAGATATACCTAATGCTAGATGACGAGTTAGTGGGTGCAGCGCACCAGCATGGCACATGTATACATGTGTAACTAACCTGCACAATGTGCACATGTACCCTAAAACTTAAAGTATAATAAAATAAATAAATAAATAAATAAATTAAAAAAAAAGAAAGGCACATGCTATTTTGAAAAAACATTTGAGAGAATCAGAAAAGTGTAAACTTTAAGCCTCTAATCATATTTGTATGCTATTTAACCCATAAATATGAAGTCTGATGGCAAATATGTTTATGTTACACTGACTTTTGCATAAATAAGTTAAACAAACAGTTTTCTTTTTAAGTGATAGGGCTTATAATAGGTATAATGTTAAGATGGCTGCAGTGAATGGGCTCATCACCATAATAATATTTTCTCTTTAATACTTTTATGGAATATTAAGTGAGAACCAGAGAGTCTAAAACTGGGTTACATAGCAGTAATAAAATCAGAGTGACACTTAATTTGCAGCAGCAAGATTGGAATTCTTGCTGTTGAGGTTGGTGGTAGCAAACTCAATTATGGGTGGTTTCTGCTTCATGCTTAGGTGGTGTGTTGAAAGATTTCCTCTTTAGAATTTTCAAACACTTCCTGAGTAGAGCTGTTTAAAATAAAAACAAAACCCTCTGATTTTGAATTTAGCCAATTTATTTTTAAAATTTGTACATATGTTTCTAATTTTTAAACTGTGGCTTTCATGTAGACAGAAATTATATCTTATACCTCTTTTTCTTCGGCAGTGGTGTGACTGGCACCTAGTTGAATTGCCAAGTTTCTTGAATAAGTAAAGTAAAATTATACCAGAAGTAAACTCTTACATGTATCAACTTTACTCAGAAAATATATTGCTAAGTAAGACGTATGAATCAATTCACTCACTTATTTAACAAACATTTATTAAGTGACTACATTATGCTATGAGCTAGGAATATGGCAATAAACAAATCTCACCTTGCCTCAAACTTCAGTGGATCCAGAAGTCTCTAGAAGTTTAATTCTTTCTCAATCAGCAATTCCTCTTCACTGAAGACTTGACAAGAAGGTTTGAGAAGGCAAGAGTGTGTGAACTCAGCAGATGTTTGTGATGCACCTACTGTGTGCCAGAAGCTGTAGTGTCAAAGAATCTACCTGTCTCCTAGGAAAGGTGAACACTAAAAACATTATTTTAAGCAACAAAAAAAATTCCAAGTATGCCAAGTGATGGCGAGAGAAAGCACTGGGTCCCAAGAGTATAATGGGCACTGAGCCTAGTGTGGGGTCCAGGCATCCCTGGCATTGTGCCCTCCTAGGTCATGGTTGTCCCTCCTTGTTGCTCCTGCTGTCCTCTTCAGTTACATGTTATGTGCTGCTTGATGCTCTGCATTGATGTCCACAGGGCTCAGATTTCCCTAGTGGAGTGCTTGGGCCATTCTTGTCATATGGCTCTGAAGACTTTGTTCACAGCGTGTACTTGCCAGATGGGGAAGCCAGAGATCTGGGGTCCTCTGTTGAGGCCACTCTCACCCCAATTATCTTCCCTGACATACCTAACAGATGAAGCTCAGGTGAGCGATGAATGTCAGGCCACAATGTGGACCATGTACAATTCTTCAAGTTCCAGCTTTAACTCTCTTTCTTATTTCTCTCTTATGACAGTATATTTAGATGGAAGTAAATGAAAATAATGTCATTAGGGGATAAGATTAAAATATATCCCACTTGCAAAAAAAGAAGTAGATTATTTGTGAACTGCAGTACTTTATTTTTAGTGAGAAATCACCTTAAAACTTGGAAACTGGATACAAGATAATTATTTCATTCTGCAAATGTTTAGTAGAAAACTATATGCCAGGACTGTGCTAGGCACTAGGGATACATGGTTGAATATTTAGTATAAGATGCCTTGCAGTTTCATATAAATGGCTAATGCAGCATATACAGTGTGGTAAAAATAGACTTCTGAGATGCACAGAAGACAGGCATTAAAGGGTATTTAAATTGTGGATAAATGTGTTTGGATGTTTCACTCAGGGCTGTTGAAGTTTTTTAAGATCAGTGGTCTCAGAGTCTTGGTGTTTTCAGGCTCTGCTAAGTACTTTGTTTCTAGCTGATTATTGGCCACCATTACTGATCATCAACTGGCTCTGTCTGATCCAGCTACTCCACCACTGGGTACATACACAAAGGAAAAGAAATAAAATTATTAGAAAGATACCTGTACTTGCATGTTTCCTGCAACACTATTCACAGTAGCACAGATACAAATCAACCTAAATACCCATCAACAGATTATTGGAGAAAGAAAATGTAGAAAATATACACAATGAAATAATGTTCAGGAATAAAAAAGAATAAAATCATAACTTCTGGAGACACATGAATGGAACTGGAGGCCATTATTGTAAGTGAAACCAGCCAGACACAGAGTAAACATTGTATTTCTCACGCATAAGTGGATGCTTAAAGATGTCTAGGTATTGATGTAGATAGTGGAATGATAATGGAGACTCAGCAGGGTGAGGGGATGGAAGGGGTGAATAGTGGGAAATTACTTAATGGTTACAATGTCCATTATTCCGGTAATGGATACCCTAAAAGCCCTGACTTCACCACTATGTAATCCATGCTTAGAGCAAAATTACAACTTGTAACCCATAAATTTATACCCCAAAAGTATTAGACCTCTCTCTCTTCTCTTCTGTCATAAGTCTCAGAGCTCAGTGATCCCCTTGGATCTCCTCAGCCTGCTAAGTTTTGACTTTCCTACCTAACGTGATTTTGGGCAGACATAGGAGAGTGTTTCAGGAAGATGCTCTCAGACACACTGCTTCTGAAGCAACATCAGAGGCTCTCCTGGTGGCCTTTATCTATTCACTGCTTTTAGCAAGGAATAAATCATCTGTGTCTAAAATTTAAAAAACTGTGTTTCCCACCTACCATACAGACCTGACAGAAGAGATTTTAGAATTTTAAGGAAACAGCTTTTTCCTGAACCAAACGGACACAGTAGTGCAAAGGCCAATGTCACATAAGTACCTTTTCCCCATCTGTAACATAACTCTCAGATGCTATTCCCACAGCTGGAATCAGTACAATGTTGTGACTGAGGTACTGGAAAAGCCTATGAGCTCATTATCATTTGAACACATGAATAACATAAAATTTAGGCAGAATTTTATCTGAAAGGAATATTTACACAAGTTTTAGTTAACAGATTTATATTGTGGTTATTTCAAACAATAAAAATCAGCTTCTTATGTTGCAAGCTAGAAATATGTACAATAACACATGGTCTTGATTATCTCACCTGATGAATTGAAGATTAAAGCAAAATAGGGAACTTTGTGAAAGTTTCTGTTTAACTTTGCCTTATAATGACTTCAAACTGTTGTGCATATATAGAGAACTCCTGACTGAAGAGACATTTTTGGACTATTGTGCTATGTTTATTATTGTAACTTTTTAAGATCTGGAGGAACACACATTTAGTCTCAGTTGGCCCAGTAAATGTTTAGGAATCAGCTTATGTGTTATGTGCTGAGTACTGAAGCAACAGTAGAGACAAGGGCACTGCCCTCACAGAGTCTGGGGGAGAAAACCTGATGGAGTGTGGCATGGAACACTCTGGGAGCATCCCAGGATGCCAAAAGTGCACACAGATGGAACACATGCCTTAGAATGGGGGAGGGTCAGGCAAGGAGAATTGTCAGGAAAAAACAAGGAAAGATCTGCAGCAATAGAAACACACTTGAGAAATTCATGGGGAATGAAAAGAGAATGGGTGAGCAGCAGCAGAGTGTCAAGAAGGAAACCAAGAAGGAGCAGCCAAAATGTTGATGGAGAATGAGGAGAAAGAAGGTGACACTGAAGCCAAGGAGAGGAAAGTGTTTCAACATTTCTGGAAAACAAAATCACATGATCTGTCTTAATGTTGCTGTTTTATGAGTCATATAGCCACATTCCAGGTTCTGAGATGTCCAGCAATAGAGATGTTTCTTTTAGTTTGCTTAACCCAGCATTTGCCAGAATAATCTGGGCTCAGTGTGAGTGTGTGCAAGTGTGTGTGTGTATGAGTGTGCATGCACCTGTGGGTTCCACTAATATCTCACTGAGGCTAGTGTTCTATACAACACAATTTTTTAAACACTGGTTTTATCCATCCTATGTTCAGCTGCAGCAATACTTACAAAGATCAACTTTGATCATGTGTCTTAGTTACTAAAGAAAATATAACAAACTAATGAATAAAGCCCACCCTGCAGTGGCTCCTTACTACCTGTACAGTATAGCCCAACTGGCTTGGCCTGGGTGCCCTGTACTGACCTGGCTGTACTGCTGTCTGCCTGCTCTTTTGTATCCCCTTTCCTCCTGGAGAAAGTAGGGATGCTCTGAGCTTTGGCCAGCATTGAACCTGTGTCCTTCTTCTAAAGTGGACCATGTTTTCTTGAGTCCACTTTAATCTCTTTTAAGGGCATAGATCAAATAATTTATATTATTTCCTCTCCTTTTCTCCCCTACCAATCTCCATACAAAGAGCTGAACTTTCCTTAAAGCTTTTGGTCAGGTTTCACTCTGTATGCAGTTTTCCTGCCACTTCTGCAATGTACACACTGTACTGGTACATAAATTATGCTATACCATGCCAGGTTTTTCATTTATGTATCACTTTATATCATCTTTTTTTCTTAGAGCTTACTTCACTTATTTATTCAATCTTTCACAATATAATTGTATGTCATATAATGTTATATTTATTTTCATTGGTATTTGTATACCTTTTCTGTAAAATAGAGCCTTTCTAAATAGATCTTCATTAATGTTGAAAGAACAAAGTTTTAAGTCTTGGTCTCAGCCAAAATGAGGTCCCCGAATATCCAGGAGGGCATGAAACACTTGCATTGTTGCACAAGATATTATTACAGAGAAAGAGAAACATGTGTAATGGAAAATTGCTAACTTTGCCTCAGGGAGATCAGGCTGATTCACTGAGAAAGTTTAAATTAGTTTAGAAAGCACAGTCCTGAGTTTTCTAGGAGAAGGAGAAAAGTTAGTATAGGGCATAAGAAGTAATGCCCAATTCAAAAAGTTAGAAAGATCTCATATTAACAACCTAACATCATAACTGAAAGAATTAGAATAGCAAGAGGAAATCAACCACAAAGCTTGCAGAGGATAAGAAATAACTAAAATCACAGCTGAATTGGAAAAAAAATTGAGACATAAAAAACTGTTCAAATGGTCACTTAATCAACGTTTTCTGAAAAAAATTAATAGGATAGATAGGCACTAGCTAGATGAATAAAGAAGAAAAGAGAGAAGATTCAAATAAACGTAATTATAAATGATGAAGGTAATGTTACCACTGACCCCACAGAAATAAAAATAACAATCAACAACTACTACGAACACCTCTACACACTCAAACAAAAAACCCTAGAAGAGATGAATAAATTCCTGGACACATACACCTTCTAAAGACTGAACCAGGAAGAAATTCAGTCTCTGAACAGACAAATAATGAGCTCCAAAAATTGAATCAGTAGTAAACAGCCTACCAACCAAGGAAAAAAATAAAGCCCAGGACCTGATAGATTAACTGTCAAATTTTAACATATGTACAAATTAGAGCTAGTACCATTCCTACTAAAACTATTTCAAGAAATAGTGAAGGAGGGACTTCTTCCCAACTTCTTCTATAAGGCCAGCATCATCCTGATACCAAAGCCTGGCAGTGACACAACAAAAAAGGAAAGCTTCAGGCCAGTATCCTTGATGAATGTCCATTCAATAATCTACAACAAAATCCTTGCAAAGTGAATCCAGCAACATATCAAAAGGGTAATTCACCACAGTGAATTAGGCTTCTTCCCTGGAATGGAAGGTTGTTCTATAATGGGCAAATCAATAAAATGTGATTCATAACATAAATAAAACTAAAGACAATAACCATATGATGGTCTGAATAGATACAGAAAAGGCTTTCAGTAAAATTCAACAATGTTTCACATTAAAAACTCTCAATAAGTGAGGTATTGAAGGAACATACCTCAAAATAATAAAGCCACCTATGACAAACTCACAGCCAACATTATGCTAAATGGGCGAAATCTGGAAGCATTCTCCCTGAAACCCACACAAGCACACAAGACAAGGATGTGCTCTCTCACCACTCCTATTCAACATAGTGTTAGAAGTCCTTGCTGGAGCAATCAGAGAAGAGAAAGAAATAAAGGTTATTAAAAAAAGAAATAAAGGGTATGTAAATAGAAAGAGAAGTCCAACTACCTCTGTTTGCAGACAACATAATTCTCTATCTAAAACCTATAGTTGTGACCCAAAATGCTCCGTAAGCTGATAAACAACTTCCACGTGGTTTCAGTGTACAAAATCAATGTACAAAATTTGCTAGCATTCCTATACACGAAGAAGAGCCAAACTGAGAGACAAACCAGAAAGGCAATTGTATTCACGATTTTCACAAAAAGAATAAAATACCTAGAAATACAGCTAACCAGGGAGGTGAAAGATCTCTGCAATGAAAATTACAAAACACTGCTCAAAGAAGTCACACGAGACACAAAGAAATGGAAAATTATTCCATGTTAATGGAGAGAAAGAACTGATATCATTTAAATCACCATACTGCCCAAAGCTCTTCCTATGAAACTACCAATGACAAGCTTCATGGAACTAGAAAAAGCTATTTAAAAATGTATATAGAACCAAGAAAGAACTTAAATAGCCAAGGCAATCCTAAGCAAAAGAACAAAGCTTGAGGCATCACATTACGGGACTTCAAACGATACTACAGCACTACAGTAACCAAAACAGCAGGGCACCCGTACAAAAACAGAGGCACACACCAATGGAACAGCGTAGAGAGCCCAGAAATAAGACCGCACACCTACAACTATCTAATGTTTGACAAAGCTGGCAAAAACAAGCAATGGGGAAAAGTCTCCCTATACAATAAGTGTTGCTGGGATAGCTGGCTAGCCATACGTAGAAGACTGAAGCTGGACCTCTTCCTTACACTCTACACAAAAATCAACTCAAGATGGATTAAAGACTTAAATGCAAAACCCAAAACTATAAGAGCCCTGGAAGACAACCTAGGCAATACCATCCTGGACATAAAAACAGGCAAAGATTTCATGATAAAGACACCAAAAACAATTACAACAAATGCAAATATTGACAAGTGGGGTCTAATTAAACTTAAAAGCCTCTGCTCAGCAAAAGAAATTATCGATAGAGTGAAGAGACAACCTACAGAATAAGAAAACATATTTACAAACTATGTATCTGACAAAGGTCTAATATTCAACATAGAGAACTTAAATAAATTTACAAGAGAAAAACAAACAACCCTATTAAAGAGTTGCCAAATAATTGTCTACTCGTGTCCTTAGCCTACTTTTTTATGGGATTTTTTTTTTCTTTCTAATTTGTTTGAGCTTGTTGTAGATCCTGGATATTAGTCTTTTGTCAGATATACAGATTGTGAAGATTTTCTCCCAGTCTGTAGATTGTCTGCTTACTCTGCTGACTGTTCCTTTAGTCGTGAAAAAGCTCTTTAGTTTAATTAAATCCCACCTATTTATCTTTGTTTTTCTTGCATTTGCTTTTGGGTTCTTGGTCATGAAATCCTTGCCTAAGCCAATGTCTAGAATGTTTTTTGATGTCATCTTCTAGAATTTTTTAAGTTTCAGGTCTTAGATTTAAGTCGTTGATCCATCTCGTGTTGATTTTTGTAGAAGGTGAGACATGAAGATCCAGTTTCATTCTCCTACATGTGGCTTGCCAATTATCCCAGCACCATTTGTTAAGTAGGGCGTTCTTTCCCCACTCTGTTTCTGTTTACTTTGTGAAAGATCAGATGGCTGTAAATATTTGGGTTAATTTCTGGGTTGTCTATTATGTTTCATTTGTCTATGTGCTTACTTTTATACCAGAACCATGCTGTTTTGGTGACTATGGTCTTATGCTATAGTTTGAAATCAGGTAATGTGATGTCTTCTAATTTGTTCTTTTTGCTTAGCATTGCTTTGGCTATGCGGGCTCTTTTTTGAATTCTAGAATTGTTTTTTGTAGTTCTGTGAAGAATGATGGTGGTATTTTGATGGCAATTGCATTGAATTTGTAGATTGCTTTTGGCAATATGGTCATACAAAATTCTTAGAAGATATACAAATGGCCAACAAATATATGAAAAAATGCTCAACATCACTAATAATCAGGGAAATGCAAATTACAACCATTATGCGATACCACCTTACTCCCACAAGAATGGTCATAATCAAAAAATAAAAACATAATAGATGTTGGTGTGAGTGTGGTGAAAAGGGAACACTTCTACACTGCTGGTGGGAATGTAAGGTAGTACAATCACTATGGAAAACTGTGTGGAGATTCCTTAAAGAACTGAAAGGAGAAGAACCATTTGACCCCACAATCCCACTACTGGCTATGTACCCAGAGGAAAAAAAGAAGTTATTATACAAAAAAGATGCTTGCACATGCATATTTATAGCAGCACAATTTGCAATTGCAAAAATGTACAACCAATCCAATTGCCCGTCAGTCAATGAGTGGATAAAGAAACTGGGGTATAGATGTAGGATGGAGCACTACTCAGCCATAAAAAGAAATTAATCAATGGCAATTTCAGCAACCTGGATGGGATTGAAGACTATTAACTCAAGTGAAGTAATGGAATGGAAAACCAAACATCTTACATTCTCACTTATAAGAGGGAGCTAAGCTATAAGGAGGCAAAGGCATAAGAATAACACAATGGACTTTAAGGACTCACGGGGAAAGGGGTAAAAGGGGTGAGGGACAAAGGGATACAAATTTGGTTCAGTATATACTGATGAGGTGATGGATGTACCAAAATTTTACAAATCACCAATAAATAACTTACTAATGTAACCAAATACCACCTGTTGTCCCAAAACCTATGGAAATAAAAAACAATTTAAAAAGTGGGCAAAAGACATGAATACTTTTCAAAAGAATACATACATGTGACCAACAACCATAGAATACAAAGCTCAATATCACCGATCACTAGAGAAATTCAAATTAAACGCACAGTGAGACACCATCTCACACCAGCCATAATGGCCATTATTAAGAAGTCAAAAAATAACAGACACTGGCAAGGTTGTGGAGAAAAACAATACATACACTGTTGGTTGGAATGTGTATTGGTCCCACCGTTGTGGAGAGCAGTATGGTAATTCCTCGAAAGAGCTAAAAGCAGAACCATCACTTGACCCAGTAATCTCATCACTGGGAATATACCCAGAGTTATATAAATTGTTCTATCATAAAGTCACAAGCAAGTACATGTTTATTGCAGCACTATTCAGAAAAGTAAAGATATGGAATCAACCTAAATGCCCATCAATGACAGATTGAATAAAGATAATGTGGGACAAGATAATGGAGCAAAAGTTAAATATTAAATTTGAATTCAACTGAACATGGACACAAACAATGGTCACTGAGACATGGAACAAGTTGTGTGAGCCCCTTGAGGCATTCATTCAGTGCTCTTTCAGAGAAATAGTTATTGAAAAACAACAGACATTTCAAAAACAATTGCACCACCACGCCGGGCTAATTTTTGTATTTTTAGTAGAGATGGGGTTTTACCAGTTTGGCCAGGCTGGTCTTGAACACCTGACCTCAAGTGATGCACCAGCCTTGGCCTCCAAAGGTGCTGGGACTACAGGCTTGTGAAGGTATGCTTTTGATGACCATTTTGTATTCCTTGAGCCCAGTCAAGAAGGGCCCACATGACTGGGCCTCATGTTAAACAACTTTTAAGAAGAAGAGCTAGTTTCCAAGACCACGCCGAAGCTTCATGGGACCTCTCTTCATCTGTACATGGACTAGTGGCCAACTCTGGAGGCCAGGTAGTTGCTTCCCCATCTGGTGATGAATCCTCCATTATCTGGTGAATATATATATGTGTGTGCGTGTGTGTGTGTGTGTGTGTGTGTGTGTGTGTGTGTAGTACACACATACATATGTATATGTATATATTATATATAATATGTCTTTTCCCTTCTCCCCTTCCCATCACAATTTGTTTATTATATCATTGGCTTATTAGATGATTTGTTTATTATATCTGTGTTGCCATATACTTGGGATAAAGTCTGTTTACCCTTAAAAGTATTGTGTGTTTCTTTTCTTCTCTCCTTACACATTTTCCACACAGAACACACATATGTACCATGGAATACTATGCAGCTACTTGTTCTCACTTATAAGTGGGAGCTAAATAATGAGAACTTAGGAACACAAAGAAGGAAACAACACACACTGGGTTCTACTTGATGGAGGAGGGTGGGAGGAGGGAGAGGAACAGAAAAGATAACAATGGAGTACTGGGCTTAATACCTGGGTTATGAAATAACCTGTATAACAAGCCCCTGTGATATGAGTTTATCTATGTAACAAACCTTCACACGTACCCCTGAACATACAATTGAAAAAAATTAAATCCTTCATGAAAGCTATAAGATCTGTTCCTGTGTGTTTGTATGTCTATATCTGTTACATGTATGTGACACTTTGTAAATAAAGCTAGTTCTTACATCATTAGTAAAATAGAAATGGCTTTACAATTATCAGTTAAATATAATTAGGTACTTGCTTTATTTAACTGTGAGCTTGTGTCTTTTGTTGAGAGTTTCTGGATTCAGGGGGTCTCGATAGGTGTCCATCATGAAGTCTGGAGACATGTTCTCTGTGTCTTGACCAGCAGTTACAAGCCGGAATCAAGCCCAATTAGTCTGTTCTTTCTATGCTTTTCCTATTTTGCTTCCTGGCTATTTTAGGAGGGATTGGATCCTCCAGGTATAGCCTTCACGGCTCTGTCTTTAGTCCTAATGGACTCAGGCAGAGTCTGATCTTCATAGTTTTCCTGGGTGCCATGGGGCTACTTGGGACCTAGAATTACCAGGGGAAGACATTAGTGATGCTACCTGTGTCATAGTTCCAAAATTCTGTTCCGTAATTTAAAACCTTAAAGTCATGTTAAATTAAGTAATAGATAATTATAAAATGTCTTGAGTCATTTGTAAGCTAAAATAATGAAATAGTCACCACTAAAAATTAGGTCTATATGCCATGATATACTACTTGTATATGGTATAGAAAACCTAAATATCTTTGGTTCTGTTAATAAACAATAATTTGAAGAACTATATTTCTTTACAAGTATAAAATGGTTTCTATCTAAAAATACTGATATAAGACAGTTGAAAATCACTTTTTAGGGTTTTCACTGAAAATTGGGGTTACTAAGACTTAATTACTAGATATGAGAGAAACAATTCTGTAATCAGACTGTATGAAAAAGCAAGATATGATTCTTTATTGTTATTATTATTATTATTTTAGACCGAGTCCTGTTCTGTTGCCCAGGCTGGCATGCAGTGGCATGATCTCAGCTCACTGCAAACTCTGCCTCCTGGGTTCAAGCGATTCACCTGCCTCAGCCTCCCAAGTAGCTAGGATTACAGGTGCTCACCACCACACTGGGCTAATTTTTGTATTTTTAGTACAGACAGGGTTTCACCATGTTGGCCAGGCTGGTCTCAATCCCTAGACCTCAACTGATGCACCTGTCTTGGCCTCCCAAAGTGCTGGGATTACAGACTTGTGAAGATAAACTTTTGATTAGAAAACTTATAAAGGCAAAAAATGTGTTTTAATTTTTTTAAGTTACTTAAGGTTTCAAATTGAAGAAGTAAAAAATAGATACAACTAGATAAATAGAGAAAGTTGGGGGAAAATCTAAAGCATAGGCTCACAAAAATCTGGGATTCAAAGATGACACATTTGATAAATTTATTTATAAAATTTTATTAAATGAACTTCAGAGGCCTGGTGTGGTGGGTCACTCCTGTAAATAATAAAATTTTCTTGTCAACTGTGTCTATGAAAATTTAAAATCATTTCTACAGTAAATTGCTTAATTGTGAGGCATTTCAAATTCTGAAAACTTTACAAGCTTGCAAAATTATAGAATACTGTATCTTTAAGGAGTTTCATGAAAGGATGGAAAAGGTCCTGAGAAGTATTCTTGAATACAGATTTTTGACAACGTTAGAATCATATCATTTGAACAGGGTAAGAATTCCCAGAACTTTAATGAAGACTGATTGGTTTATAAAACTACTACAGCAAACAGAGTAAAAATCAATTGAATACCAAGAAAATAGTTTGTCAGATTTTCATGCCAAATCAGCCAGTACTTAAATTGTCTAGATAAAGTATTTGAATGAACTCTATATTCCAAGTCAAATTATCTATGATAATCCCTGATTAGTCACTGTTATGCACCTAAGTTGAAGAAACAGTCCAATGTTAAACGTACAGAACCAGGACATCTTCTACGTCCTTCCTGGTTCTGAAAGCTTTTCTTATTGAAAGTTCTTCATTCTGATTCTTGGCTGCAAAGGTAACACAAGATGGCAGAAAGAAGGCTCCACTGATCTTCCCTCCTGCAAGGACACCAGATGCACAACTATTAACGTCTACATAGAAAATACATTCATAAGAACCAAAAATCAGTTGAGTACTCAAAGTACCTGGTTTTAACTTCATATCACTGAAAGAGGCACCATTTCCTCACCACCAGCAGTGATGGCGTGGTGCAGAGATCAACTCTGGGTTCTGCAGGAGGGAGAACACAGAAATTTTAAGACATTGAACTCTGTGCTGCCCTGTTAGACCAGAAAGGAAAACCAAACCAAATGCAGCTAAAGCCCATCCACAGAGGGATTATTTAAACCAGCCCTGGCCAGAGGGGAATGAGATTTCGGTGGTTGGAACTTGAGCATTTGGAAATCTGGGTACTGAGGGCTCCAGAGCTCCATGTATCTAAGAAAACTTGAAAGGCAGCCTAGGCCATCAGGACTGCAACTCTTAGGTGAGGCCTAGGGCTGAACTGGACCCAGGAACAGTCAACTAAGGTGGGAGGTCATGCAACATACTGAGACACCAGCTGGGGCAGCCAAAGGGGTTCTGGAATTATCACTCTCCTAATACCAGGCTGCACAGCTTATAGCTCCAAAAGGGACCCCATCCTTCTGCTTGAGGAGAGGAGGAAAAAGAGTAGGGAGGACTTTGTCTTCCATCCTGGATACCAGCTCAACCACAGCAAGATAGTGCACTGGTCAGAGTCCTGAGTCCTCCTTTCCAGGCTCTGGCTCCTAGACATTCCAAGACACACCCCGGGCCAGAAGGAAACCTGCTGCCTTGAAGGAAAGAACCCAGTGCTGGCAGCATTTATCACCTGCAAACTTAACAACCTTTGGGCCCTGAATAACCAGCAGCCATACCCAGATACTACATCAAGAGGCTTGTGTGAGCCTCATAGACTTACTAGATTTAGGTGAGATTCAGCACATTACAAGCTGTGGTATCTAAGGGGCAAAACTCCTTTTGCTTGGGAAAGGCAGAGGGAAAAGTAAAGGGGACTTTTTCATGCCACTTAAGTACCGGCAAGGCCAGAGGTGGGTAGAGCACCAAGAAAGGTTTTGGGATCCCTGATTCTAGGACTTGATTCTTGGTTGGCATATATGAACCTGCCCAGGGCCAGTGGGGAGACCAGTGGCCTGAAAACGGCAAGTCCCAGTCCAGGCAATATTCATCACAAGCGGAAAAGAGGATTTGGGCCTTAAAGGAACAAAGGTGGTAACATGGCAGTACTCCTTGTGGCCTGGGGTGCTTGGGGCTACTCTGCCTTTGGAAAAGGAAAGGAGGTAATAGGAAGGGCTGTGTCTTGTGGTTTGAATGCCAGCTCAGCTGGAATGCAATAGAATGTCCGGTGGACTTCTGAAATTTTTGACTTTACTCCCTGACTTCCGAATGGCACTTCTGGACCCAGCCAGGGACTGAGGAAACTCGCTGCCCTGAAGGAAAGAGCACAGATATGGCTGGCTTTGCCACCTGCTAATTGCAGAGACCAAAGGCCTTGAGTGAACATAGACAGTTGTCAGAAAGTGCGTGCAGCAGGACTTGAGCAAGACCCGGTGCTATGCCAGCTTCAGGTCTGACCCAGGGCAGCCAGTGGTGGCGGCCAGGGGTGCTCGTGTCATTCTCCTCCCAACTTTAGGTGGCTTAGAATAGAGAGAAAGACTCTGTATCTTTGAGGGAAAATAAGGTTAGAGAACAAGAGTCTCTGGCTACTAATCCAGAAAATTTTCCTGGATATTGTCCAAGACTGTCAAGGTGGTACATCAATGAGACTGCAAAAATTACAGCACTATTGGGTATACGGTGCCCCCTAAAGCAGATATGGCTTAGATCACAACACCTGCCTTTTCAAATATGTGGAAATCCTTCCCAAGAAAGATAGCTACGAATAACCCCACACAGTGAAGTCTACAATTAATGCTCATCTTTTTTTTAAAAAAAATCTTTTTTTCACATCTTATGTGGTGCTGCATGCCAAAGTTTTAATGTCCAGACACTGAAGAACATCTGCTAGCATTGTCACCATCCAGGAAAACATGACCTCACAAAGTGAATGAAGTAAGGCATCAGCGACAAATCCTGGAGAAAAAGAGATATGTAATCTTTCAGACAGAAAATTCAAAATAGCTGTATTTTTAAAAACTCACAGAAATCTAAGATAACAAAGTAAAGAAATTCCAAATTTTATCAGCTAAACTCAACAAAGAGATTGAAATAGTTACAACAAATTAAGCAAAAATTCAGGAGCTGGAAAATGCAACTGGCATGCTGAAGAATGCATTAAAGCCATTTAACAGCAGAATGGATCCAGCAGAAGAAATGGTGAACTTGAAGACAGGCTATGTGAAAATATATATTTAGAAGAGACAAAAGAAAAAGAATAAAAACAACAAATAATGCCTACAAGATCTGGAAAATAGCCTCACAAAGATAGGCCTAAGAGTTATTGGTTTTAAAGAAGACGTATAGAAAGAGACAGGGATAGGAAAATTTATTCAAAGGGATAATAATAGAAAACTTCCAAACCTAGAGAAAGATATCCAAATCCAATCACAGAAATATTATAGAACATTAAACAGATTAAATTCTAAAAAGACTACTTCAAAACATTCCATAGCCAGTTTTCAAAAAGTCAAAGAAAAAGAAAAGTTCTAAAAAAGAAAGACAAAAGAAAGAAATAATATACAGGAGAGCTCCAACACATCAGGCAGCAGACTTTACAGAGGAAACCCTGCCGGCCAGGAGAAAGAAGCAATAAATATTTAAAGCACTAAAGAAAATAGCTTTACCTTAGAATAGCATATACAGCGAAAATGTCCTTCAAATAATAAGAAGAAATACTGACTTTTCCAGACAAACAAAAGTTGAAGGATTTCATCAATACCATGACTGTCCTACAAGGAATGCTGAAGGGAGTACTTCAATCAGGAAGAAAAGGACATTAATGAGCAAGAAATAATCAACTGAAGGTAAAAAAAAAAAAAAAAAAAAAAAAAAAAAAAATCCTCATTGATAATGGTAACTATACAAAATAAAACAATATTATAACACTATAGCTGTGGTGTGTAAACTACTCATTCTAAGTAGGAAGACTGAATAATAAACCAAACAAAAGTAATAACTACAAGAACGTTTCAGCCGGGTGCAGTGGCTCACGCCTGTAATTCCAGAACTTTGGGAGGCCAAGGCGGGGGAATCACGAGGTCAGGAGATCGAGATCGTCCTGGCTAACAAGATGAAACCCCTTTTCTACTAAAAATACAAAAAATTAGCCGGGCCTGGTGCTGGGCGCCTGTAGTCCCAGCTACTCGGGAGACTGAGGCAGGAGAATGGTGTGAACCAGGTAGGCGGAGCTTGCAGTGAGCCGAGATCGAGCCATTGCACTCCAGCCTGGGCAAGAGAGCAAGACTCCGTCTCAAAAAAAACAAAAAACAAAAAACAGAAAACAAAAAACAAAAACAAAATAAAAAGGAACGTTTCAAAACATAGTACAAAAAAATATAAATAGAAAAAACAAAAAGGCAAAAAGTGAAGGGATGAGCACACCCGTCCTGAGGGGCCTGTTGTGATGGAAGCTCGGGAGCCGGGTGAAGGCCTGGAGCGTGAGCAGAAGGGGGCCGCCCGGACAGCCCAAAGACTGGGCATGGGACGGAGACCTCTGGCTCCCCCGAGCAGGAGCAGCACGGCGCCTTGGCCGTCCTGCGGGAGGCCAGGCCACCGGCGACGGCAGGAGGCTCTAGGAGGCCAGAGGAAGGCACAGAGGGGTGGCCAGCAGTGCTCAGAAAAATAGAAGAGGAGAGCAGCCCTGCCACTGGCGAGCGCTTGGGGATCCTGGATCCAAGCCCAGCAGCCCCGGGGTGGCAATGACGCCTGGAGTCGAGCGGGGCGTGGCTGTGCCGGGCTCTTGAGGCATCCAGGCCCCTCTGCCAGCGCCTACAGCCATATCACCCTGTCCAGTCTCGTCTGACCTCGGAAGCTAAGTAGGGTGGGTCCTGGTTAGTACCTGGATGGGAGGACGCCCAGGAATGTTGGGTGCTGTAGGCTTTTGTCCTCCCCCTCCCTCCCTCTTTCCCCCTTTTGTCGCCATGCTTCACAAACTTCCCCTAACTCTGCTCCCACTTTTCCTCTCACCTGCGGCCCCAAAGCAACCCGGGACCTCCTCGTGGGGTTCCACCGCTGCAGCACCGCCAGGCAACAGCATCCCACATCCTCCTTCTTGCTGCAGCCCCACCAGGTGCCCGGCTCCAGCCGTGGCAGGACGGTATATGTTCCCTGAGGTGACCCGTGTCTTCACGCTCCCGGGACGCCCAGGCAATTCAATTTACTCATCTGGCACCATGCAATAGTTCAAGCCGGTGGGGGAAGTGGCGGCCAGGGACAGAGGTCCCACAGACACCATCCAAAACCTCTGCTCCTGGACCTATGGGCTGCTTTCCCCAGGGGAAGGACATTGCCTTCGCCAGTCACGAGGCAATCCGTCTCTGTGCACCCGGATTCCCATTGGCACCGTCTTCGTGTCAACTCCAGTCCTGAGGACACGAGAGAGACCCAGGCCTCGGCCCGGTCGGCACGCTCTGCGCCAGGGCTCCCACCAGAGGGAAGGACGCACTCTCCAAATCTCGGTGCCCACTGCACCAAGAAGATAGGGAGTAGCCAACAAAAGGACCCTATGAAACGCACCCCAAAAGCAAGCAACCAATCCAAGCAAAAATACGTCTCAGGGTTCTGTTGGTCCTCTTGCATGGGCGGCCTGCCCACCTGTTCCCGCCAGGCTCAAGCACCCTCCACCCTACCCCTGCTGGAAGGAGCCCTGTCTACGAGAGCAGAGAGCTCCCTCTCCCAGGCTTTAATGCTCTGGCTCTCTAGTTCTGTCACCCTCTCTCTATTTCTCTCCTGCTCCCTCCATCTCATGCTCTTTCTGTCACCTTCTCTCTCTTTCTTTCTCCCTCTCATTCCTGTCTCTCTCTCTCTCTCTAGCTCTCTCTCCCTCAGTTTCTATCTCTCCATCCCTCTTTCCCTTGATCTCCTTCAAGCTGTCTATCTGTATCTTTGTGTATCTGTGTGTGTCTCTGTGTGCCCGCGAGCGTGCATCCATGTGTGTCTGTGGGGGTGGGGGTGGGTTTCTTCTTGGTGCTGGTGAGGTGTGTCTGGCTGTCCATCAGCCTCTCTCTCCCGCAATCAGTCGGCTAGCTCCAGTGGCAGCGCGGGGCAAAGCAGCTCCCCCCACTCACTTGGCCATGGGCCATGTCCTTGTCCGGACAAGCGACCCTGTTAGGGACGTTGTAAGAGAAAGGGCCCATGGGGCTAGGCCACCTGTTCACCCTTGAGCAGCCCTGGCAGCACTGGGTGGGTGAGGAGAGAGGGGGCCTTGCAGGAGGGGCGGCGAGGGAACCAAAACAATCCCTCCGTGGCAAGGAGGACAGAAGGGTATCCCTGACTCCTGGGAGCACAAGCTCAGCAAGCCCGATGTGGTGGAAGCTTGGGAGTTCATGAGCCTGGGGAAGCCCTGAAGCGTCGGAGGAATGGAGACCAACCAGAGAGCCCGAAGTCTGTGCAGCGGATGGACACCTCTGGCGTCCTCACTCAGCAGCAGGGCGGCGCCGAGATGGTCCAGTGCATGGCCTTGTCTGCTATGGCTGGAGCCCTTGGAAGCCGGCAGAAGGTGCAGCGCGGTGGCCCACAGTGCTCCGGCGTGGAGGGGGAGAGCAGCCGAGCAGCAGGCGAGGAGTGGCTTAGAGTTGTCCCGATCCAAGCCGCGTGGCTTTGGAGTGGCGGTAATGCCTGGAGTCTGGCGGGCATGGTGGGCCAGGCTCTTGTGTCAGCCAGGTATCACTGCGGGTGTCTAAGGCCTTACCGCCCTGAGACACCTGATCTCTGGCCTGTGACGCTAAGCAGGGTGGGGCCTGGTTCAGTACTTGGAAGAGAGACCGCCTGGGAATACAAGGTGCTGTAGGCTTTTGGCTTCCCGCTCCCTCTTTCTCCCTTTTGTGCCCTACTTCCCAACCACTCCCTGACTCTGCTACCCATTTTCCACCTGCCTGCGTCCCCACCGCACACCAGGACCTCCTCGTACACCGCCGGGCAGCAGCATCCCACCTCTTCTGCCTTGCTGCAGCTCCACAAGGTCCCCAGCTCTAGGCAGGGCGGGGCAGGCCAGCACCAGACCCCAAAGGCGCAGGCCCAGGTTCCCTGCCATGCTGGTTGTCTTCCTGCTCCAGGAAGGCCTAGGTAATTTAATTCACTCATCTGGCGCCGCCGCAAACGCCCGAGGCTGGGGAAGGGGTGGGCAGGGGCAGAGGGTCCCACAGACGCCAGCCAAGACCTCCTCCAGAACGCACGGGCTGCTTTTTCCAGGGAAGAACATTGCCTTTGCCAGCTACCAGGGAAACATCCTTGTGAACCCGGATTCCCATGGCCACCAACTTCGTGTAAACTCCTGTTGTGAGGACACGAGAGACACCCAGGCCTCAGGCAAGGATTCCCTGGCTTGCACCCAGGGTGCCTGTCTCACCCACGGGGGCACCCTAAAGTGTCAAGAAGGCAGCGGGGGATGGGAGCTGGCTTTAAAGGGGACGTTGAGGCAGTCCGTGGAAAAACTTCTCAGGGAAGACAGTGCATTCCGGGCAGCCCCTGCGGCGGGCTGGGGGGCCCTGGAGTCCCTGTCTTGCACAAAGGTTGTGTGTCTCGCCCTCAGGGGGCACCCCATAGCAACAACAATTCCCCTGGGGAAAAGTACCCCGCTTGAAAGACACGCCCCCTGGGTGCAAGCCAGGGACTCCACGACCACCCCGAGTCCGGCACAGACACTGCCGGGAAGGCACTGTTCTCCATGGGATTGTTTTCCCTCCCGACTGCCTCAACGTCTCCTTTCAAGCCTGGCCTCCTGTTCCCTTCCCCCGCAGGTATTCATGCTGCCTTGGGGTGGCCCCCGTGGGCGAGACTCTTACCCTGGGTGCAAGCCAGGGACTCCATGAAACCCTCGGCCCGGCGCAGGGGCCGCCAGGAAGGCACTGTCGTCCGTGGGAGAATCCCAGCCTCGAGGTTGTTTTCCCCGGGCTGCCTCAATGTCCCCCTTGAAGCCTGAAGTGCTGTCCCCTTCCCCCAGGGGACTACTTGCCGCTTTGGGGTGCACTTAGTGGGAGAGACACGCACCCTGGGAGGAAGCCAGGGACTGCCGGGAAGGAATTGCCATCATGGGAGGAAACCGGCTGGCCGCATTTTTCGCCGTGCTGCCTCAGCGTCCTCTTTAAAGCCTGGCGTCTTGTTCCCTTCCCTGGGAGGCCTTCTTACCACTTTGGGGTGCCCCTGTGGGAACGACACGCACCATGGGTGCAAGCCAGGGACTACACGATCCCTCCGGGCCCAGCGCAGGGGTTGCCGGGAAGGCTCTGTCGTGCGTGGGAAGACACCATCCCTCCTCTTTTTTTCCCGTACTGCTTCAACTATGCCTTTCAACCCTGATGTCCTGTGCCCTTCCCCCGGTGGCCTTCTTGCCTCTTTGTGGTGCGCCCCGTGGGTGAGACATGCAAGCTGGGTGCAAGCCAGGGACTCCACGCAGCTCCTGGGCCCACCGCAGAGGCTGCCGGGAAGGCAATGTCGTCCATGAGCGGACCCCAGTATCCCCGCTTTTTTCCCCGGGGCTGCCTGAACGTCCCCCTTCAAGCCTGACGTGCTGTACCCTTCCCCGGGGAACATTCTTTTCGCTTTGGGGTGCCCCCCATGGGGGAGACACTCACCCTGGGTGCAAACCAGGGAATCAACAACCATCCCCATGCAGGGCAAAGGGGCTGCCAGAAAGGCACTGTCATCCGTGGGAAGTTTTTACCCCGGACTGCCTCAACGTCCCCTTTCAAGCCCGGCGTCCCGTTTCCTTCCCCCGGAGGCCTTCTTGAGGCTTTGAGGTGTCCCCCGTGAGTGCGACATGCACCCTGGGTGCAGCCAGGGACTCCACGACGACCCCGGGCCTGGTGCAGGGACTGCCGGAAAGGCACTGTCGTCTGTGGGACGTCCGCGGCCCGCTGCTTTTTTCCCCGTGCTACCTCAACGTTCCGTTTCAGGCCTGGCGCCCTCTTCCCTTCCAACAGAGGCCTTCTTGGTGCTTTGGGGTGCTTCCCGTGGAAGCGACACGCAACCTGGGTGCAAGCCAGCGACTCCAGAACCCCACTGGGCAGGGCGAGAGGCTGCCGCGAAGGCACTGTCGTTCGAAGGACCCTGGCTTACTGCTTATTTCCCTGGATTGCCTCAAAGTCCCCTTTTAAGCCTAACATCCTGTCCCCTTCCCCCGGGGACCTTCTTGCCTCTTTGGGGTGCCTCCTGAGGGCGAGATGCACACTCTTGAGTACAAGCCAGGGACTCTACGACACCGCCAGGACCGGCGCAGGGCTGTCGGGAAGGCACTGTTATCCCTGGGATCACCTCAGCCTCGCCGCTTTTTTCTCTGGGCTACCTAAAGGTCCCCGTTCAAGGCTGATTTCCTGTTGCCTTCCACTGGGGGACTTTTACTGCTTTGGGGTGCTCACTGTGGGCGCGACACGCACCCCAGGTGTAGGCCAGGGACTCCACGACCACCCCGGGCCCGGTGCAGGGGCTGCTGGGCAGACACGGTTGTCCTTGGGTGGACACTGGACCGCCGCTTTTTTCCGGGACTGCCTCAACTAAACTTTTCAACCCTGGCGTCTGGTACCCTTCCCCCGGGGCCTCCTTGATGCTTTGTGGTGCCACCCCTGGGCGAGACACACACCCGGGATGCAAGCCAGGGACGCCAAGACCTCCCCGGCCCAGCGAATGGGCAGCCAGGAAGGCACTGTCGTCCGTGGGAGAACCAGCGTCACGGTTTTTTACCCTAGGCTACCTCAACGTCCCCCTTCAAGTCTGACGTGCTGTCCCCTTCCCCTGGGGGCCTGTTTGAAGCTTTGGGGTGCCTCCCGTGGGCGAGACACGCATCCTGGGTGCAAGACAGGGACTCCACGCTCCCCCAGGGCCCTACGCATGGGCTGCCAGGAAGGCACTGTCATCCATGGGAGGAACCCGGCTAGCCTCTTTTCTCTCCGTGCTGCCTCAGCGTCCCCATTAAAGCCTGTCTTCCTGTTCCGTTCCCCCGGAGGCCTACTTGCGACTTTGGGGTGCAACCCCTTTGCCGGACACGGAGGGGTTGTTGAGTCCCAGTCTTACACCCAGGGGCCCATGGGGGGCACCCCAAAGCAGCGAGTAGCTTCTCAGGGGAAGGAGACAGCACGTCAGGTTCGAAGGTGGACGTTGAGGCAGCCTGGGGAATAAAGAGGGGATGCTGGGGTTCTGCCATGGATAACACGGTCTTCCAGGCAGCCTCTGCGGTGGGTCTGGGAATATCGTGGAGTCCCTGGCTTGCACGCAAGGTGCCTGTCTCGCCCACAGGGGGCACCACAAAGCGGCAAGAAGGCCACCGTGGGAAGGATATGGGACGCCAGGGTTGAAAGGGATAGCCGAGTCAGTCCGGGGAAAAACGCCGCGGACTAGGGTCGTCTGAGGGCAGACAGTGCCTTGCCGGCAGCCCCTATGTTGGGCCGGGGTGGTCTTGGAGTCCCTGGCTTGTACCGAGGGTGCTGGTCGCGCCCATGGGGGCACCCCATGTCTAAGCGCGACACGCACGCTGGGTGCAAGTGAGGGACTCCACGATTCCCCGGGGCCAGGCGCAGGGGCTGCCAGGAACGCAATGTCATCCATGGGATGACCCCGGCCAGCCGCTTTTCCTCCAGGGCAGCCTCAATGTCTCATTTAAAGCCTAGCTGCCTGTTCCCTTTCCCGGGGGGCCTTCTTTCCGCTTTGGGGTGCCCCCCATGGGGAAGAAGCGTATCCTGTGTGCAAGACAAGGACTCCACGACTCCCCCGGGCCCAGCGTAGGGGCTGCCGGGAAGGCACGACTGCCGGGAAGGCACTATCGTCCGTGGGAGGACCCCGGCCACCCGCGTTTTTCTCCGTGCCGCCTCAACGTTCCATTTCAAGCCTGGCGTCATGTTTCCTTCCCCTAAAGTCCTTCTTGCCTCTGGGGTGCCTCCCGTGGAAGAGAAGCGCACTCTAGGTGCAAGCCAGGGACTCAACAACACACACGGGTTCAGCGCAGGGGCTGCTGGGAAGACACTGTCGTCTGTGGGACTACCCTAGCCTCGCCGCTGTTTTCCCCAGGCTGCGTGAACGTATCCTTCAAGCCTGACATGCTGTCCCCTTCTCCCGCGGGCCTTTTTGCCGCTTTAGGGTGCTCCGCGTGGGCGCGACACGCAGCCTGGGTGCGAGCTAGGGACTCCACGTCCCCCACCCCCATGTTTCGGCGCAGCGGAGACCGGGAAGGCACTGTCAACCGTGCGGTGACTCTGACCCGCCGCTTTTTTCCCCGTGCTGCCTCATCGTCCGGTTTCAAGCCTGGCGTCCTGTTCCATTCTTTCAGAGGTTTTCTTGCCGCTTTGGGGTGCCTCCCCCGTGGGCACGACACATACCCTGGGTGCAAGCCAGGGACTACACGACTTCTCCGGGCGTGATGCAGAGGCTGCCATGAAGGCACAGTCCTCCGTGGAAAGTTTTTCCCGGTACTGCCTCAACGTCCCCTTTCGTTTCACTGGAGGCCTTCTTGCCACTTTGGGGCGCCCAGCGTGGGCGCAACACGCACATTAGCTGCAAGCCAGGGACTCCACGACCACCCCAAGCCCGGCGCAGGGTCTGCCGGGAAGGGACTGTCATCGGTGGGAGGACTGCGGCCCACCGCTTTTTTCCCCGTGCTGCCTCAATGTCCCCTTTCAAGCCTGGCATCATGTTCCCTTCCCCCACAAGCATTCTTGCCACTTTGGGGTTCCCCCGTGGGTGCGACACTCACCCTGGGTGCAAGCTAGGAACTCCATGACCGTCCCGGGCCAGGCACACGGGCTGGGGAAACGCACGGTTGTCTGTGGGAGTAAACCGGCCTGCTGCTTTTTCCCTCGTGCTTCCTCAACGTCCCCTTTCAAGCCTGGCGTCCTGTTTCGTTTTCCCGCAGGCCTACTTGCCGCTTTGGCGTGTCCCCACTAGATGCGACACGCACCCTGGGTGCAAGCCAGGGACTTCACGACTTCCCCTGGCGCGGTGTTGGGGGGGCTACTGAAAAGGCACTGTAGTGCGCGGGAAGTTTTTCCCCAGCGTGCCTCAACGTCGCCTTACAGGCCTGGCATCCTGTTTCCTTCCCCGTGGGCCTTCTGGCCGCTTTGGGGTGTCCCTCTTCGGCCAGACACCCATCCTGGGTGCAAGCCTGGGACTCCGCGACCACCCGGTCCCGGCGCAGGGGCTGATGTTAAGTAAGGCACTGTCGTTCATGGTAGGACCCCAGCCTCGCCGCTTCTTTCCTCGGACTAACTCAACGTCCCCCTTCAAGCTTGATGTGCTGTCCCTTTCCCCCCGCCCCGGGGGCCTTCTTGTCGCTTTGGGGAGCCCCAGTGGGCGAGACACGCACCCTGGGTGCAAGCCAGGGACTCCACCATTTTCCCGGGCCAGGTGCACGCGCTGCCGGGAAGGCACTGTTGTTCATGGGAAGACCCCAGCCTCTACGCTGCACCCAGGGAAGTCGTGGAGTCCCTGGCTTGCATCCAGGCTGAGTGTCGCGCCCACGGGGGGCACCCCAAAGCGGCAAAGAAGGCCTCCGGGGGAAGGAAGTTGGATGCCAGGCTTGTAAGGAGAGATCAACGGGGAAAAAAGCGGCGAAGCCAGGGACTCAATGACACAAGCAGGCCTGGAACAGGGGCTTCCGGGAAGGCCCTGCCGTCTGTGGGACAACCCCAGCCTCGCTGCTTTTATCCCCAGGCTGCCTCAACTTTCCCGTTCAGGCCTGATGTGCTGTCCCCTTCCCCGAGGTCCTTCTTGCAGCTTTGTGGTGCTACCCATGGGTGAGACACGCACCCTGGGTGCAAGCCAGGGACTCCACGACCCTCCTCCCGACACATACACCGTCCCGATGCAGGGGCTGCGAGAAAGGCACTGTCATCCATGGGACGCCCACGGCTCGCCGCTTTTTTCCTCATGCTGTCTGAACTTCCTCTTTCAAGCTTGGCATCCTGTTTCTTTCCACCTATGGCCTACTTGCCGCTTGGAGGCACCCCCCCACCCCCCCAACTGTGGACGAGTCACGCACCCTGGATGCAAGCCAGGGACTCTACGACTTCCCTGGTTCTGGCACAGAGGCTGCTGGGAAGGCTCTGTCCTCCGTGGGAAGTTTTTTCCTGGACTGCCTCAACGTCCCCTTTCAAGCCTTGCGTCCTGTTCCCTTCCCCTGGGGACCTTCTTGACGCTTTGGGGTGCCCCCCATGGGCAAGACACGTCCGCTGGGTGGCAGCAAGGTACTCCACGACCACCGGGCACTTGACTCGGGGGCTGCAGGAAAGGCACTATCGTCCGTGGGAGGACTCCAGCCTTACCACTTTTTTCCTCGGGCTGCCTCAATGTCCTCCTTCACGAAGACTGACATGCTCTCCCCTTCCTTCCGGGGCTTTCTTGACGTTTTGGGTTATCCCCGTGGGCGAGAAACGCACCCTGAGTGCACACCAGGTATCCACGGTCCCTCGGTTCCGGCGCAGAGGCTGCTGGGAAGACACTGTCGTCCGTGGGAGGATCCCTGCCCACCGCTTTTTCCCTGTGCTGCCTCAGAAGTCTTCTTTCAAGCCTGGCATCTTGTTCCCTTCCTTTAGGGGCTTTCGTGTTGCTTTGAGATGCCCCCCTTGGGCGTGACCCGCAGCTGGGTGCAAGGCAGAAGCTCCACCACTCGCCTGGCCCGGAGCAGGGTCTGCCAGGAAGGCACTGTTGCCATGGGAAGTTTTTCCTTGTACTGTCTCAACGTCCCCTTTCAAGCCTGGAGCTCTGTTCCCGTCCCCCGGGGGTCTTCTTGCCGCTTTGAAGTGCCCCCCATAGGCCTGACACGGACCCTGGGTGCAAGACAGGGACTCCACGACCACCCCGGCCCCAACACAGGGGCTGCCAGGAAGGCACTGCCATCTGTTGAACGACCCCGGCCCGCCTTTTTTTTTTTTTTTCCGTGTTGCCTCAATGTCCCCTATTAAGATTGGCGTCCTGTTCCCTTCCCCCAGAGGCCTTCTTGCCACTTTGGGGTGTCCCCATGAGCACGGCATGCCCCCTGGGTGCAAGTCAAGGACTCCACGACTTCCCAAATCCCGGCCCAGGGTCGGCTGGACAGGCACTGTTTTCCGTGGGAAGTTTTTTCCCGGACTGCCTCATCTTCCCCTTTAAAGGCTGTCCCTCCTGTTCCTTTCCCTCGGGGGTTTTCTTGACGCTTTCTGGTGCCCCTCGTGGGGGTGACACGCACCCTGGGTGTAAGCCAGGGACTGCACGACCCCCGCGGTTTCTGTTCTTATTTATGGTAAAAGTAGGGAACTCTGCTTATGCACATCAACGGAATCATTATTATACGCAGACGATTTGGACGTCGAAGGAGAGAAACCTTGGTGAGGGGTAGGGGATAAAACAGGAGGGGGAAGGGAAGGAGGCACAGTAGTTCACTCTGGAGTGTTTTCTAGCCTGGGGTGAGTGGGGCGACACGGAGGGCAACTCAGGAAACAAGCTGATTCCAGAAAAGACACCGGGCATGATGGCGAGCGTCTGCAGTCCCAGCTACCCGGTGGAGGTGGGCGGGGGAGGCAGAAGAATCGCTTGAACCTCATTGGCTCACCTTTCGAATTACCAGCGAAGGCTTTCTCACCAAGTTTTTGTCACACTCTTTCCCCACCAGTTACCCCTTCCTGAAGATTCGCTCATGGACCCCTGGGGAAGATAGTGGTCTGCCTTATGACCAAAAGACTGGAAAATTTTGAGTGCTTTCTATCAGGGCCGTTGCCTGGCATGCATGCACTCACCCCCAAAGTCCCGCTGTTTATCCACCTTTCTCTCTGGGGCAAAAGGCCTCTCCGAGGCCGACACAACACGATAGTACACAGAATCTTACCGCACTCGCTCCTGCGTCGTGGGCGCACTTGGCAGAGTGAAACAAGGAACTTGGCGCTCAACAGAGGAGGCAGCATCTCTTATCGAGTGGGAGGGACCTGCCTCACTCATCCGCCTCGCCCCGCTCAACGACCTCTTCAGGATGCACTTGCAAACACCGTGGTGGCGGTTATACGAGAGGCCACTTGGGGTTGGCACAACCCGCCACCATTTTGTCTCGGGCAGTCTGGAGCACTCCTGGATCACCACAAAGGCCCTGGTCGTGTCAACCCTCTCGCATCCCAGAAAGGGCAGCATGATGTTTGGTAGGGACATGCCCCATGGCCCCGGAGAGGTGCAGTGTCCACCCGCAAGGCAACAACCACAGGAAGCCAGAGCAAAGGTGCCCGCTGTGTCAGAGGACCCCACCAATCTTCTTGAAGTCACGAGGCTCAAGGCGTGAGGGCAGCGAGGTCACCGCAAATTCCCTGCCCCATGCCTCCCAACACACTACCCGTGAGTGGGGAAGAGAGACAAGGGGCCCGACAAGCAGAAGAAGAAGAACTCTTCCATTAACTGTGTATTTCCATCCTTTGCTTCTCGTGGCTTACTCCCAGCCTGGGAGAGCGTAAAGTCACCACATCCATCGTGAAAAGCCCAATAATGGGCGGTGGTTGAGCTGGGGTCAGTCTTGAAGAAACTGATGAGCATAACAGCCCAGCCAGGCTCACTCCGGGATAGGGACAGCAGACAATTTAAGGTGGAATGCCTGACATTCACAGCGAAGAGCCAACAGAGTGGGGTTGTTCTGACCACCCTGTGCCCGCAGCCGGGAGCACACTGGTCACGGGAGCCCGAGCTGCCTTCCCTGCCAGGGTCAAAGGCCCAGAAACCTGGGGCACCACGGACAGTTATGACACTAGGATGCGTGAGAGCAGGCACACAGGTCCCAGCAATCAGCTAAAACTGGAACAGGGCCGGTTAGCTGGGTTACCAGTATACCAGAGCTTCACACGCATCTAGAGGCCCAATGTAATTGCCAGGCAGCGTGTCAGCAACAACCTGGTGGCCCAAAATGTCGACTCAGAGTGAAAGATATACCTTGCCTGGTGGAGGGGTGTCGAGTCAGTGACCACACCACCTGAGCAGAAACGCGTGACCTGGACATCTTTCCCAAAAAAAGGCCACCATGGCAGCCAGACACGGAACACCCAGGGCCCTCTGGTTGACCCCAGGACACACACAGGAGCAGCACTGGGCCAGGGACAAACTCCTGGTTACCCGTACAATGCAGGGGCTGGCCCATTTTTCCAGAGCTAGACTGGGAGTTATTTTTGGCTGGCCCCTAGCATGACTGGATCACATGAGGGACCAAAGCCTGGCCAGGTGCCACCTCTTGGACCACATGCATGCTCAGGGACCGCTCTCCAACTCTGCATGGGGACTTCAAAAAAAAGATCAGGGCAGAGGGACTAGGGCTTGGCAGGTGCATCAGACCTGCACTGGCCTGCCACTGGGCCGGGAAGGGCATCCCCAGCCACCAGCGCCATGCCCAATACGTCCTTGTGGATCTCGGGCCAAGCCTCAGGAGTTGTGGCATGCTGTTCGACCAGCCAGGGCAGCCCCACACTGCCCTGGGGCACGGAAGCACCGCGACAGCCTCCCCCAGCAAAGCCCTGGACTGCCAGCTCTGACTCACAAGTGACGCGCCAGAGTCCCAGATGGCAGGGCAGCCCATGACTGGGAAACCCAAACCATGAGTCGAAGTCTTTTTGAGGCCGAAAACGCAGCCCCTCCTCCCCAACTTCACAGAAACCGTTCTCCAAACGTGTCTCTGCATAGACTGCGACTGAGTCAAAAGACAACCCGTGGCGCATGAGAGTTTGAAGATGCATCTCGGACTGAGAAAGAAGAAATGGGACTTGGTTGCAGGTCGGTTAGGACACAGTAAGATACAGAATGAGGAGAGTCTTCTAGAATCCAGACAAAGACGGAGGAAGGGAGGGAGAGAGGGAATGGAGAAAAGAGACAGACGGAGGAAAGCAAGGAGGGAGGGAAGGGAGCAGCGAGGGAGGGCGGAAAGAAGGAAATGAGAACCAGAGAGAGAGAGGATTTTTAAAATCTAGACAAAGAAATATAAAGAAAGAGAGAGGCCGGGCGCGGTGGCTCACGCCTGTAATCCCAGCACTTTGGGAGGCAGGGGCGGGTGGATCACAAGGTGAGGAGATTGAGACCATCCTGGCTAACAAGGTGAAACCCCGTCTCTACTAAAAATACAAAAAAATTAGCCGGACGCCATGGCAGGCGCCTGTAGTCCCAGCTACCCTGGAGGCTGAAGCAGGAGAATGGCGTGAACCCGGGAGGTGGAGCTTGCAGTGAGTAGAGATCCCACCACGCATGCCACTGCACTCCAGCCTGGGCGACAGAGACTCCGTCAAAAAAAAAAAAAAAAAAAAAAAAAAAAAAGAGAAAGAGACATAGCAAGGGAAGAAAAATGAAAGAGATGAAGAAGGAGGAAATAAATGAAGGAAAGCCAGGCGGAAAAAACAGAGAGAGGAAAGAAAAAAGAAAGAAGAAAATGTAAAAGAACAAAAGACAGAGAAGAAGAATGAAAGAAAAAGAAAGAAAGAAAGAAAGAAAGAAAGAAAGAAAGAAAGAAAGAAAGGAAAGAAAGAAAGAAAGAAAACTGGAGAAATAAACTTTAAGAAAGAAATGAAAGGAGAAAGATAGATGAAAAAAACTAAAAAAATAGTAAAACTATTTTTCTAAAAAACTCTAAAAAACTCTAAAAAAATAGCCGAGGGCGGTGGGGGGCGGGGTGGGTGGGGGATCGGTGGCTATGATGCACTTTCCACTTTACCAATATGCTGGCTGGGGAAAGACAAATATTAAACATAACTTAACGGTAAAAACTGACTATGGCGGCTTAGCCAAGGTACTTGAGTTTCCCTAAGGAGGGAGGGAGAGAGGAAGAGGAAAGCTGCCGGCATGAAGGAGAGAAACCGAGGTGAGGGGGAGGGGACAAAACAGGACGGGGAAGGGAAGGAGGCACAGTAGTTCACTCTGGAATGTTTTCTAGCCTGGGGTGGGTGGGGGGACACGGAGGGCAACTCAGGAAACAAGCTGATTCTGGAAAAGACACCGAATTCATAGTGTTGCCATCCCTGCTTTGAAAGGTGTGAAGTGCATGCTGCTTCCTCCACACTCATTCAGTTAATCCTGAGAAATGTCTTTTAGTCCCAAACGCCTGACATCTACCTGCTTTCACAACATCTGGGGAGAATCAGAAAAGTCCCCACTAAAGAAAAGGCCTAGGGTGGAACTGCCGTCTGTAAAACCCAGGCAGAAGAGTCCACGCGGGTCAAACACACAAAGAATAGGAAGCAACTGATGAAGAAGATCAACAATCTGGCCCAGCCAGAATCTCCAGAGGTTTTCTAGGCAACGATGGAGGGGATGAACGGATGGAGGTAGGGCGGGCCTCTGAGGGTTGGGGTAGGACTGAGGGGAGCAGAGAGAAGACACACTCACCCCTTACCATGGGCGGGCGGCCACGGCATCCTGTGAGCCTCCTAGACTTCAAAAACGGTGACAGCTAGATGACACGAGACGACAACGGATGGAAGTGTCAGCCCGGCGCCCTTTCAGGAGCTCCCAACAACTAATCCACCACAGCCCTTGCGGGGGAAGAAGCACCATGGCTCGGGAAAACATGGAGAAACACATGTGCCTATGCACGTGCACACGCACACCATATCCCACAATATAGACACGTTTATACCGTGATAATGAGAGAGCCCATTTCTAGTGCAAAAGAAGCAGTCTGGGCTTGGCGGCCCAAGCCAGTAACCCCAGCACTTTGGGAGGCCAAGGCGGGAAGAACACCTGAGGTCAAGAGTTCCAAACCAGTCTGGTCAACATGGCAAAACCCCGTCTTTAAGAAAAACGCAAAAATTAGATGAGCATGGTGGTGGGCACCTGTAATCCCAGCTCCTCAGGAGGCTGAGGCAAGATACTCACTTGAACTCAGGAGGTGGAGGTTGCAGTGAGCTGAGATCTCACAACTGCACTCCAGCCTGGGCAACAGAGGAAGACTCCATCGCAAAAAAAAAAAAAATAATAATAAATAATAAATAAATAAATAAATAAATTGATTCCACCTTTAAATGTATGCACTGTTAAGATTACGCAGATAGCTTAGAAGGTATATAAGCTTTATACACATTTGTAATTTTGAGTCAATCTGGTGATATTATCAGGCCGTCTCCCTGTAAGTGGTCACAGAAATAAAAACTCCCTTTTTTTAGTTCATCTGTATGTCATTATCAGGTCGGGAGAATAAGCAGCCCCACCCTCAGTTTGGTCTGGGAACAATTACACTCCAGCCTGGGTGACAGAGGGAGATTTTGTCTCAGAAAAGAAACAAGAAAACCATTTTTTAAAAAATCGAAGATAATTAGCGGGGCATTGTGCTGTGCTGTGGCTCATTCCCATGCCTGTAGGCCCAGCTACTCTGGAGGCTGAGGCAGAGGAATATTGCTTTGAGCCTAGCAGTTCAAGGTCACAGTAAGCTATGGTCCTACCACTGCATTCCAGCCTCGGCGACACAGGAAGGCCCCGTTTCTAAAAAATACATGAATAAATGAATAGATGAATGTAAAAAAATGCAAGGAGGTGGCAGAGCACGGGAAGGCTTGACTCATTCCTAAACACTAGAGCAGAAAAACAGGACCATCCATGTGAGACATAAGCTATTCCAAATCACAGTGGAATAAGCAAGTGGAAGAGCAAGGCCCTGCCATTATCTGCAGATAACCATTCTTTCTATCCAGCTAGCCTCTGGCTATTAGTAGAAACCAAATGCCCAACCATGGGGCCACGAAGTTACCATGTGAGCTGAGCCGCTCATCACACACTGGGCGTAAGTGGGTGTGCACAGCAGCACTCCAGCATGACACAGAAATGCTGTGGACCTGATTGGGTCCGAACAGATCCTGAAGCACAAGTAAGTTCCATGAGAAAGTGGCCCAAATGCCCATGATGCCTAGTCAAGAAATGAGCCGAGTTAAGAAATTACACATAGCCGGGCGCAGTGGCTCATGCCTGTAATCTTATCACTTTGTGTTGGGGAAACCAGCCCTACACCAGCCAGCAGGTACCACGAGTCCAGCAGAGACAAAGGAGTTGTAAAGAGAAAAAAATAAATGTTTAAAAGGCGGGTCCAGGGGACCGGAGCATCTGAGGCTTGTTCACAGCCCAGAGCTCTCGAGCTCTGCTGAATTTGTTGGTTTACAAGCTCTTTGTTCTTAGGGCAGATGGGAGGGGTAGAAAGGGATAAGGTAGAGGATTAATCAGTGTCACTCAATAAGATGTGTAGCAGCAGTTTTTTGTGAATTTCCTTGAGCAAAGGCGTGTGTCTAAACTACTCAAGATCTTTAACTTATCAGGACTGAAATGGGTGTGAGTGGGTTTCAGGAGGAGCCAACACGTTTGGTTATACTCCACTGCTTCAAAGGAGGTATCTCCCTTGCCAACCTGTGGAATGCCTCTGAGCTGTTATGCTTTCAGGGCATAAAGACATGAAGGCAATAAGGAGATATTTCTCCTCAGAGGCCACCCATGGCTCCACATGGATGTCTCATACAGGGGAGACCAACCCATCTGGCACCCCAGAAACTCTCACACTTTGAGAGGCTGAGATGGGTGGATCACTTGAGGTCAGGAGTTTGAGACCAGCCTGGTGACCACAGCAAAACCCTGTCTCTACTAAAAATACAAAAATTAGTCAGGTGCAGTGATGCCAGCCAATAGTCCCTGCTACTCGGGAGGCTAAGGCAGGAAAATCGCTTGAACCTGGGAGGTAGAGTTTGCAGTGAGCCACAAGTGCACCACTGTGCTCCAGCCTGGGTGACACAGTGAGACTTTGTCTCAAAACCAACAAAAACTTAATTTAATTTAATTAAAAAAAGAAAGTACACGTAAAATTATACATAGCTGGGTGCAGTGGCTCACACCTGTAATCTCAGCAATTAGGGAGCCTGAGACAGGTGGATCAGTTTGTAGCATCATTGCTGCCTTGAAAGGACAGAGAAGTATGTTTATGTCACTGTTGGTTTTATTTTTTTTTCCTTTTTTACCGGAAACACTTACTTTTTATATTATTATTATTATTATCATTATTATTATTTTGGATAGGGAGTTTCGCTCTTGTTGCCCAGGCTGGAGAGTAACGGTGCAATGTTAGCTCACTGAAACCTCTGTCTCCCGGGTTCAAGTAATTCCCTTTCCTTGGCCTCCCGAGTAGCTGGGATTACAGGCAAGTGCCACTATGCCCAGCTAACTTGGTATTTTTAGTAGAGACAGGGTTTCTCCATGTTGGTCAGGCTAATCTCGAACGTCCAACGTCAGGAATGTCCGGTGATTCGCCTGCATCAGACTCCATAAATGCTAGGATTACAGGCATCAGCCACTGCATCTGGCCTCTTTTTTTTTTTTTTTTAAGATGGAGTCTCACTCTGTTGCCCAGGCTGGAATGTAGTGGTGCTATCTCAGCTCACTGCAAGCTTCATCTCACAGTTTCAATCAATTCTCCTGCCTCAGCCTCCCAAGTAGCTGGGATTACAGGCGCACACCACCATGCCTGGCTAATTTTTTGTATTTTTAGTAGAGATACGTTTTCACCACATCGGCCAGGCTGGACTTGAACTCCTGATCTCTTGATCCACCTGCCTCTGCCTCCCAAAGTGCTGGGATTACAGGCATGAGCCACAGTGCCCGGCATGTATATTCATTTTTTTAACTGATCAAAGAACAATCAGAACCACTCATCAGGGTGGCAATTCCCTTGGCAACAAGGGAGGGAGAAACTTGGAGGTGGGGGTGGGGGCAGTGGAGAAGACACAGCTGCCTTGGGCTGTGCCCAGGTGCCATGAGCTTTCTTCCTCCTTGAGGCCTCGGTTTTCAGAGTAACAATGGCTGCTAGGTGATGCCCATTAGGTGAATAGGGTGGCATATGCCAATGAGAGTGTCAGCCCGCAATGAATTGGCATCACCCGGAGTGGGGAAAGGAGGGGAAGGATGGAAGTCCCCACAGTACACTGGGTCACAGCACCCTCGCAGGCAGTCCCCATAACTAATCAACCAGGGCCCCTGGGGGGGGGACACAGCCTAAGTCCCCACCCATCAGATCATCTGGAACTTCCATCCAAATACCGACTGGAAATTCTCTCAGTCAAGCTCCAAACCTAAAAGAATCACTGCCACACCCACCAGGACTAACACAACTTTTAAAAGAATCATTTCTGTGTTTTAGGTGCATCCGTGTATTTCTGTACAACAAAATTATTTATTTTAAATGTTACTAGTTTTTTGCTTCTTACGTGTACAGTCTCATGATAGATAGACAAGGGGACTCTTCAGTCCAGAGTCCATGAGGCCAGAAGCTGACATCCTCAGTTCTTATTCAGAATGAATTTAAACAAGCCAGCCAAGCGCCCTGCCATGAAACTCCTGGAAAGACAAGCGATTAAGAAAAGAAAAGAAAAACAAAGTAAAAAACAAACAAACAAACAAAAAACAATGCCGTCAGGAGCAGTAGCTCATGCCTTTAATCCCCGCACTTTGGGAGCCTGAGAGCGGGTGGATTCCTTGATTCCAGGCAATCAAGACCAGCCTTGGCAACATGGTGAAACCTCATCTCTTCAAAAATACAAAAATTAGCTGGCTTCATAATTTGGACTCAAAATTAATAAATAAATAGTTTGAAATTTAAAATGTAAAAATATCTTAATTGCTGTATTCTGTTATTTTTGCATCCTATCGTGAGAAGGACATAATATAGGTATTATCTGTCTCTCTGTTTGCAACAGGGTCTCGCTCTGTCTGTAGCCCAGGATGGAGTGCAGTGACATCATCATGGCTCACTGCAGCCTCAACCACCCCAGGGTCAGGTGATTCTCCCACTTCAGCCTCCTGAGTAGCTAAGACCCCAGGCATGCACCTCAGGTTTTGGCTGTGTTGTCCAAGGCTTGTCTCGAGCTCCCAGGCTCAAGAGATCCTGCCGCCTTGGCCTCCCAAAGTGTTGGGGTTTCAGGCTTGAGTCGCCGCACCCAGCCTGACTTAATACATCTGGTCTCACTACGTCCTGACTACATGCCCTTGAAGAACTCAAGAGAGTTAGCAAGAGACTTTCAGCATTCTCTCCATAAACCAGTGAGGTGGATGGCGGCTGAGTGTCCTGGGCTCCTGTGGTTTTAGGTGGCCATGCGTAGAGGATAGATTTCAAATGTTTCCAGAGAGGTGGGAGCCACAGTCATTCGGGGCATCCAAGCTTGGGATACAGTTTCTGACAGCATCTTAAGGGCCAGGAAGGGCCAGGATCTGCCAAGGCTGGTGTTCCACGGTGGGGACAATGGAACCCAAGGTAGAGGGAGCCATCCATCCACACTGAGCTCCAGCCCTAGACCCCACCATGCAGATTAAGTCAGAAGGAACAGTCCTTCCTCCTACACGCCACATCCCTCCACTCAACTTGGGAGCAGATCTGTTTTCCAAACATGAGGTGACTCTCTGTTTGAAATGAATCACAAGGGGCCCAGCTTTCTTGAGTCGGCAGGATAAAGAAGTCATTCTGTGACATAGAATGAGATATGCCTCGAATCTAGACTCTCCAGTTAAAACCAATGATGGTGGCCAGGTGCAGTGCCTCATGACTGTCATCCCAGCACTTCGGGAGGTCAAGGCTGGCAGATCACGAAGTCAGGATTGTGAGATCAGCCTGGCCAATATGGTGAAATCCTGTATTTACTAAAAAAACAAAGGTTAGCTGGATAGGGTAGCACGCACCTGTAATTTCTGCTACTCGGGGGGCTGAGGCAGGAGAATCGCTGGAAGCAAGGAGGTGGAGATTGCAGCCAGCCGAGACCATGCCACCGCCTTGGCGACAGAAGGAGACACCATTTACCTAGAGGGATAAAAGAACAACAGGGTCCGCACCAGGATGGAAGTTCCCTAGGCAGTGAGGGAGAGAGGGAGGGGCCTCCAGAAGGGAAGGAGAGAAAGCAGTTGCCCCAGGCTCTGTGAAGTGGCCAGGCGGCCCTCAGTGCCACCTTTAAATAACAGTGGCCACTTTCAATAACAGTGGCCTTTCAATAACAGTGGTCACTAGGTGATGACCTACTTTTAAAAAAAGCAAAACAAAACATTTATTTTGAAAAATTGCAATTTAGGCTGGGCGCGGTGACTCACACCTGTTATCCCAGCACTTTGGGAGACTGAGGCAGGCAGATCCCTGAAGGTCAGCCTGGGCAACATGGTGAAACCCTGTCTCTACTAAAAAAACAAAAGTTAGGTGAGCAGGGTGGCATACACCTGTAATCCCAGCTACTCAGGAGGCTGTGGCAGGAGAATTGCTGGAACCAGGGAGGTGGAGATTGCAGCCAGCCAAAAAAACCCCACAGCCTGGGCTACAGAACAAGACTCTATTTAAAATAAATTAGTAAATAAATAAGTGAACGAATATATGTAAAAAGAAAAATGCAAGGAAATGGCGGAACTCGGGAAGGCTCCCCTCATTCCTAAAGACCAGAGCAGAAAAACAGGACCATCAAGTTCAGACACAGGCCATTTTGAATCTGTTGTCACCATGCTCAATTGGTGCCAAAGAAGGGTAGGCTTCTGTGCCACCCATCTGTCATCACCACCCTTGTCAAATATAATTGCAGGGTCACGACTGCACAGAGATCTCTCAACCCACTGAATGCATCCGTATTTTTATGAGCCCCGTTGGGAGAATAAACAGGATATTTAGAAAAGTACTCATCGTGCGTTATTTGGTCTCCCATGTCTCTTGTGAAACCAAACAAATTTATGGGCCATTTTTTTTTCTTTCCAGCACTTGACCATCCATACAGTACCTAAATAAAAGAAGAATGAATGCATTTTATGAAACAAGGAGAAAAACAACGAAGCGAAAGTCTCAGAGGCTTGTGATACACAGGGGTATACAGAATGAGGAGACTTCCAGAATCCAAACAAAGACAGACGGAGGGATGGGAGGAAACGAATTGAGAAAAGAGACACACAAAAAGATGAAGAAAAATAAATGCAAAGAAAAAGAGACAGAGATGTAAAGGGAAGAAAGATAAAGAAAATAGAAAGACAGAGAAACAGAAAAAGAGAATAAGAAATGACAGAAAGAAGGGAGGAAGAAAAAGAGAGAGAAGAAAGAGAAAGAAAAGAAAGAAAATGAAAGAAAGAAAGAGGAAGAAAAAAGAAAAATAAAGGAAATAAAAAAGAGAGAAGTGCATCAAGGTTTACACCTGTAATCCCAACACTTTGGGAGTTTGACATGGAAGAATTGTTTGAACCCACCATTTTGAGACCAGCCCTGACAATACAGTGAGACCATGCCTCTACTTAAATAAAATAAAATAAAATAAAATAAAATAAAATAAAATAAAATAAAATAAAATAAAATAAAATATAATAATGTTAGCCGGGCATGATGGCAGGCGCCTGTACTTTCAGCTCCTTTGGAGCCTGAGGTGGGAGCATCCCTTGGGCTCGGGAGGTGGAGGCTGCGTTGGGCCTTGGTCAGGTAATGCACTGCAGCGTGTTGTCCAGGCTGGTCTTGAACTCCTGAACTCTAGCCAACTGCCTGCCTCAGCCTCCGAAATTGCACCTGCCATATTCAACGGCCCTGGGGGTATCAGTGACAGACTTTAGTAAGCATGGTTGTTATGCCATATTGCCCAGGTTGGTCTTGAACTTGAACCCGGGAATTTGAGGCTACGGTGAGCCAAGGTCATGCCACTGTACTGCAGTCTGGGTGATAAAGCAAGACCCCATCTCTAAATATCTAATTAATAAAAACAATAACAATAATATAAACAATAATACAAATAAATAACAAACAACAGCAATAATAATAAACAAACTAGTGAGAGTGAAAAATATAAAAATAAAAAAGGTAATTTAGATCACAATTAATTGCAGTAATTTCAAGGAGTTATTTCTTTAACCTGTCTCTCTTACTTTCTGAAACAGGGTCTTTCTCTGTCACTCAGGCTGGAGGGCAATGGCGTGATCATGGCTCACTGCAGCTTCGACATCCCAGAATCAAGCTATTCCTGCAATCTCAGCCACTTGGAAGGCTGAGATGGCAAGAACACCTGCGGGAGCCCAGGAAGGTTGAGGCTGTGATGAGCCGAGAATGCAATCTCACACTCCAACTTTTCAAAAAAAAGAAAAGAAGAATTAGAAGGAGAAGAAGTAAACATAAAACAACAGCAACTTCAGTGTGTAGAAAGGGGAGTAAGAAAAGTAAAAGGAAAAAGAAAAACAAAATGAAGAGCAGCTGAAAATACTGTGGAAACAGTTGGAGAGGAAGAAATGACGTGGTGAAAGAGCAGCCTCTAGTGGATGCAGGTGGTAGTGCTGCTGACCAGAGTTACCCGTTCTACCTTAACAATCCCAAGTTGACGGTCAAGTCCAGCGCTCGCCGATGACATCTTATGGACCCAGGGCTCGCGGAAGGACCCAGTTGGAACTTTATCACACCAAGCCGGCCCACCTTTGCTGCCATCTAACTCCGCCGACCTGCCCGCAGTTCCCCACTCTCCGCTGGTTGACCGGGGCAGCGGAGAGAGGAGGAAAGCACAAAGGCAGTGACTGGTTCATATCCCATCGCCGCGCGCCTGGGGTGGGGAGAGGGGCCGTGACCCCATCGGCCACCACTGGGCACGCGTGAACACTACTCGGACAGGAACCGCAGGGCACACCCTCGGACAACCACTCCTGAGTCATTCTCACCAGGCTCGGTGAATCCAATCTCAGCCCCTGGAGGAGTTCCCAGCGGGGTGCGAGGAGGAGGTGGAATCGGAGAGGTGGAAGGAGGAGCAGGGGAGCCACCTCTACCTCAGCAACCCCTGGCGCGGCACCTTGGAAAGCCCGAGGGTGGGGACGTGAGCCTCCCAATGCACAGCGGGCGCCGATGAGCTCTCGCGAGAGACACCCACTGCGTGATCCGGGGCTCAGGGGTGGGTGGGCATGAGCGGGCCAGGGAAGAGGTTCTCGGGAACAGGAGAAAGGAAGGAAGGTATATGTCAAGGGCTGAATTACACAGGACACACCACATCACACACCACATCACCAGGTCCTCCGCACACGGGTGCAGAGAGCCTTGTGTGGAGGTCTGACTTTCAATAGATAGCAGCGAGGGAGCTGCTCTGCTCCATGGAAAACCCTGACCCAGAAGCAGGACGTCTGCGAATAGTTTAGCATCAGGTTCCCCACAAACACGTTATGTGATGGGTCAGGGGGTGACCGCCTTTCTGGCAGCAGCCCGTTTCCCAGGATGGGGGTTTCTCTGCACCGGATCCCGGTTTCCGGAGCACGGCAGGACATGCGCCCAGCGCGGGGCGGAGCGGCACACCGGAGGGGACTGCAGAAGACTGCCTACCCGAGGCCAACAAAGGTTCCGTGGCGCTGCCTTATCATTCCTCATGGGCGGGATTCTTAGAGTCCTTCAGTCCTAATCCCGCTTATAGTAGCTTTACCCCATTGGCTCCTCAGACAAGGACATACACCAAATGTCTGAACCTGTGATTTCTCTACTAATGAGCAGGATTACCATGGGAACAACACATGGGCAACAACACATGGGGAACACACGCAGTAAAACTAACCTGTCTCACATGGGTCTAACCATAATGCTTTCCAGGGCATGCGCACCGCTCTCAGGTGAATCCATTCCAGTCTGCCTTGTCCTTCGCAAAGAAAAGAGAGCTCTGCAGGGGCGGTGGCTCATGCCTGTAATCCCAGCAATTTGGGAGGTTGAGGAGGGCCGATCATCTGAGATCAGGAGTTCAAGATCAGCTTGGCCAACATAGTGAAACCCTGTCTCTATAAAAATACAAAAATTAGCCGGGCATGATGGCGGGTGCCTGTAATCCCAGCTACCCAGGAGGCTGAAGTGGGAGAATCGCTTGAACCCGGGGAGGCGGATGCCTCCCGCTTGAACCCGGCAGGCGCACATGCCACCATGCTGGGCTAATTTTTGTATTTTTAGTAGAAACAGGGTTTCACCATGTTGGCCAGGCTGGTTTTGAACTCCTGACCTCAAGCAATCTGCCTGCGTTAGCCTCCCAAAGTGTTGGGATTACAGGCGTGAGCCACCGCACCCAGCGTATGTGTATAGAGCTCCTCGAGAGGAAAGCCTCTATTATTACCATTGCAACAGTAGAAAAAGTAAAGCTTTTTTTTTTTCTTTTGAGTAAGAGTTTCACTCTTGTTGCCCAGAATGCAGTGCAATGGCCTGATCTCAGCTTACTGAAACCTCTGCCTCCCAGGTTCAAGCTATTCTCCGGCGTTGGCCTCTCAGGAAGGTGGGATTACAGGCATGTGCCACCACACCTGGCTAATTTTGTATTTTTAGGAGAGACAGAGTTTCACCATGTTGGTCAGGCTATTCTCGAACTCCTGACCTCAGGTGATACACCTGCCTCGGTCTCCCAAAATGCTGGGATCACAGGCATGAGCCACTGTGTCTAGCTTTTTTTTCTTTTCTTTTTTTTTGAAATAGTGTCTCCATCTATTTCCTAGGCTGGAACACAGGGACATAATCCTAGTTCACTGCAGCATCAAACTCCTAGAGCTCAAGCAATCCTCCAGTCTCAGCCTCCCAAGGGCTAGGATTATAGGTGCACGCCACTACACCTAGGTATTTTTTGTTTTTTGTTTTTTTTCTTTTTCTACACAAAAATGTCTCAACATGGATTTTTTTTTTTTCTTTTTTGGCAGAGATGCTGTCTCACTATGTTGCCCAGGGTGGTCTCAAACTCCCCGCCTCAAACCATCCTTCCACCTAAGCCTCTATAAGTGCTAGGATTACAGGCATGAGCCACTGAACCCAGCCCCAATAATTTTTATTTTATTTTATTTTATTTTATTTTATTTTTTTTTTGAGGCAGAGTCTTGCTCTGTCAACCAGGCTTGTGTGCAGTGGTGTACTCTCAGCTCACTGCAACCTCTGCCTCCCAGGTTCAAACAGTCCTCCTGCCTCAGCCTCTTGAGTAACTAGAATTACTCACGCATGCCACCACACCTGGCTAATTTTTTTTATTTTTAGTAGAGACGGGGTTTCACCATGTGGGCCAAGCTGGTCTCAAACTCCTGACCTCAAGTGATCCACCTGCCGTGGCCTCTCAAAGTGCTGGGATTATGGGTGTGAGCCACCACACGTGGCTCCCAAGAACTCTCTAAAGGCACCTAGTGTCACAAGAACAGATAGCTAAACTGTATCTGAAAAAGTGGCTCAAGTGGGGAAATTTTTGGCAGATTTGGGGAAACTTAGGGCAAATTTTAAACATGAGGCCTTTTGTCAGATCACCTACATTCTTTGGATTCAATGTGGGTTTGTCACAGATGCTTGGTGTGACAAATTGCATGGCTTCTACCACTTCATTTGATCAGCCTCCTATTGACTTTCAGCTAAGTGCTGCAGAATTGCTTCTCAGATTGTATCTTTCCGCAAGACAAAGCTATTTCACAGTCTCTAACTGTCCCATTTTGTGGCTGTTAATTTATACTTACATGTTTTTCAACTACTTATTCTGGTTTTCTGTTTATGAAAGCTTTAACCTGTGCTATTTTGAGGGAAATACTGATGCATATCTAAACTTTAAGAGTGTTTTTCACCCTGGCTGCAGACACTTGGTGAATAATTTTTCAGGTGATAGAAAAACCCATCATCATGAGAATGTAGCAACTTTTATTTTGCAGTAACTGTTAAAACTGTAGCTGTGGTGCTCAGTAAAATGGGACCTTTCCCTTGTAGGTGTTTGGGGAGGAGTGAAGTCCTGTCCTCCATTTTGTTAGTAACCTGCTTATGGGTGGGCCATTATCACCCAGAAAGGAAAGGGATACCATGGTATGCAGTTACACGGAGCTGCAGCAAGAGCAAAAAAAAGAAATTCCCTCATGTCTCCAATGCAGAGCTGGCATTTATACCTCTAACCCAGGCAGGGCCCACAAATCTCTGGCAGCTGTGAGCACCTGTTTTGTTTCTGCCTTCTTCCAGTTGGCAATTTTGGCTTTTGGGTTTTGGGTTTTTTTGTTTTTTTCTTTTTTGAGACAGAGTCTCACTCTGTTGCCCAGTCTGGAGTGTAGTGTAGTGATCTGGGCTCACTTCAAGCTCTGTCTCCCGGGTTCACGCCATTATCCTGCCTCAGCCTCCTAAGTAGCTGGGACTATAGGCACTCACCACCACGCCCAGCTAATTTTTTTTTTTTTTTTTTTTTTTGTATTTTTAGTAGAGACGGGATTTCACCATGTTAGCCAGGATGATCTCAATCTTCTGACCTCATGATCCACCTGCCTCAGCCTCCCAAAGTGTTGGGATTACAGGCGTGAGCCACTGCACCCAGCCTTTTTTTTTTTTTTTTTTAGACAGACTTTCACTTCGTCACCGGGCTGGAGTGCAGTGGTGTGATCTTGGCTCACTGCAGCCTCTGCCTCCTGGGTCCAAGTAATCCTCTTGTTTCAGCCTCCCAATTAGCTGGGATTAAGTTGCGCACCACCACAGACAGCTGATTTTTGTATTTTTAGTAGAGATGGGGTTTTGCCGTGCTGCCCAGGCTAATCTCGACTTCGTGATCTCAAGTGATCCGCCCACCTCAGCCCACCTCAAAGTGCTGTGACTACAGGTGTCAGTCACCTTGCCTGGTCTGTTGACAATATGGGGGGCATGTAAAATATCTGCAGCCCTTTAGCCAGTAAAACACAGAAGACTGTAGTATGTGGCTTCTCCATTCTCCCTCTTTCTCTGCTCTCCTAAATATTAAAGGGTTCTCCTTTTGCCAAGCCCAGTGGCAAAGCCTCAGGAAGGGTGGAGGTATCAGAAGCATCCAAAGGGATCCCATCAAGTAGCTCTAAGTCACTCTCATTCACCCCATTGGAAGTTCCTGCCATCCTGTATGCCCTGGAAGCTTCCTAATGCAGGCAGATAATATCCTTGGTGTGCTGTTAGTGTGGAGACTCCCTCATCTTTGCTCTTCTGCTTGAGAAAAAAAACTGACTGGTTACGGTGGCTCATGCCTGTAATCTCAACAATTTGGGAGGCCGAGGCAGGTGGATCACTTAAGGTCAGGAGTTCGAGACCAGCCTGACCAACATGGTGAAACCCCATCTCTACTAAAAATACAAAGGTTAGCCAGGCATGGTGGCAGATGCCTGTAATCCCAGCAACTCAAGAGGCTGAGGCAGAAGAATCACTCAAACCCGGGAGGCAGAGGTTGCCATGAGCCAAGATCACATCACTGCATTCCAGCCTGGGCAACAGAACAAGACTCTGCCTAAAAATATATAGAAATATAATATAACATACAAATATATTATATTTATATATATAAATTTTTAAATAAATGAATAGAATTCATCACCTAACTTCTAAAGCTACTTCTCTGGATGAAATTCTGGGCACTTAGGAGTCAGCAGTGGTATATTGAGTGTATGGCTCTTGCTCACAGGTGCTTCTTTTCTGTCCCATGGCAGGCAGCACAAAATGAAGGCTCCTGCAAAGCTAAGAGCTCCTTTTGCCCACGGATCAGGAGCAAAGTTTGCAGCTACACTGTCGGCTGTGTTTGGATGTTAGCAGTTAGTTTAGCTTTGCGTCTTCAGAACGATTGTTCTTAGCTACTTTAAAAAAAAAAAAAAGAAGAAAATGAAAGAAAAGAAAACTTAAAATGTTCTTCATTGATCATTCAGGAGCATACTGTTTAATTTCCATGTAATTGTACAATTTCAAAAGTTCGCCTTGTTGTTGACTTCTAGTTTTATTCCACTGTGGTCAGGAAAGATACTCAATATAATTTCAATAATTTTAAATTTGTTGAGACTTGTTTTGTGGCCTAACATATGGTAGAATAGACCAGAATAGGGAGAATATCTCTTGTGCTGATGAAGGAATGTGTTTTCTGCATCTGTTGGATGAAATGTTTTGTAAATATCTCTTTGTTAGCCTAAAATGTAGTTGCTTTTTTTGTTTTTCTTTGAGACAGAGTCTCTGCTGCCCAGGCTGGAGAGCAGTAGCATGATCTTGACTCAGTGCAACCTCCAGCTCCCACGTTCAAGCAATTCTCATGCCTCAGCCTCCCAAGTAGCTGGAATTACAGATGCCCGCCACCACACCCAGCTAATTTTTGTACTTTTAGTAGAGACAGTGTTTTACCATGTTGGCCACGCTGGTCTCAAAATACACAAAAAATATATATATTTTTTCCTTTCTTCCCCTCTTAATTGTTCATCCTTGTAATTTGGTGGATTTGTGTAGTGATAAAGTTTGATTCTTGTCTCTTTCTCCTTTGTGTATGTGTTCTACCGTTGAGTTTTATACTTTTTTTGTGTGTTTTCTTGATAGTAATTATCATTTCACTTGCAGATGTGGGACTCCCTTGAGAATTTCTTGTAAAGCTGGTCTAGTGGTGATGAATTCTGTCAGTTTTTGCTTGTCTGAGACATTTCAGGCCTTTAGCTTCAGGAACTGATTCTAGTTCCCTGTCCTGTGGCGACAAATAGAAACAGATCCCTGGTACCATTCTTAGGTACAAAGCCAGCTAGATATGAGCAGATAAGAAAATCAAATCCTTCTATTTTGCCAGGGATTAATTCATTCCCAGGATTGTAAATATTACATTTCACTTTTCATCTCACAGAACCGTGAGACTGGAAGTTGAGCTGGGCAGCCTGCCCAGCAAGACATTATGATGTATGCAACACAATGAACTACTAAAGAAGTGTCTTTAAAGGTATTTACAGCACATAGCTTTTTTTTCTTTTAATTTTGCTGCTCTTTATTTGCAGTAGCAGGTAAGGAATTAAGAAAGCAAAAATAAGTGCTTTGACTAGGTCTTTTGCCTTTGAAAGTAGCATTCGTAAAATCCCCTCTTCTTTTTTATTCGTATAAACTTCACCCAATTCAATCTGCCCCTCCCCCCAGCCCATCTGTGTTCACATGCTGTTCTTGCTGCTCTCAGTTTTTAAAAGCTTATTCCAAAATTACATGAAAGTAACCACATTTTGACAAAATCAGAATTCTGGTAGGAATGGCTTACCACAAGGCTGTTGAAAGACGCCCAGCAAAACTTTAGTACTTTTTATTTCAACCTCTCTCGGTTAAACCTACAATTTGGTAGTTGATATTATTACCTCCCTTTGGCAGGCCTGTGTCTCTGCCTTGGAGAAATAACAAAGTCCAAAGTAGTCTTCTCATTCAAAGATGTGGCAAATGAAGGCTGTTTTGATCTTTATGTATTAGCATTTGGGTTTTAATCTTTCTGGGGCTCCTGACAGACTATTCCTTTAAATTTATTATATAATTCTAAAATATTGGACACATTTGTTTCAAGCATCTGTCAATATCCTTACTATTTTCATTCCACTTCCCACTGCCCTCAATAGTCATTAGGTCCTACTGATTTTTATCTCCTAAGTATTTGTCAAATCTGTCTTCTCTGTATGTATTGTTCCTTATATAACTGCATCTCCATTGTCACTGTGCTGCTTTGGACTATCTTTTCTTGTCTAGATCAGTGCCTGAATTATATTATGAGCTTCGTAAAGTTGTATCAATGAATGAATGATTCATAATCTGGGCACTGCATTCTAACACTTAACTGAAAAAAAATCTTAGATCTATCTTCCATGTAAAAGCATATCTAAAATGCAAATCTTAATTTGATAATCTCCAGCTTAATAAAACTCTTAGATGGCTCCCAGACGTCCCCCAAACCATCTCTCATTTCACTGATCAAAAAAAATTTAAAATTTTAAAACTAAAAAAAAATTGAACACTTTATTGGTCAAAAAACAAAAACAAAAATGATCTCGGAGCGTACCTCACTCACACCCCACCCTGCTCTGTTCCCCTCTCCCACCCCCAGCCTACAGGGACCATCCAATAACCCCTTCTTTGCTACATAACCCTTACCCTCCTTCTTCAATACTCATACTTTCTCCTTAGAAACCTCCCCCCCACTTCCGGGCAACAGTAGATTCTTTCTTGCTTATGTTTTTTGTAATGACATCAGCCATTTAGAACTCATGATGTGCCTAGGCCCCACTATCTGCCTCTCCACAGATCTTGCTCAGACAATTCTTCAGGATTTAGTCACAGATCCAAAGTAAGGAGCTAGAAGGGAGCTTCAGGCTTGGTTTTTTTGGGTTGAAGCTAGAAAGCTAATCTATGTTGAATGCAAAACAAACCAAGTAATAGCCAACCTATACATCCTAGGAATATCGATTGCTTTTTATTTTTGCTCCCAGCCATTCTCTCCACAGGACTCTCTCCTTCTTTACATTTCTTTTAAACACAGTATATTAACACAACACTGTGTGAGAAATGGGATTCAGAAAACCAAGATACAGGTCTCCTTCCGCTATGCTATGAGTCAGCCATGAAAACTCTCTGGGCCTCACTGACTGAATTGTAATATCTGACTTTAATGAGGATTATATTCATTGAACTCTGAGGTCCTGTCCATTTCTTACACCCTGATGCAAAGACCGCAGAGAACTTCTAACCCAGATGTTTTTAACTAGGCTTCTTGTATGTCTGGGAAGATGATGAAAGAACTTCAAGGGGATCACGAGCTCCTTAAATTCTATCTAAAATCCAAGGCCAGGTGCCGTGCCTCACGCCTATAATCCCAGCACTTTGGGAGACCGAGATGGGTGGATTGCTTGAGCTCAGGAGTTCAAGACCAGCCTGGGAAATATGGTGAAACCCCTTATCTATTAAAATACAAAATAATCAGCCTAGTGTAGTGGTGCATGCCTGTAGTCCCAACTACTCAGGAGGTTGAGACACAAGAATTGCTTGAACCCTGGAGGTGGAGAACGTTGCAGTGAGCTGAGATCATGCCACTGCACTCCAGCCTGGGAGACAAACAGAAACTCTGTCCAAAAAATAAATAAATGAATGAATGAATGAATAAATAAATAAGTAAAATTAATTATATGTAAAATCCTATGTCAGATGGCTGCATCACCTTGGCCCACGGAGGGGGTTTTCTTTTCTTTTTTTCTCTTCCAAGGTAATGATAGTCTATAGCTCACTGCTGCCTTGGCCGCCTGGGCTCAAGCAGTCATCCCACCTCAGCCTCCTGAGTAGCTAGGATAAAAAGCACACTCCACCCTGCCCAGTGAATTAAAAAAAAAAAAAATGAAGCTGGGCACAGTGGTTCATGCCGTGAATCCCAGAATTTTGAGTGGCCAAGTCAAGAAGACTGATTGGGTCCAGGAGTTCAAGAAGCTGAGAAATATACAGACCCCATTTCTACTAGTAAAAAAATAAAAAATAAAAACATTAGTTGGGCCCAGTGGCATTCACCTGTAGTGCCAGCCACTTATGAGTCTGAGGCAGAGGATTACTTGAACTGAGCAGTTCAAGGCTGCATTGAGCTATGATTGTGGCTTTGGACTGAGCCTTGGTGACACCACAAGACTCTGTCAAAAAAAAAAAAAAAAAAAGAGGCTACAGGTAAGAAAGTACTTGGATAACACTAAAAAGTTAAACTCGTGACATTGGACCTTATGAAATGTGTGTTACCCAGAGCTGTTTATAGTATGATAGGTCCCTCCTAGATAGTATTCAAGGTTTAATACAGAAACAGAGCAAGACTCTGTTTCAGAAATAAAATAAAGTAAAATAGCTGGCCATCGTGGCTTGCACCTGCAGTACCAGCTGCTCAGGAGGTTGAGGCAGGAGGATGTCTTGAGCCCAGAGAGTTAGGGGCTACAGTGAGCTATGATCATGCCACTGTACTCCAGCCTACATGACAGAGGAAGACGCTGTCTCTAAAAAAAATGATAACAAAAGTAACTAAAAAAGAACTCTGGGCCCCACCTGAGAGATTCATATTCATTTGCTTTATCACAGGGTCATGGAACCTGTCCCAGTATCCTAAAAGCCGCCTCAGTGAGTTAACAAAAGTACTGGTATTGAAAGAGATGTCAACATGCTGTGACAAAGAGAAGTCTCCTCTGTGAGGCTGGGAAGTGGGGCCAAATGAGGTTTTTTTTTTTTTTTGAGGAGCTGATTTAGGACAACTAAAATGGTTGTCAGAGAGCACAAGAATCTAAGGAAGGCTTGAGACCATGAAACTGTGGTGGCCTCAGCTGGTGCTTCTGTGCGCTTTCTCCTCTCTCAGCATGGTGGAATCAGAAGCAGAGAAGGCAGATGGCGGGATGACTCAAAGTTCGGGTTTTATCAGAGAGGAGGAGTAGGAGGAGAGTGTGTAAGGCAGATCAAGGAGTGTTATTAAGGGGCTCAGGTCCTAGACCGTGGGCCTAGCAGGTAGGCCATGAGGGTCATGAGGGATGGGGAAGATGCATCGCAAAGGGCCCTGAGAACCAGGGGAATATGCAACACCAGGGGCCTGGCAGTTCCAGGAGAGTAGAAGGTCTAGCAAGAATGCCCATGCACCTGTGAAGGAGAGAAGCAAGGCTAGGAGGCTGCAGAGAGTGAATAATTTAGAGGTGAACTTTCTACTGGACAGCAAATCCCTCAATGCCATCCCAATGGAGAACTAAGATAAAAAATACTCTGCCGTGAAAATGCCTTACATGGTCATAATTATGAGTCGTAAAATTCCTTTTTCAGCTGAAAATGACCTGCAGCTTCATTTACCATTTTATGCTTTGGATGTCATGTTACATCTAGAAGCAATACCCTCTCCCATTGCAAGTCAAAGTAAAACTAGGAAATGTTCAGTGGAAAGGAAAAAAAAAAAAACACAGAAGACAAAAAAACAGCAATAAAATAAAGCTGCAAACCCAAAGCACTAGGAAAGGAAAGGGAAAAAAACCTTCAATATAGACAAGCTTTCATGTTGTGTGATCTGTGAAAATGTATAGAAATGCTTATCAGCTTAAGGAGATTTTGGGCTGAGACAATGGGGTTTTCTAGATATACAATCATGTCATCTGCAAACAGAGATAATTTGACTTCCTCTTTTCCGAATTAAATACCCTTTATTTCCTTCTCTTGCCTAATTGCCCTGGCCAGAACTTGCAACACTATGTTGAATAGGAGTGGTGAGAGAGGGAATCCCTGTCTTGTGCCAGTTTTCAAAGGGAATGCTTCCAGTTTTTGCCCATTCAGTAGGATATTGGCTGTGGGTTTGTCATAGATAGCTCTTATTAATTTGAGATCCATCCCATCAATACCAAATTTATTGAGAGATTTTAGCATGAAGCATTGTTGAATTTGGTCAAAGGCCTTTTCTGCATCTATTGAGATAATCACGTGGTTTTTGTCATTGGTTCTGTTTATATGCTGGATTACATTTATTGATTTGTGTATATTGAACCAGCCTTGCATCCCAGGGATGAAGCCCACTTGATCATGGGGGATAAGCTTTTTGATGGGCTGCTGGATTCAGTTTGCCAATATTTTAATGAAGATTTTTGCATCAATGTTCATCAAGGATATTGGTCTAAAATTCTCTTTTTTGGTTGTGTCTCTGCTCGGCTTTGGTATCAGGATGATGCTGGCCTCATAAAATGAGTTAGGGAGGATTCCTTCTTTTTCTATTGATTGGAATAGTTTCAGAAGGAAAGGTACCAATTCCTCCTTGTACCTCTAGTAGAATTTGGCTGTGAATCCATCTGGTCCTGGACTCTTTTTGGTTGGTAAGCTATTGATTATTGCCACAATTTCAGAGCCTGTTATTGGTCTATTCAGAGATTCAACTTCTTCCTGGTTTAGTCTCAGGATACAAAATCAATGTATACATCAATGTACAAAATCAATGTATAAAAATCACAAGCATTCTTATACACTAATAACAGACAAACAAAGAGCCAAATCATGAGTGAACTCCCATTCACAATTGCTTCAAAGAAAATAAAATACCTAGGAATCCAACTTCCAAGGGATGTGAAGGACCTCTTCAAGGAGAACTACAAACCACTGCTCAATGAAATAAAAGAGGATACAAACAAATGGAAGAACATTCCATGCTCATGGGAAGGAAGAATCAATATCCTGAAAATGGCCATACTGCCCAAGGTAATTTGTAGATTCAATGCCATCCCCATCAAGCTACCAGTGACTTTCTTCACAGAATTGGAAAAAATTACCTTAAAGTTCATATGGGACCAAAAAAGAGCCCGCATCACCAAGTCAATCCTAAGCCAGAAGAACAAAGCTCGATACATCACGCTACCTGACTTCAAACTCTACTACAAGGCTACAGTAACCAAAACAGCATGGTACTGGTACCAAAACAGAGATACAGATCAATGGAACAGAACAGAGCCCTCAGAAATAATGCCGTATATCTACAACTATCTGATCTTTGACAAACCTGAGAAAAATAAGCAATGGGGAAAGGATTCCCTATTTAATAAATGGTGCTGGGAAAATTGGCTAGCCATATGTAGAAAGCTGAAACTGCATCCCTTCTTTACACCTTATATGAAAATTAAATCAATATGGATTAAAGACTTAAACGTTAGACATAAAACCATAAAAACCCTAGAAGAAAACCTAGGCATTACTATTCAGGACATAGGCATGGGCAAGGACTTAATGTCTAAAACACCGAAAGCAATGGCAACAAAAGCCAAAATTGACAAATGGGATCTAATTAAACTAAAGAGCTTCTGCACAGCAAAAGAAACTACCATCAGCGTGAACAGGCAACCTACAAAATGGGAGAAAATTTTTGCAACCTACTCATCTGACAAAGGGCTAATACCCAGAATCTACAATGAACTCAAACAAATTTACAAGAAAAAAACAAACAACCCCATCAAAAACTGGGCGAAGGACATGAGCAGACACTTCTCAAAAGAAGACATTTATGCAGCCAAAAAACACATGAAAAAATGCTCACCATCACTGGACATCAGAGAAATGCAAATCAAAACCACAATGAGATACCATCTCACACCAGTTAGAATGGCAATCATGAAAAAGTCAGGAAACAACAGGTGCTGGAGAGGATGTGGAGAAATAGGAACAATTTTACACTGTTGGTGGGACTGTGAACTAGTTCAACCATTGTGGAAGTCAGTGTGGCGATTCCTCAGGGATCTAGAACTAGAAATACCATTTGACCCAGCCATCCCATTACTAGGTATATACCCAAAGGACCGTAAATCATGCTGCTATAAAGACACATGCACATGTGTGATTATTGTGGCACTATTCACAATAGCAAAGACTTGGAACCAACCCAAATGTCCAACAATGATAGACTGGATTAAGAAAATGTGGCACATATACACCATGGAATACTAGGCAGCCATAAAAAAATGATGAGTTCATGTCCTTTGTAGGGACATGGATGAAATTGGAAATCATCATTCTCAGTAAACTATCACAAGAACAAAAAACCAAACACTGCATATTCTCACTCATAGGTGGGAATTGAACAATGAGAACACAAGGACACAGGAAGGGGAACATCACACTCTGGGGACTGTGGTGGGGTGGGGGGGGGGGGGTGTGGGGAGGGATAGCATTAGGAGATATACCTAAAACTAAATGACGAGTTAATGGGTGCAGCACACCAGCATGGCACATGTATGCATATGTAACTAACCTGCACATTTTGCACATGTACCCTAAAACTTAAAGTATAATAATAAGAAGAAGAAAAAGAAAATGTATAGAATTGTTACCATACCAAAAAATTCCCAAAGTGCTTTACTTGCCAGCCACTGGAAGGAAGTAGAAATTCCCACTCAGGTTGTTACTTTTAATTGTCATTCCCTTTATGTTGTTTCCTAAAATACCAACAGGCATTCTAGAGATGATTTACCAAGATGGCTTAATGAGGTGTCAGATGAGTACCTGTACCCATGAGCCCCTTTACCTGAGGCCTCCTTATGCAAATTTGATGGACTCTTCTGAGCCCCACTAGATTAAAAAAACAGACATAATTGGAGCAGCTGGGCTGGAAGCACAGCTGGGCCATCCCCTTAAAGACCAGACTCTAGAACCACGTGCTCTTGCTTGCCCCAGGTTTCTCCCCACTGTTGATATTCATAGCTGCAGCCCACCTGGACCTGAGTCTTTTTCAGATGGTCTCCACATCAGTGCTTGTTAGCATTCATGTGCACACAGATCACCTGTGCAACTTGTGAAAATACAGATTCAGACTCAGTGGCTGGGGTGGAGACTCTGGATCAATGTGTCTAACAAGCCCCCGGGTGATGCATATGGTCGTCAGATGGTCCTAGTCCCACACTAGGAGGAGCTATTTAGAGCCTGTAAAATAGCTACTCCCCTATCCAGTGTTTGAGTCCCAGAATTCTGGATTCTGCCAGCACTCAGATGCTTCTGGGACATGATGCTTCCTGTTCATCTTGGGTCAACACGTCAGAAAGGATTTCCTATATTGAGCTGAGATCCGTCTACCTAGGACTCACATTCACATGGCCTACTTCTGGACCTTGGATTTTATGTAGCAGGCTTAAGGCCTTAGAAAGTGGCTGGAATGTCCCTCAAGTATTTTTTTCAGGCAAAACGTGCCAGGTCCTCTGGCTGTTATTTTTTAATTTTTTTTAGAGACTGGGTCTCATCATGTTTCCAGGCTGGTCTCAAATTCCTGGGCTTAAGTTATCCTCCTGCCTCACGCTCCCAAATTGCTGAGATTACAGGCATAAGCCACCATACCTGGTCTTGGCTAATCTTCTTATGCTATGGTTTGGTCATTCTGGTCATTTCTTTCTTTTCATTTTTATTAATTAATTTACTTATTTATTTATTTATTTTTTGAGATGGAGTTTCACTCTTGTTGCCCAGGCTGGAGTGCAATGGCATGATCTGGGCTCACTGCAACCTCCGCCTCCCAGATTCAAGCAATTCCCATGCCTCAGCCTCCCGAGTAGCCGGGATTACAGATGCCCAGAACCACCATTTTGTATTTTGGTAGAGACGGGGATTCACCATGTTGACCACGCTGGCCTCAAACTTCTGACTTCAGGCGATCCACCTGCCTCAGCCTCCAAAAGTGCTGTCATTACAGGCGTGAGTCACCACACCCAGCCATAGTCATTTCCTTCTGATCCTGCTCTGTGTGTCTTTAGGCCTCTCCTCTTGTGATATCTATGCTGCAAAAGTAGCTTGGAACTGTCACCACCTCTCACTTACAGACAGTCTTTATGTGACTCAGGTTGTACTTGCTGTCAGCCATCATCCTTAATGCCATTTTTACACATGCTGTGGATCAGCCACATTTCTTCCTAGTCAGTAAAAATTATAATAATTATACTTAACACTCATGAGAATTAGTATAGTAAGATGGTTAAGAACATAGGCTCTGGAATGAGACTGCCTAGTGGGAAGCACTGTGATTAGTACCATGTGTTATATATCACCATCATCATCATCATCATCATCATCATCTTCCATCACCATCACTATCACCACCATCATCATCACCATCACCATCACTATCACCACCATCAGCATCATCATCATCACCATCACCACCATCAAGATCATCACATCACCATCAACACCATCACCATCACCATCACCATCACTATCACTACCAGTATTACCATCACCATCATTACCATTGCTATAACCATCATACCAAAATCACCATCACCACCATCACCAACATCATCACCATAACCAATCATCACCATCATTTCCACCACCATCATTACCATAATGACGATCACCATCACCACCATCACCATCACCACCATCATCACTGTCACCACCATCATCATCACCATCACTGTAACCACCACATCATCATACCATCACCATCATCACTATCATCACTATCATCACCACCACCATCATCACCATCACCATAATCACCAGCACCATCACCATCACCCATCACCATCACCACCATCATCTTCATCACCACCTTCATACCATCACCATTATCACCACCACCACCACCACCATCATCATCACCATAAGTAAGCACTTTGCCTACATTAACTGATTTAATTCTCATAATAACGTCATAATGTTTTACAAGTGAGGAAGTGGGACTTCACAAGATTATGTTTTGTGCTGAGGGTAACATTGACAAGAATCTAAACCTTGGCAGGGTCCTTTGGTTGATTTTGTTTATGTTGTTGAGCAAAGTGCAAGATGGTATCTGTTCCTGCTATTCATAAATTTCATCTTTTAGTCAGCACTTTACCCTTATTTTACACTATCTTTTGGATTCCTGGTTCTGTCATCTCAAATGTTCCTGCTTCTAGCTTCATGCTCTCTGTCATATTGTAAGAAAAATATGTATCTTCACCTAGATCATACACAAGGTCAGAGGCCATGTGGCAACTCCTACAGATTCTGCTCACTGAGGCCAGATGGTGCACATCTCCTGAAGCTCCCTGAGCCTGCAGTCATGTAACCCACTCAGAGAAGCCTAGGGAGTGTTCAGGCATGATTTGTATTTGAACATTGCATTTGGTTCCTGGGAAACATATTTCCTCCCTGCTTTCAGGCCTCCATTCCAGAATATTTTCCAAGATGGACAGCTCCCTCCAAATTTATGTTTGCTGAAATCAATCCTCTGGGCAGGGCCAGATGTGAGGTACAAATAGAAAGCAGGGTCTGCAGAACACACATCCCAGAGGAGATAATGACCAGTTGATCTCTGTGAATAGTTAAATCTAGAAGACTATCTGTGGGCTTCAGGGCTCCCTGCCTCTGAATCCAGCAGTGCAAATGCAAGCCTCTATGGTCCCCCTAAACCATAGGTGGCTGAGTAGCCATGGGGTTGCCAGCATTTCTATAAAGGAAGAGCTCAGGGCAGCAATCTCATCAGAGGGGAGGCTGGGGCTGGCCTTGAATGTAAATTGTATGTATATTTGGGGCAATTTGCAAGGAGGGGGTGCCCTGTAAGAGATTACATGAGCTAAATTCCTCACATAAACCCATTTTGTGCCACTGCTGCTGTGCCAACTGACCAGAAAGCCTGGACTGATTTCTCCCCTCTCTCCTTTCCTTGTTGTGTTCTCTGACCCTGGGTGATTAATGTAACCTAGCTATGTTCAATTACCCATCCTTGTCACAATGTCAGGATGTCTGCCTCCTGTCCCTGGTGCTCTTCTTGGATTCCTGTGAGCCATGACAATGGGAGCCTCGCGAATTTGGAGGAGAGTAGTGGGCCCTGGGTCTGCCATCAGTCTGGGCTCCCTAATCACACGATTGTCACTGGAGCCTGCCTGAGCTCTGAAGTTCCAAAACAAGCTTGCAGGGAACATTCTTCCATCCCAATATATTTCCGTCATGAAATCGTCAAGCAAACCCTGAATGCTTTCTGTTGGTGCGGTCAGGGAGAAGTGCTGTCCCTCTAATACTAGAGCAGTCAGTGGCCATTTGCTGACTGAGACTAACAGCAGATCTAGAATGATTTGGAGAAGGCTGTCTTTGATCTCTTAGAACTGCATGTGGCCCTAGCAGTGTGCATGTTTTTGGGACAGTGGTTCCCCCACAAGCCATGAAAACTGAAGGGACAGGTGGGGGAGCTCCAGCCAGTAATGGGAAGTGTCTCAAACGTTAGCGAAGTTGTTGTGGGAAGTCAGGGACCCCAAATGGAGGGACCAGCTGAAGCCATGGCAGAAGAACACAGATTGTGAAGATTTCATGGACATTTATTAGTTCCCCAAATTAATACTTTTGTAATTTCTTATACCTGTCTTTACTGCAGTCTCTAAACATAAATTGTAAAGATTTCATGGACACTTATCACTTCCCCAATCAATACCCTTGTGATTTCCTATGCCTGTCATTATTTTAATCGCTTAATCCTGTCAGCTGAGGAGGATGTATATCACCTCAGGACCCTGTAATAATTGCATTAACTGCACAAATTGTACAGCATGTGTGTTTGAGCAATATGAAATTTGGGCACCTTGAAAAAAAGAACAGGATAAGAGCAATGTTCGGTGAGCCGGGTGGAACAGAGCCATATTTCTCTTCTTTCAAAGGCAAATGGGAGAAATAACACTGAATTCTTTTTCTCAGCAAGGAATATCCCTGAGAAAGAGAATGCGAACCTGGGGGTGGGTCTCTGAACTGGCCCCCCAGGCGTGGACATCTCTTATGGTCGAGACTGCAGGGAAAAAAATAGACCCCAGTCTCCCATAGTGCTCCCAGGCTCATTAGGAAGAGGAAATTCCTGCCTAATAAATTTTGGTCAGACCGGTTGATCTCAAAATCCTGTCTCCTGATAAGATGTTATCAATGACAATGGTGCCCGAATCTTCATTAGCTATTTTAATTTTGCCCCGGTCATGTGGTCCTGTGATCTCACCCTGCCTCCTACTTGCCTTGTGATATTCTATTACCTTGTAAAGTACTTGATTTCTGTGACCCACACCTATTCGCACACTCCCTCCCCTTTTGAAATTCCCTTATAAAAACTTGCTGGTTTTTGTGGCTTGTGGGATATCACAGAACCTACTGACATGTGATGTCTTCCCTGGATGCCCAGCTTTAAAATTTATTTTGTACTCTGTCCCTTTATTTCTCAAGCTGGATGAAACTTAAGGAAAATAGAAAAGAACCTACGTGAATATCAGGGCAGATTCCTCGATATGAAGTGATCTTGAATCTCTGATATACAGGGGCTGATATGGACACATTATTCTCAAGAAAACAATGGTTTAGGGCATGGTCTCAAGCTCTATCTAGGTTGAAATTTTGTCTGGCGTGTTGGCTCACATTTGTAATCCCAGTACTTTGGGAGGCCAAGGAAGGAGGATCGCTTGAGCTCAGAAGTTTGAGACCAGTCTGAGCAACATAGCAAGACACTATCTCTACAAAAAATTTAAAAATTAGTTGGGCATGGCGGCACTTACCTGTAGTCCCAAATACTGAGAAGGCTGAGGCAAAAGGATCACCTGATCCCAGGAGGTTGAGGTTGTGATGAGCTGTGATCATGCCACAGCACTCCAGCCTGGGTAACAGAGTAAGACCCTGCCTCAAAAAAAAAAAAAAAAAAAAAAAAAAAAATTACCAGCTCTATGATCTAGCACAATTTATTTGAGTTTTGCAGGCCTCAAAGATAATAATTGGACTTACCTTATTGGTTATGACAACTAAAAAAATAATACATGAAAAGTGCTTAAAACAGTTCCTGGCATTTAGTAAGAGCTTTGTAAGTATTAACTATTATTAGTACCATAATCATCTTTATTGCCACTATTTACTGGGTGTTTAATATGTACCAGACATGTTTAAGCACATACAGTACATTCATTATTAGCTTATTGAACGTCACTTTCTTTGACTGTTTGTTAGATTTTGCGGGGGGCGGGGGTTGTTGTTTTTTGAGATGGAGTCTCAATCTGTCACTCAGACAGGTATGCAGTGGTGTGATCTCAGCTCACTGCAGCACAGGTTCAAGCAGTTTTCCTTGTTCAGCCTCCCAAGTAGCTAGGACTACAGGTGTATGCCACCACACCTGGCTAATTTTTGTATTTTTAGTAGAGACAGGGTTTCACCATGTTGAACAGGCTGGTCTTTAACTCCTGACCTTAAATGATCAGCACACTTCAACCTCCCAAAGTGCTGGGATTACAGGCTTGAGACATTGTGCCTGGCTGAACTACACTTTGAAGTAGGGGTTAACCCCTTTGCTTCAGTTGAGGAAACTAAAAATGGGAGAGTTTAGTAACCTGCACAAAGTTAAACCTGCAAGTAATTGGAGTCAAAATCTGAATCAAGGGTTTTTTGTTAATTTTTTGTTTTGGAGACAGGACCTTGCCATGTTGCCCAGGCTGGAGTGCAGTGGTGCAATCACAACTCCCTTTAGCTTCAACCTCCTGGGCTCAAGTGATCCTCCTACCTCAGCCTCCTGAGTATCTGGGACAAGAAGCATGCACCAACACACCTGGCTAATTTTTTTTTAATAAAAAATAAAACAGGGTTTCATTATGTTGTCCTGGCTGGTCTCGAACTCCTGAGTTCAAGTGATCTGCCACCCACCTTGGCCTCCCAAAGTGCTGGGATTACCGGCATGAGCCACCATGTCTGGCATGGAATTGAGTTTTCCTAACTCCAGAGTTATGTTGTTATTGCCCTCTGCTATTGTCCATAGTAACAGCCATATTAATGAGTACTTCCCATTTGCTGAGTAGGGTGCTGAGCACTTTACATATCTCATTTCATTTAATGTTCACAATAATCCTATGAGGTAGATTCTCTTGTTAGTCCCATTTTACAGATGAGGTAACCAAGGTTCAGAGAAGCTAAGCAGCCTCCACAAATTTATACAGTGAAGAAAGCCAGCATTTAAATCCAGGCCTGCCTGACTCTAAAATCGGTTCTACTGAGTTTGGCTGGCAAACAGGTAAGCAGTATGCTCCCAGGAGGATGGTAACAGTGATTGGTGATCCATGACATCTGGGATCCACTGAAACTCGGGGCTAGAGTTTGCCTAATCAGCCCTATTTTCTGAGCTATCGTTAGGGACAATTTTCATTTTTTTCAGATGCTTCATTTCCTTGCAGCTTCTGAAAGCTGCTGATTTGCTCAGATTAAGACCAGCTTCTGTGCCTTTCACATCTCAGATTGTTGTGTACGTGCTCAAGTGTATGGATGAATCATAAACAGTCCAGGAGGCCCTGGGGTACTATGCAAAGTTTTTGCCACATTGCTGTGGGAGGAATCTGTCTTTCTTGACTGAACACTTAAGGTTACGTGACTGCAAGATTCCAAATGTGCATTTCAACATCAGGTTGTGATGGGGCAACTTGTTTTGTGATGAATAGCACTATAGTAGAACATATTCTATAGACAAGGGATTCTTGGGCAGGGATGCATGGTGGGGCTTCAGAGGCTCTGGGAACATTCTGTATATGTGTGTGCATTTTACTGGAGAGAGAGCTCCTAATTTTTATAATATTCTCAAAGGACTTCATGACTCAAAAAAATCATTAAAAAGCCATTGTTCTCTGGCCAGGTGCAGTGGCTCTGACTGTAATCCCAGCACTTTGGGAGGCCGAGAAGGGCCGTTCACGTGAGACCAGACTGGCCTAAATAGTGAAACCCCATCTGCACTAAAAATACAATTTGCTGCATGTGGCTGCACATGCCTGTAATCCCAGCTACTCATGGGGCTGAGGCAGGAGAATAGCTGGAACTCGGGAGGTGGAGGTTGCAGTGAGCAGAGTTCAGGGCTCCCATCTGCTTTTGCAGAATCAGAAACTGTGATCACTGCAAGGGTTGAGGGGAGGGTGCAGGGGACCGAAGCGGGAGAGCCTAAGGCTGGAGGGACAATAGCTCACCCTGGAATGTTTTCAAATTTGGTGGAGATGACTCAGGAAACAAGTTGACTCTGAAAATGTCAACCATCATTCAGTGTTATTGTGTCTTTGAAAGGTGGGCGTTTCCTGGTTTTTCCTCCACACTCATCAGTATACTTCTAGGAAGTGCCACTTAGTTTCATACAATTTACATGTACCTAGTTTTGCTGCATCTGGAGAGATTCAGGGCAGTTCCTGTTAATGAGAAGTCCCAGGGTGGAGCTACAATGCACTCTCCATTGTGAACCCTAATAACTTGAGACAGGTCTCAGTGAATTTAGAAAGTATATTTGGCCAAGTTTGGGGACACATGCCTGTGACACAGTTTCAGGAGGTTCTGAGGACGTGTGCCTAAGGTCATCAGAACAGTTTGGTTTTATACATTCTAGGAACACAGGAGACATCAATCAATGTGTGCAAGATTAACATTGGTTTGGTCTGCAAAGGCAGGACAATTTGAAGCAAAAGCAGGAATTCTCAAAGTGAGGAGGGGACTTCTGGGTCATACGTAGTTGAGAAACAAATGGTTTCAATGACAAAATACTTATGATTGACTGCAGAACTGGAGGCAAAATCTTCATATTTATATTAGTTCTCCTTGTTCATACTATATCTTTTGGAGGGATTTCAAAAGGCTCAGATGCGCATTGCACATGTGGAAGATTTGTATCAGAGCCGAGCAAACTCAAGATTAAGAAACCTCAATCTTTTAGAAGTAGGTTACATGCAAACCTGTCCAACATTTGTCTCAGAGAGAAAACTGTCTTTTTTATATTGGATGAGTAATTTATCTGCCATTCACCTGAAAAGAAAAATTACTACCGTTTTCCCAGGCTATTTCTGTACAAAAATCTTTGAAAAATAACCTGGAAAAGGAGAGATATGTGACATAAAAATAGCAAAACAACAAACTCTAAAAGACTACTGGAGAATTATATCTCAGCAGCATGAATCCTTTCCATTAAATATTACACTAAGCAATCTTCTGATGTAAAAGATCCATTGAAGATTTTCAACATGAAGACTAACTTTGGTTGTTTTGTGTTGTGAGAATGTTAAAGATTGTAAGAGACAGGAATAAATACCATTACCAAAGACTTTAGGGACATTAGAGAAAGGAAAGTTGTTGGATATTTTTCTTTTTCCTTTCCTTTTTTTTTTTTTTTTTGAGATGGAGTTTCTCTGTCTCCTAGGCTGGAGTGCAATGGCACGATCTCAGCTCACTGCAACTTCAACTTCCACAGTTCAGCTGATTCTCCTGTATCATAGCTGGGACTACAGGCTCCTGCCACCCTGCCCAGCTAATTTTTGTTTTTTTTTTTCAGTAAAGACAGAGTTTCACCATGTTGGCGAGCCTTGTCTGAAACTCCTGATAGCAGGTGATCCACCTGCATTGGCCTCCCAAAATGCAGGGATTACTGGCATAAACCACTGCGCCACATACCAGAAATGAAAGTTCTATCTGTGAAGTGATGTAATTCTGGCTGGGTGAATGACAGGTGAGAAGAAATGAAAATAAAACACAATTGAACATATTTAGAATACAGTGAAATTAGTTGGCTTATTGGAAATAGTTAAATGACTACCAATGTAAATAGCATATTTATTGTGAATGAATTGCTAATCTAGATTTGAGAGATAAAATCATTATTTTTACAACACAGAAACATAAACTGCATTTCCATATACCAACAATAAATTTGAGAGTAAATTAAGAAAACAATTGTTTGCAACAACATTGAAATAACATAATGCTCAGCAATAAATTTAATAAGGAGGTACAAAACTTGTACAATGAAAAATACAAGATAAGAATATATATGAAATAAACTAAGAAATACTTAAATAAGTGGCAAGGAATTCCATGTTTATGGACTGGAAGCCTTAATAAAGTTAAAATGACAATATTAGCCAAAGTAGTGTACAGAGTATTGTAATCCCAATTTTTTATTTTTTCCAACTTTTCTTCTGCACAAACAGAATAGCCCATTCTAAAATTCATATGAAATTTGAAGGTGCTCTGAATATCCAAAATAATCTTGAAAAACAGAACAAAGCTAGGTGGCTCACATTTTAAACTTCAGAACATAAAAAGCTACTGTAATTAAAAGTTTGACACTGGCATAAAAGCAATGATAGAGATAAAATTAATAAATAGATAACTCTGAAAAAAATACCTTGCATAAATTGTTAATTGTCTTTTGACAAGGGTGCCTAAACCATTATGTAAAGGAAATGACAGTTTGTTCAACAAGTGATGCTGGGAAAACAAGTCCAAGTTTAAACCAGTAAGTTTAAATCTTTTCCACATTCCATGTAAAAAAATTAAACAAAAATAGATTCAAGACATAAAAACAACTGTTAAAACTTTAGTGGTTTCTGATAGTTGTTGTTATTTATGTGAGGTCAGTACTACCATGAACAACTTTATACACACAATGTGTAAAACTTAGAAGAGATAGGTGCATTCCTAGACACACACACACCCTCCCAAGACTAAGCTAGGAAGACACTGGTTTCCTAAATGGACCAATAACAAGTTTTGAAATTGAATCAGTAATACATAGCTTGTAAATCAAAAAAAGCCCTGGACCTTATGAATTTCCAGCCAAATTCTACCAAATGTACAGAGAAGAGCTGGTACAATTCCTACAGAAACCATCCCAAAAAAGGAGGAGAATTTCCTCCCCAACTCATTCTATGAGGCCAGCATTATCTTGACATGAAAACCTGACAGAGACACAAGTATAGAAAACTTTAGGCCAACGTTCTTGATGAACATCAACACAAAAGGTCTGAACAAAATATTTGTAAACTGAATCCAGCAGCACATCAAAAAGATAGTCATCATGGTCAAGTAGGCTGCCTTTCTAAGATGCAAGGTTGGTTCAGCATATGCAAATCAGTAAACGTAATGCATCACATAGACAGTATTAAAAAGAAAACATGATTATCTCAATATATGCAGGAAATAATAAGAGCCACCTATAACAAACCCACAGCCAACATTCTGCTGAATGGGCAAAAGCTGGGAGCATTCCCTTTGAAAACCAGTACAAGGCAAGAATGCCCTCTCTCACCATTTCTATTCAACATAGTATTGGAAGTCCTGACCAGAACAATCAGGCAACATAAAAAAAGTAAAGAGCATCCAAATAGGAAAAGAGAAAGTCAAACTATCTCTGTTTGCAGATAATAGGATTCTATATCTAGAAAACCCTGTAGTTACAACTCTAAAACTTCTTTAGTCAATAAACAACTTCAGCAAAGTTTCAAGATGCAAAATCAATGTGCAAAAATCACTAGCATTTCTCTCCACCAAAGATAGCAACCCTGACGCAAAATCAGAAAGGCCATCCCATTCACAACTGCCACAAAAATAATAAAATATCAAGGAATACAACTAACCAGGGAGGTGAAAGAGCTCTACAATGAGAATTGCAAAACACTGCTTGGAGAAATCAGAGAAGACACAAACAAAAGGAAAAACATCCCATGTTCATGGATAGGAAGATCCAATATGACTCAAATGGCTATACTGGACAAAGTAATTTACAGATTCAATGTTATTCCTTTCAAATTACCAATGAAATTATTTACAGAGCTAGACAAAACTATTTTAAAATTCATATAAAACCAAAAGACTGGGAGTGCTGCCTCACGCCTGTAATCCCAGCACTTTGGGAGGCCGAGGCAGGCGGATCATGACATCAGATTGAGACCATCCTGGCTAACACAGTGAAACTCCGTCTCTACTAAAAATACAAAAAATTACTGGGTATAGTGGTGGGCACCTGTAGTCCCAGTGACTCAGGAGGCTGAGGCAGGAAAATGGCATGAACCCAGGAGGTGGAGCTTGCAGTGAGCTGAGATCCTGAAATTCCACTCCAGCCTGGGCAACAGAGTAAGACTCTGTGGGAAAAAAACAAAACAAAACAGAACAAAAAAACCAGCACAAATAGATGAGGCAATTTTAAGCAAAAAGAGCAAAGCTGGAGGTATCACGTTACCTGACTTCAAACTACTCTACAAGGCTACAGGAACCAAAGCCGCATGATACTGATACAAATACAGGCACATAGAGAAATGGAACTGAATAGAGAACCCAGAAATAAGGCTGCACATCTGTGACCATGTGATAATCGACAAAGCTGACCAAAACAAGCAATAAGAAAAAGATTTCTTATTCAATAAACTGTGCTTTGATAACTGGTTAGCCATATGTGGAAGACTGAAGCCAGACCCCTTCTTTACACCATATACAATAAATAAAAAATGAATAAATAAATAAATAAATAAATAAATAAATAAATAAATTCAAGATTGATTGAAGACTTAAATATAAAACTGAAAAGTATAAAACCCCAGACGACAATCCAGGCAATACAATCCTGGATACAGGAACGTGCTAAGATTTCATGACAAAAACACCAAAAGCAATAGTAAGAAAAGCAAACATTGACAAGTAAGATCTAATTAAACTACAGAGCTTTTGCATAGCAGAAAATAAAACTATCAATGGAGTAAACAGAGAACCTAGTGAGTGGAAGAAAGCATTTGCAAGTTACACATCTGAAAAAGATCTACTATCTCAGCATCTATAAGGAATTTAAATTTACAATAAAAGAAACCTCATTAAAAAGTGGGCAAAGGACCTGAATAGACACTTTTCAAAAGAAGACAAACATATCGCCAACAAGTGTATTAAAAAAACCTCAGCATCACCGATCATTAGAGAAATGAAAATTAAAACCACAGTGAGACGGCCAGGTTCGGTGGCTCATGCCTGCAATCCCAGCACTTTGGAAGACTGAGGCAGGCAGATCACGAGGTCAAGAGATTGAGACCATCTTGACCAACATGGTGAATCCCTATCTCTACTAAAAATACAAAAATTAGTTGGGTGTGGTGGCATGCGCCTGTTGTCCCAGCTGTTCAGAAGGCTGAGGCAAGAGACTCGCTTGAACCTAGGAAACAGAGGTTGCAGTGAGCTGAGATCATGCCACTGCACTCCAGCCTGGTCACAGAGTGAGACTCCATCCCAAAAAAGAAAAAAAGAAAGAAAGAAAGAAACCACAATGAGATGTCATCTCACACTAGTCAGAATGGCTATAGTTAAAGGGTCAAACAATAAATGTGGGCAAGGTTGTAGAGAAAAGGGAACTTATACACTGTTGGTGCAAGTGTAAATTAGTTCAACCATTATGGAAAGCAGCTTGGCAATTCCTCAAAGAGCTAACAGCAGAACTTCCATTCAATAGTCCTGCTTGCAATCCCATTGCTGCGTATATTCCCAAAGAAATAGAAATTATCCCACCATAAAGACACCTACATGTAAATGTTCATTGCAGCTGTATTCACAATAGCAAAGATGGAATCAATCCAAATACTATCAGTAACAGATTAGATTAAGAAAATGCACCACATACATGTTATGGAATACTAAGCAGCCATAAAACAAAGAGATTATGTCATTTGCGGCAACATGGATGTAGCTGGAGGGTATTACCTTTAGCGAACAAACACAGGAACAGAGAACCAAATACTGCATGTTCACAGTTGTAAGTGGGAACTAAATAAGAACTTAGGAACTCAAAGAGGAAAACAAAAGACATTGGGGTCCATTTAAAGTTAGAGGGTTGGAGGAGGGTGAGAAACAGAAAAGATAGCTATATGGTACTGGGCTTAATACCTGGGTGATGAAATCATATGTACAGTGAACCCCTGTGACATATGTTTACTATGTAACAAACCTTCACGTCTACCCCCAAACCTACTGTAAAAGTTTTAAAAAGTTAAACTTAAAAAACTCTTAGGAAAAAGCATATGCAAAAATCTTATAACATTAAATTTGCTGATTGTTTCTTGACTGTTACACCAAAAGCATAGGCCACAAAATGAAAAACAGATAAATTGGACTTGATTAAAATGTCAATCCTTTATATTTTTTTGATATGAAAAACACCCTGTTGTTCATGTTTTCTGATACCAAAAAAACTCACTTCTACTAAAATTTGGTACAAAAAGCATGAACAACAAAGTGAAAAGACAATCAGCAAATAGGAGAAAAGATTTGCAAATCACATATCTGACTAGGTACATAAGGTATAATATAATGAGCAGAATATATAAAGAACTTCTAAGACTCAACAACAAAACAAAACAACAACAGTATTTATAAAAAGGGAGAGGACTTGAATCTATATTGGGTCAATAAGCCTACAGAAAAATGCTCAGCATCACCAGTCATGAAGGACATGCACATCAAAACCACAATAAGGTACCACGTTACATCTATTAAGGTGGCTATATTAAAACCAAAACAACAAAAATGAAAAAGAACAGGTACTGGCTAGGATGTGGGTGAAGTGGAACCCTGGTGCATGGCTGGTGAGAATGGTTTATCAACTGTGACCAGTGGTTTATCAACTGTGACCAATAGTTTGGCAGTATATCAGAAAGTTCTATATAGAATTACCGTATGTTTCAGCAACAGGTGGAACACTTCCATATGTTTCAACTACAGGTGTATTCAAAATAATTACATGCAAGGACGTAATCTGCAACCTCTGCCTCTGGGACTTAAGTGATTCTCGTCCCTCAGTTTCCCGAATAGCTGGGAACTACAAGGATGCACCACCATGCCCAGCTAATTTTTAAATTTTTAGTAGAGACAGGGTTTTGCCATGTTGCCCAGACTGGTCTTGAACTCCTGAGCTTAAGTGATATGCCCATCTCTACCTCCCAGACTTTCGGGATTACAGGTGTGAGCCACCATGCTAACACCTCTGTTATTCAATTTAAGAACTGCATGCACAGATGTGTTTGGGTTTTTCAATTTTATTCACTTATGGACTGATACTTTCACACCTATTTTTATAGCCACATCATTTACAGTATAAAAGGTAAAAACAAATCCAGATATCTTCTAAGAGATAAACACATAAAGAAAATGTGGTATAGATACACAACAGAATATTATTTAGCCTAAACATGAATGCAATCCTGCTGGGCATGGTGGCTTATGCTTATTATCTCAGGACTTTGGGAGGCAAAGATGAGAGGATGTCTTGAGCCTGGGAATTTCAGACCCGCCTGAGCAACATAGCAAAATTCCATCTCTACACGTAGTACAAAAATTTGCTGGCCTTGATGGTGTGTGCCTACAGTCCCAGACACAGGGGAAGTCCATGTGAATCAGAAGGATCACTTGAGCCTGGGGAGGTTGAAGCAGCAGTGAGTCACGATTGCATTGCTGTGCACTCCAGTTTGGGTGAAGAAAGAGACTCCATCTCAAAAAAAAAAAAAAAAATGCAATGCTGATACACGCTACAACATGGATGAAACTTGAAGACATTATACTATGTAAAACAAGCCAAATACAACAGGATAAATATTTAATGTCAAATTTTTTGTGTAGGGGAATGTCATATGAGGCTGGCCCATTCTGAGGAAGAGCAGACTGTTGGGATGTTAGAATACTGATGGCTCATGTTTACAAACCAGGTAATGGTTCGCAAAGCTGGAAGGCAAATTCTGCTGTGGTACCCATCCATCTCAATTGATTGTTCTGAGCCCTGGAGCTGTTATCTTGTGCTTTCCAAGGCTGAAGTTCTGTGCAGACATATTTCTATGCCTCATCTGGGGAGCAGAAAGTTGCATGGGGTATAAGGAGCAGCAGTGATGGCCAGAAATAGCTCTGAGTCTTCCAAGTCTGGCTGCCGGTTACTGTCTTTGCAGAGTTCCACACAGGAGATTGACACAGTGTTTTAATCGGGTCACACTCTGTTTCCTCTGGTGCAGGACAGAAGCTTGCTGTTGCCAACAAGGGCCAGCATTGAAATAAGGTGAGTGGAAGAACAGAGGGTTCTCTAAACCATACCAGAGATGGCTGAGAAAGGCCCCCTGTGCAGACACTGCCATGACAACCCAAAAGGGCTCTGTCCCATATATTAACACACATATAGATATTGATATAGAGGTAGATATTTGTTCTATTCCTTCTATTCCTCTGAATAAGTCTAATGCAAACTGTAACTAGCAAAAGACTGCGTAAATTACCAAAAACGTACTAACAAGAAAAGTCGAGAATCAGATGGCTTCACTGATGAATTGTTTTAAACATTAAAAGTTGTAAATCCAATTTTTCTCACTCTAACAATTGCAATTAGTCAATGCAATATACCAACTCAGTAGAATGAATTTTAGAAAAAAAAGATCATCTCAATTGATGAAGAAAAAATTTGAAACAATCCAAAACATTTTTATAAGAGCACCTGGTAAACTAGATATAGACTAAAACTTCCTCAACATAAAAAAAGGTACCTATAAAAAACTCAAAAGTACCATTATATGCAATGGTGAAAGACTAAAAACTTTCTCCTTAAGATCAGGAACAAGACAAGGATAGTTGCGTTCATCACTTCTGATCAAAATTGCAATACAAATCAGGTCAGAATAATTGAGCAATACAAGAAAAGAAACATTCCAAATGGAAAAGAAATAAGCTTATTTCTACATATAGATATTATAATTTTATGTATATAATTAAAATCCTAAGTAATAATAAAACTGTTAACACTAATAATCAAATTCTGCAAAGTTGTAGAATAGGAGGTCAATATATACACATTAATGGAATAGAATTAAGGGTCAGGAAATATATCCATACATGTAATTTTTTTTTTTTTTTTTTTTTGAGACGGAGTTTCACTCTTGTTGTCCAGACTGGAGTGCAATGGCGTGATATCAATTTATGGCAACCTCCACCTTCTGGGTTCAAGGATTATCCTGCCTCAGCCTCCCGAGTAGCTGGGATTACAGGCATGCACCACCATGCCCGGCTAATTTTATATTTTTAGTAGAGACAGGGTTTCACCATGTTGGTCAGGCTGGTCTGAATTCCCGACCTCAGGTGGTCTGGATGCCATGGCCTCCAAAATTGCTGGGATTACAGGCATGAGCCACCGTGCCCAGCCAACTCTAACCAATTCTTGAACTTGGCTTGCTTTCTTGTGTACCTTATAAAAGCCTTTCCTGCATGCTCCTTGGGTGGACTACAAATCACGGCTGGTTGCTTTCCATTTCACTAATCACTGTTTGCTCAAATAAACTGGTTAACGTTTTAATATGGATTCCCTTTATTTTTATTTTATTTTATTATTATTTTGAGATGGAGTCTCGCTCTGTTGCCCAGGCTGGAGTGCAGTGGCATGATCTCGGCTCACTGCAAGCTTCACCTCCCGGGTCATGACATTCTCCTGCCTCAGCCTCCCTAGTAGCTGGGAATACAGGCGCGCTGCCCGGGTAATTTTTTTTGTATTTTTAGTAGAGACGGGGTTTCACCGTGTTACCCAGCATGTTCTTGATCTCCTGACCTCTTGATCTGTCCACCTCATTGCCCCAAAGTGTTGGGATTATGGGTGTGAGCCTCTGCACCTGGCTGGACTCCCTTTAATTTTTAACAAGAGAGAATGGGGACCCCTCCAGCCGCAGCTCCTCCCACGCACACTCCAAGTCGGGTTTCTGCCCTTATGACCCACTCCTATCCCTGAACAATATGAAGAATACTCAGTGATTGGACTCCGGTGAAGACTCCAAGATGGCGATCGCCACCTTGGATACCCTGACTCAACATTTCTGGGTTCACCTTTCCTGTTCCCGCCACCCCGACGAATGTGCATGCCCACTAGGGCATGTCACACTCAGAAGTGCAAAACTCAACCGACCCCGCCCCTACTCCACCCACTCCTCACCCAGCATCCATAAAAGCGCGCTGCACCTTTGGCAAAGCATGACTTCCCTGGCCCTCCCACTGTGGGCCAGTGAACCTCACCCCAGAGCTCAATAAAGATTTTTGCCCTCTTTGTCTCGCCTCTCGGCCTTATTGATCCACGGTGTCCTTCCGTTGCCTTTCATTGGTGCCGAAACCCAGGAGGGGACAGCTCCTAAGCTCCCCCAGAGGCTCAGGGGGACTCCCCTCCTGGTCGGATCAGGCCTGTCCCTCAGTCAGGTCAGGCTTCTCCTACACGGCCATCCGTTCGTTTAGTCCGGTTACTTGCCGCCAGGTCACAGTTGCTGCAGCTACTCCAGTCCAATTTGGCTGACGCGAGGTGAGTACCTCTCCTTTTTCCTTTTGTCCCTTCGTCCCTGGCCGAGAGTCATGTGCATGACCAGGGAGAGTTTCCTTCCTCAAGGGAAGGCCAGTCCATCACCAGGTGACCCAAGTTTACTTCCCCAGGGGAAGTCCAAATCTGCACTGACGACTCTGAGACGTCTGTGTCTGAAGTAGCCGATCCGAGGCTCCAGGAACCACGTGGTCTGAGTGAACCCAGAAGGCCGCTTCTGCTGTCCCTCAGACCGCTGCCATAAAGGGAAGAGGATGGGGTCCACCCAGTCCAAAATCACGCAAAACACCCCCTTAGGGTGCCTCCTGCGCAACCTCCCAACTTTACAACTCGATCAAGATTTAAAACAAAAGCGACTAATTTTCTTCTGCACAGTTGCCTGGCCACAATACACCTTAGACAACCAATCTCGCTGGCCCCCTGAAGGCACACTCGACTTCAGTATCCTAAACGACCTCACCAATTTTGTCAGAGGTGAGGCAAACAGTCAAAAATCAAATTTGTTCAAAGGTTCTGGGACCTCTGCTCTCGTCGGACAGCTGCCGCCAAGTGTTTTCACTGGAGCAAGTCCATCTGGCTAGCCTTCCCCTTGAAGTCTGGCCAGCCTCTCTTGCCGTTAATCTTGTCTGTGGCCCCCATCTTAGTCTCTCCGCTGCCATCTCCTTCTGCACCGCCACCATCTTACTACCTGTTTCCTCACCTCCGCCATCTTACTTCCTTTTTTCTCTGCTGCCATTTTAGTTCTTCTGCCACCATTCAGCAGCCATTTTAATTCCCGTTCCCATTTGTTCTTTTAACCCTGCCCACCTAACTCCTTGGCTTCCGTCTTATCCCCATTCTTATTTCCACCTCCCCGTAGTGCCATACCAGTCCACTACATCTACTACTCCTAACACATTAGCTGTGGGCAGTGATATCCGCTAATCCTGGATGAGGCAGTGGAGGGCCCCCAAACCCCTATCCAGGACTTAGTAAAGCTGGCGTTCAAAGTTTTTAATTCCTGAGAGGAGGCGGCTGAGGGACAATGACAGGCAAGACTGAAATAAAAAGTTCAGCTCCAAACCCAAGCCCTGGCAGCTGCCCTGCAACCGGCATTCCCTAAGAGCCCCAGCAGGAGAGGTAGCGGTACAATCTCCCGGGCCCCGTCTGGCACCTGCTTCAAGTGCTGCAACTCAGGACACTGGGCCAGCTGGTGCCCTAGCCAACAGCAACCATCCTGCCTGCCTTGCAACTGTTTCAAGTGTGGCAATCGAGGTCATTGGGCAAAACAGTGCCCAAACCCCAAGCCACCAATGTGCCTGTGCCCTAACTGCCAACAAATGGGGCACTGGAGGTCAGACTGCCCCAGCCTCAGAGTGGCCGCTGTGTCTCCACATGGCGACCCCTCCCCCGATGGCGAAGGTGCCCTCCAGCTCCTCCAACTGGACGACGACTGAAGAGGCCCAGGCTCGGGAACCCCTCTCACCCTTGCCGAGCCCAGGGTAATGCTTCAGGTAGCGGGTAAGTCCATTTCCTTTTTGCTAGACACAAGGGCTACCTACTCTGTTTTGCCATCTTTTAGCAGGTCCAGCTGCCCCTCCTCAATCTCTGTTATAAGGATTGATGGCACTCCCTCCACCTACCGCCAGACGCCTTCACTGCCCTGCCGCCTAGACCACTATATAACTTTCTTGAACTCATAATCTACCATCCTTCCTTTTATTCCTTACTAAAGCAAATACATCGAGTTATCTTCTTACTTTAGTAAACACTTTCTCAGGTTAGATTAAAGCCTGCCCTACCACTCATAAAACAGCAGAGGTAGTAGCTTCAACCCTCATTGAACAGATAATCCTGCGATTTGGCCTGCTTTTATCTCCAAAATAGTCAAACAGGTGGCAACCACACTTGGTGTTAACTAGAAGCTACACATTCCGTACCATCCGCAGTCTTCTGGAACAGTGAACACACCAATGGCCTTGTGAAAGAACACCTAATCAAATTGGCTCTTGAGACACGCCAATCATGGATAATCTTACTTCCCTTTGCCCTCGCGCGGCTCCAGGCAGCACCCTGAAGCCCCACAGGCCTTAGCCCCTTTGAACTCCTATACGGGCGCCCCTTCCTCTTTCAAGAGCTCCCTGTGAATACCCCACCTTTTGGCACATACCTGCCCTGCCTCACCCTGTTAAGGGAGTTGCTAAGAGAACATGCCAACCACAGCCTTCCAAAGCCCGGACGACTCAGCCCAGACAGTCTGGCCTAATAACCCCAGGAGATCAGGTACTAGTAAAAGACCTCCAGGCAAGAGGTCTCTCCCAACAGTGGAAAGGCCCCTATACGGTAATTCTTACAACACCAGTGGCAGCTAAACTTATAGGCCTTCCCTCCTGGTACCATATTTCCCATCTTAAGAGGGCACCTACACAACATCAGGCCACTTGGACTGTCACCTCCCTCTCCCCAACCAAACTGAAACTCTCTAAATCAAATACTGCATGAATTCTCTGCATGACAGGCTCCAACAATTTATGCAGGTTCTTTTCGAGGAAAGCTGGTCATTCCCTAGTTTTGCTAACACCCTTCGCTGGCCTGAAAATCTGTTGTCCTATATAGACGAACTGGTGTGGCAAGGCTCCCTCCAGAACTTTCACCAACATGAAGTTCGCTTTGACAAGCCCCCTCTCAGACTCCCTCTCACTGGGTTTTTTTCCCTCACTGAGAATTGGAGTTCCGGACAGGCAGTCTCCTCTAGACTAGTAGCCACAGCAGCATGCCTGCCAGCAGGGTGCCAGGCACCCATAGCTTTCCTAGGTCTAAAATTATCTTCCCTAGGCCCAGCTAGAAAAAAACCCTGCACTTTGCTTCCTGTATGATCAAAGTAACTCCAAATACAATACCAGCTGGGCCAAAGAAAATGTAGGCTGTCCGTGGCACTGGTGCAATATCCATGAGGCATTAACTCGTACTGAAAAAGGATCTGACCCAATGTTCTATGTCAATACCTCCACTGGAGGATGGGATGGCTTTAACGGATTTAACCTCCAAATCTCTGACCCTTGGGACCCCTGCTGGGCCTCCAGTGTAGATGGAGGACTATATGAGCACAGAACTTTTATGTATCCAGTAGCTAAGATCCGCATTGCCAGGACGCTTAAAACCACTGTCACATGTTTATCCGACTTAGCCTCCTCAATCCAGTCAGCCAAGAAAGAGCTTGCCACCCAGCTTCAACTGGCAGCTGACCAGGCCAAGTCCTCCCCCTTCTCATGGTTAACTTTAATCTCAGAAGGTGCACAATTGCTCTAATCCACAGGGGTACAAAACCTCTCCCACTGCTTCCTCTGTGCAGCCCTGAGAAGACCTCCCTTAGTAGCAGTTCCTCTCCCTACCCCCTTTAATTATACAAGAAATTCATCCACCCCTATACCACCGATCCCAAAAGGACAGGTCCCACTATTCTCAGCCCCTACAAGACACAAGTTCCCGTTCTGTTACTCTACTCCAAATGCCTCTTGGTGTAACCAGACCAGGATGCTTACCAGCACCCCAGCACCTCCCGGAGGCTACTTCTGATGTAACTCCATGCTAACTAAAGTTCTTAACTCAACTGGTAATCACACCTTGTGCTTATCCATCTCTCTCATCCCTAGCCTGACCCTATATAGTCAGGACGAACTTAGCCATCTGCTAGCCTGGACCGAGCCAAGGTCGTGAAATAAAAGCAAATGGGCTATTTTCCTACCCTTAGTACTAGGCATCTCCTTAGCCTCCTCCTTAGTGGCATCAGGGCTAGGAAAAGGAGCCCTCACCCACTCAATCCAAACATCTCAAGATCTGTCTACTCGCCTGCAGTTGGCCATTGAGGCATCAGCCGAGTCCCTGTCCTCCCTACAGTGACAGATCACTTCAGTAGCACAGGTCACGGCAAAGAACAGGTGGGCCTTAGACTTGCTTATGGCAGAAAAAGGAGGGACGTGTTTATTGTTACAGGAAGAATGCTGCTATTATCTCAATGAGTCAGGGGTAGTTGAGACCAATTTACAAACTTTAAAAAAAAAAAAGATCCAAGAGGAGTTAAAACACTCCTACGACCCTCTCTGCCCTGGTCTTTCTGGTAGTTTTCACCCGTGGTTCAACAGATGCTCCCTTTCTTTATCCCAATTATAATTCTCTGTATAATATGTGTTTTGCCCCAATTCTAGTACAGTTTCTCCACCAGCGGATACAAGAAATCACGAGGGTCGCTTTCAACCAGATATTACTTCACCCCTACATCCAACTGCCAACCTCTGATTTAGGCCCCCTCCCCAACGATGCCCCTTAACAGCAGGAAGTAGCCAGACGATTTTGTCATCCCTTTTCTATAACCAAAAAGAGGTTGGACTGATTGGACTCCAGTGAAGACTCCAAGATGGCGATCGCCACCTCGGATACTCTGACTCTGCATTTCCGGGTTCACCTTTCCTGTTCCCACCACCCCGACTAACGCGCATGCCCACTAGGGCATGTCACACTCAGAAGGGCAAAACTCAACCGACCCTGCCCCTTCCCCGCCCACTCCTCACCCAGCATCCATAAAAGCACACTGCACCTTTGGTACAGCATGACTTCCCTGGCCTTCCCCCTGCGGACCAGTGAACCTCGCCCGAGAGCTCAATAAAGAAGATTTTTGCCCTCTTTGTCTCGCCTCTCGGCCTTATTGATCCATGGTGCCCTTCCATTGCAGGGCTGTGGGAGCACAGCAGAACGCCACTCAGGGAGAGGACAGGACTGCACGAGGTGGGACGCAGGGATCCCCACTGCTGGCCCAGCCACCATCTTGTGGCCACAGGGGACTGACAGCCACGCTGCACAGGAGACTTGGAGCTGACCGTGGAGAGGCCAGTCCTGCCGGTTTTACAGGCTGCTCTCTTCTCTTGGGATGCCAAACCCCCATACTCTCCATTTCACAGCTTGCAGGATGTCCTGGTATCTTAGCTATGCGTTGGCAAGTACCTGCAGATTACAGGGCTATTAACAGAGACTGTGAGGAAGTCACCTGGAGCTCCCAACGTGGAGAAGGCGGAAGAGGAGAGATAGTTGCCAAGTTCCCAGCGCAAGGGAGAGAAAAAATTCCCGCCAAACACCAGAAGCCACGCCCTCCCTTCCTCTCCAACTGCTTGCCTGATTGGACGGTTCCCACGCCACTGCCAAGGATTAGATAAAGTTCCAGGGCCCACCCACTCCCGCCCCTACCCCCACTCCTGCCCCTACCCCCACTCCCCCTCAACCTTAGTGCCTTTCTGTTTTTTTTTTTTTTTTTTTTTTTTTTTTTTTAAATTAAGTTCTGGGATACATGTGCAAAACGTGCAGGTTTGTTCCATAGGTTTACATGTGCCATGGTGGTTTGCTGCACCTATCTCAAACTCCCGACCTCAGGTGATCCACCCCTCCACCTCCCAAAGTGCTGGGATTGCAGTCATGAGCCACCGTGCCCCTCTGCTGCACCTATCAACCCACCATCTCTGTTTTAAGCCACACACACTTTAGCTATTTCTCCTAATGCTCTCCCTCTTCTTGATGCCCATTCTCAGACAGGTCCGTGTGTGATGTTTCCCTCCTTGTGTCCATGTGTTTTCACTGTTCAACTTCCACTTATGAATGAGAACATGTGGTGTTGGATTTCCTGTTCCTGTGTTAGTTTGCTAAGGATGATGATTTCCAGTTTCATCCATGACCCTGCAAAGGACGGGAACTCATCTTTTTATGGCTACATAATATTCTGTGGTGTATATGTGCCTAATTTTCTTTCTCCAGGCTATCATTGATGGGCGTTTGGGTTGGTTCCAAGTCTTTGCTATTGTAAACAATGCTGCAATAAACATACGTGTGCATGTGTCTTTATAGTAGAACGATTTATAATGCTTTGGGTATATAACCAGTAATGGGATTGCTGGGTCAAATGATATTTCTGTTTCTAGATCCTTGAGGAATTGTCACACTGTCTTCTACAATGTTTGAACTAATTGACACTCCCACCAACAGTGTAAAAGTGTATCTATTTCTCCACAGCCTCACCAGCATCTGTTGGTTCCTGACTTTTTAATAATTGCCATTATAACTGGCATGAGATGGTATCTCATTGTGGTTTTGATTTGAATTTCTCTAACGACCAGTGAAAATGAGGTTTATGTTTTTTGGTCACATAAATTTTTTTTTTATTATTTATTTATTTATTGAGACAAAGTCTTGCTCTGTTACCCAAGCTGCAGTGCAGTGGCAGGGTCTCAGCTCACTGCAATATCTGCTTCCCAGCTTCAAGTGATTCTCCTGCCTCAACATCCTGATAAGCTGGGATTACAGGGGCCCACCCAAAGACCCAGCTAATTTTTTGTATTTCTAGTACAGACGAGGTTTCACCATGTTGGCCAGGCTGGTCTCATGATCCTCCTGCCTCAGCCTCCCAGAGTGCTGGGATTACAGGCCCGAAACACCTCACTCAGCCAAATGTCTTATTTTGAGAAGAGTCTGTTAATATCCCTTGCCACTTTCTCATGGTTTTCTTTTCTTTTTTTTTTCTTGGGAACTTATGTTCCTTCTAGATTCTGGATATTAGACCTTTGTCAGATGGATAGATTGCAAAAATTTTCTCCCATTCTGTAGGCTGCCTGTTCACTCTGATGACAGCTTCTTTTGCAGTGCAGAAGCTCTTTAGTTTAATTAGATCTCATTTGTCAATTTTTCTTTGTTGCAATTGCTTTCGGTGTTTTAGTGATGAAGTCTTTGTCCATGCCTATGTCCTGAATGGTATTGCCTAGGTTTTCTTCCAGGGTTTTTATGGTTTGGGTTTTTACATTTAAGACTTTAATCCAGCCAGGTGCAGTGGTTCACACCTGTAACCTGAGCACTGTAGGAGGCTGAGGCAAGCAAATCACAAGGTCTGGAGTTTGAGACCAGCCTGGCCAACATGGTGAAACTCCGTTTCTACTAAAAATACAAAAAATTATCTGGATGTAGTGGTGGGCACCTGTAATCTCAGCTGCTTAGGAGGCTGAGGCAAGAGAATTGCTAGAGAGGTATTTCCCTTTCTATTTGAAAATGGAGTTTCAGTGAGCCGAGATCAATCCACTGGACTCCAGCCTGGACAACAAAGTGGGACTCCATCTCAAAAAATAACCCGTGAAACAAAAATCTTTAATCCATCTTGAGTTAATGTTTGTATAAGATGTAAGGAAGGGATCCAGTTTCTGTTTTCTGCAAATGGCCAGCCAGGTTTTTCAGCACGATTTGTTAAATAGGGATTTTTTTTTCCCCTTTGCTTGTTTTGGTAAGGTTTATTAAAGATCAGATGCTTGTAGATGTGTGGTGTTATTTCTGAGATGTCTGTTCTGTTCCATTGGTCTGTATATCTGTTTTGTACCAGTAGTTGTTGTTTTGTATAGTTGTTTTGGCTGCTATAGCTTTGTAATATAGTTTGAAGTTGGGTAGCATGATGACTCAAGCTTTGCCATTTTTGCTTAGGATTGTCTTGGGTGAACAGGCAAACAGGCTCAAATAGTTGGAGTCACATGCCCAGAGTATCACAGCTAATTAAGAAGTGAGCTGAGACTTGAAATGCACTTGTTCTTTCCCTTTCCTGAGTCTGTTGTATAATGCATCTTAGCAGCTATTTAAAGGTAGGAAGTAGAACATTTGGAAACCTTTTTCACAACTTTTTAAGCATTTTGATAAGCAGGAAAGACCCTTGTCCCATCCCTGAGCCCCTCTCTCACAACACTGCACCCCACTGCTGACCACATCGTGAGGTGGCCATTAGGAATCAGGCAGGAAGCCAGGGCTGGGAATAAATAAGCAGGAATTATATTGCCCAAATTTGCTCATCTAAGAAAGGCTCCTCAACCATACTGTGTGAGGAGGTTATTCCAGGGTAGTTGTGCCCTGACTGTGCTGCATCTCAGGCTGACTTCTGTTTTTGAAAATCACTGTATTACTCTTATTAACGGGGGTAATTCTCTTTCTATTTGAAAATGACCGACTGTCCTCTGCAGGTGTCCTGATTTGATTTGCTAGTTTAGATTCTGAAGGTAGTGGTGAGAAAATATTCGGGCCACATTTAGAATATCTCATTCTCAGCTGGAGGACATATAGAAATTTCTTAATATCTAACCGTTTTCTCAATAACCATTATATTTAACTGTGATAGCTTGGAGGGCAGGGCTGGACACAGATGACACAATCTTCAAAGTTTAATTTGGTTGTATTTTTTTGTTTCATTTTGTTTGGATTTTGGATACTAGGTCTTGCTCTGGTGCCCAGGCTGGAGAGTGGTGGTGCACTCATAACTCATAATTTGATTGTAATGGTTCTTTAAATAACATATTTTTGGCTGAGTTTGGTAGCTCACACCTGCAATCTAAACACTTTGGGAGGCCAAGGTGGGATGATTGCTTGATCCCGGAAGTTCAAGACCAGTCTGGGCAACATAAGTTGTCTCAGTCTCTAGAAAAAGATTTACAAATTAACTGGGTGTAGCGTTGCTTGCCTGTAGTCCTAGCTACTTGAGAGGCTGAGATGGAAGCATCCCTTGAGCCTAAGAGCTTGAGGCTGCAGTGTCCCATGATTCAGCCACTGCACTGCAGCTTGGGTGACAGAGTGAGACCTGTATGTGTATGTATGTGTGTGTGTATGTGTGTATATATGTGTGTGTATGTGTGTATATATGTGTGTGTATATATGGGTGTGTGTGTATATATATACACCAGTATGTATGTTAAAAAATTCAAGCATGGGAGGTAAGTGAAAGCCCATGGTGGGGGATGTGGAGATAGGCGGGTATGGCTCCAGCAACTCAGTGAGACTTGGTTTTCCATCTTGAAGAATTGCCCATCCACACTGAAACCATACCCTAGCACAAACCAGTTCTCACACTACACCTGCTGGGATACGACTGTGTACTCTTTTTTTAAAAATAAAATCTTTCACCTAAGAGAAGGAGAGGAGAAAATGAGGGTTTCACATTCAAAGACTTCATTTTCTTTTTTTTTCTTTATGAAACAACAGCCGCTTGTCATTTGAGTTGTCCAAAGGTGACTGACAGCACTAATACACTTAAGGAATCAACCAAAGAAAATAGGCCTCTCAGGTGAGGAGGAGGCACAATGGTAACTAAACCCAATCCATTCTCAGCTTTGCATGGTGAAGGCATCTCAAGAAGTGGTGTTAGCCATGTGAGCCGTGTTCACTGGACAAGGCCAAGGGAAAGGAATTTCTAAGACATAGAGCACTCTCTAAACACTTCAAAAGACATTCAGCTATACACATGGCTGATGACCTGCCTGCTCTGCAGAGGGATTGCTGAGCATCAGCCACCAGCTGTAAAAGCTGTAAACTCTTCCTCTCATAGGGACAGGCCACCCCCACACACCTCCCCCACCGCGAGCCCATAGGCTCCGGTAGTAAGGTTCACCTGGGGGACTGCCTTCCTCCCATCTCATTAGCTCTCCAAGAGTGTCCAGATGACTCTAAAACCTAGCCCCACAGCCTGGCACCTCTCCCCCACCTAGCCTTCACACTGGCCTTTTCTCTTCTGTCACCAGTGTCAGGTGATGTTCACCAGAGCTACAGTCATGAGTCTGGTAAACGACAGGTGAGTAAACTCCACCTGAGTGCCTGTTAGTCCACCCTCTTATCACCCACACAAATGACATTATAAGCATAATTTTACCTTTGATCTAATTTATACATATTCTTCTTTTCATAAGATTACTGACAACAGCCCTCACAACCAAATGAGTCTGGGTTACAGAACACACGGGCGAGGCTGGTGTGGCAGGTTTCACTTACTTTATTCCAATGTGAAATGAAAATGTGATGGTTTAGAGACAAGAAAAAGTTATTTATCAAGTGTGGAGTTGCTGCACTTGCCAGTTCACCCTCACTTCCTTTGAAACAAGGTATCTGAACAGGCCATATTCAAAAGTAGCTCTTTGCAAAACCCCAGACAGAAGCCCCAGTCAGACACAGCTTCCTCAGGCTCAGAGGGCGGCAGCCTCCTCCTCCATGTTGGGCTCTGCCAACAGGAAAGGGAAAGAGCACAGACAGGACTGACAGGGAGTAGCCCAGGGTCTTAGGGATCCCCAAACTTGCCAAACCTGGTCTCTGCAGACGGGGCTGTGTGGCAAGGATCAGGAAGGGAGCTGGGCTCCACACAGAGGTGACAACCACTCCTGTATCTCTAAATTTCCACCAGGATCCATGATCCAGCCCTGCTTTCCCCCAGGCCCTTCACCTCCCCCCCGCCCCCCCACACACTGTGCGTTAGGCAGCTCAGGTCAAAATGGCAGAAGAATACATTCAGATTGTAGCTTTCAGGTATTCCCATCTGGCATGCAAGGAGTAGGGAGGCAAGTCAGGGCCTGTGGTGGTGCCTCTTGCTATGTCTGAGGGCAGGCGGGCCAGAGTTGGGCACATGGATGTCTACATGACCACCATTGCTGACTCCCTGCCCATCACTCAGAGCTGCAACCAGCCCAGGCCTATCACGATTAACAAAACCACTGCAGCTCTCATCATGTCACAAAACTAATGTGCACCCAGTGCCAGCCCTACACAGATCTCTGGCTTCCTATTCCAGGACACAGAAAAGCCTCCTATCTTTGCTATTTAAAATCCAGATTTTAAGCCATATTGAGCCTGGGGATAGTGGCAGCAAAAGCAGCAGCCAGATGTATACACTCCAGGTGTATATACTCATGGCTTGGGCACGTTCCACAGTTGTTGGAGGATGAGGCCTGAGAGGCACCTGTTTCTCAGCTGCTAACTGATGTCCACACACTCCATTCATGTGTCTTCATGTAGGCCTCTGCATCAAATATTCATTGAGCCATTGCAAACATATCTTTTTGGAGGCATCGTTAATTGCAGCACCAGCCCCCACTTGTTCTAGAGGCAGTCAGGAGCAATCTGGTCAGCTCCTAATCCCCTAGGACAAAGGTGCTGTCCTCTTGCCAGTGGTCACATCCAGCAGCACCATCTCAGGATGTTTTTTTCAAACACAAGCAGTGTGAGGTAGCAGGCATGGCATGACAGGCTCAGGACCATGGGCAGCTGACTGCTGGAGAAGAAGCACAGTGCAGATGCATCTGTGGGTGGTGCCATAACAAGCCAATGCAGCCACAGCCCCTGCCCCCCCCACAACCCCAGCCCAGATGGCATTCAATTCTTCCCAGATGGTATTGGGGTGCCCGATGCCTATCACTCGCCCACTAATTAGCACTGCCTTGTGTTGGTTACTCAGGAGAGGGGGTGGGGGGTGTAGATCCAGGTGGGCACCACCTCACAGCCAGAGTCCACCTGACTGCCGACCAGCAAGCAAGCCCAGGTAGCTCTGCTCTACACACTTGGCCTCATCACCTCTGGCTGCACTTTCTGTGTATACTTTGCACAAAGGTAGCAAAAAGAGGTCAACAGTAGCTGTTTTGACATGAAAGTCTATGCCCCCTTAAGATCTTCTAAAATATTGTTGTCTTAAGCCCTCTTTCTTCTAATACAATTTTTACCAATACACAAATACGAGACAGAAACTACTATAAATGAAATATTAGGATATTTAAAACTGATAAATAAACAGACAAACATGAAAACAGTCACTGTTTGGTTGCAGAGCACACCCTCAGGAAGCAATTATCAGATGAGCAGACAGGCCCCAGATCCCCCACCCAACGATGCTCTATCTCACTTTGCAGAGCTTCTGCGTTGGCCAGTCCTCAATGCTTTCTGGTGAGATGTCCAAGGTGAAGTGAATGTTGAAGGCTGTACAGCTGATGGAGCTGACTGCCTTGCACATGTTGTAAATCACCCCCTGGATCCAAGGGTCAGCTGTGGTGAAACCTCTTGATGGGAGGTAGTGCCAAGCCACCATCAGTGTGCCTGGGCTGCCCTGATCTATACACCCCAGCTCCTTGCTGGGATGTCTGCCTGCTTCTCTCAGGGGATGGGTCATGAGCCACCTCTGGCAAGGACCAGCTGGCTGGACAGGCTGGGTCCTCTCCCCCAACATCCTCAGCAGCCTTGCCTAAGCTGTCACCTGTGCCGATGATCTCCAAGGTAAGATTAGGGGAAATTTCTTAAGACAACTCTTTCCCCCTAATTTCTCTATCTTAATAACAGCAATGATAACTTTTAAGCCCTAGCAAGCTGAACCTGCAAGACAAATGAGCTCCTGCCTTAGAAGGGCCAAAGTTGGGCAGTGTGTGCCCAGGTGAGAGACCATTGGTTGTTACTGAAGGTGGGGAGCTGGCTGGCCCTGGACACTAAGCCTAGTGAAAAGTAGGGTCTTCTTCCAGAGAATCAAATTCTCGAAGGCCAGAAAAAGATGCTTGGGTCGTTTGCCAAGAAGCAGAAGGCTAGAAGGCCTTGCAGGGAACCCCAGGCAGCCTTCAGGGTGACTGAGAGGGCTGGGCTCATTCCTGCTTTCCTTGCTTTCATTCTGTCAGCAAGAAAACCTGCCTGCAGATGGTAGGTGGGCCTGAGGCTGCCACTCAGTCACTAGGGGCTGTAGGCACTTTCACTGTGGTTCTTTCTTGAAGCAGCCACTCAGGCCGTTCTTGCAGAGCAGTTCCCTCATTGTCTGCAGCTCCTTGTTTCAGTCCTGGGACCATAGAGGGACCAGGGAGGGAGGCAAGGGCTCAGCCTGTGCCCCACAACTTGCTCTGAGAAGTCTACCTTTTCTTTCTTTCTTTTTTTTTCCAGACGGAGGAGAAGTCTCTTTTGTTACCTCCCTATGGACAGCCTCAAACTTCCAAATGAACAGATCCAGCATGGAGCCTCCAGGAAAGTGCACAGAATTCTGTCTAGTACCCAGAGGAAGGGGGTTCCCACTGAGGGCAGGATGAGTCTGCCTGCCCCTGTTCAGGAAGGTTCTCCTCATAGTTCAGCCTCAAGGTGCGGGCATTCTCTGTGTGCACACAGTCCATGGCACAAACAGGAGAGAGGGAGATACAGAGCTGACCGAGCCAAGAACCTGGACATAGGCTTCTTCTCTGAGACTTCCATCTGCTCTAGGATCTTCTTGCCCTGAGAAGCTGCCCTGAGGTCAGATAGAAGCAAATGGCCACCACTTCCAGAGGTGCCCCCTGTCACACTGACAGCTCCCTAGAGGGGACTCAAGCAGTGGGGACAGATTGTTTGGGCGGAAACTCTGGAGTTTGGCCTGGCTGGTTCATCCAATAAGCCCCTGTAACATGACACAAGTCGGGGGAGATGAAACAGTGACTTTTATTTTATTTTACTATTTTATTTTATTTTATTTTATTTTATTATTTTATTTTATTTTTTGAGAAGAAGTCTCACTCTGTCACCCAGACTGGAGTGAATCAATGTGATCTCAGCTCACTGCAACCTTCACCTCCCGGGTTCAAGGAATTCTCCTGCCTCAGTCTCTGAGCAGCTGTGTCTACAGGGCATGCATCACCATGCCCAGCCATTTTTTGCATTTTTAGTAGAGATGGAGTTTCACCATATTGGCCAGGCTGGTCTCAAACTCCTGACCTCATGATCTGCCCTCCTTGGCCTTCCAAAGTGTTGGGATTACAGGCACGAGCCACCATGCCCGGCAGCCTTACCTTTTCTTTCATGGCATGACAAAGTGTTTTGTGAAGTTCAGGCTGTGGTACTTGAGCAGCTCCAGTGGCGAATGGCTTAGGAAGCAAAGGCTGGTGAGCTTGGGGTTGAGCAATAGGCTGTAGGCCTACAAGGAGGAAGTGGGCACTGAGCAAGTGTCCTGGTTGTCTGTCCACAGGCCCAGAACAAGTGACATACCAGGAGCCTGTGGGGAGCTGGCAGGGACTTACTGGATCCAGTAAAAGTCCCATGTGGATGCAGTGATGGGGCCCTTCGGGTCCTTGTCTGTAATTACAAAGAGGTACATGAGGTCCCCTTGCATCTTGCAGTTTCTAGGAAGTGGGTTCCAGCTGCTCATGCTGGGCACTTTTAGGCACTAAAGCCCTTCAGGAATGGTCAAGTAGAAATAAGCTCTTCACTTCACCAAGGACCCTCTTCTTTGCCCCCTTTGGGAGTTCCACCTTCCAGTCATGGCTCTGGAGACACAATGGTCCCTCTTGGGACCCTGGCAAGATGTACTCAGGTGGCAAACAGTCAATGAGGCTCATCTCCAAGCCATTCTTTCACTCCTACTGTTTGAGGAACTCGAGGCTGGTGGTCAGCACAGGGCAACCCAAGGCCAGCTGTCTCCACCTAAATTTGACCCTGGTTTGAGTGCCGCTAGGCCAGACCCCTCCAGGTGAGAAAACCTGGTCCTCAGCCTCTGGCTTCCATGCTCCCCTTCCCTCTTTTCAATCCTGGCCCCAATGTCTCCTCCACCTCTCAGGTCATTGGAGAATATGCTCGGGAAGAACAAGCAGCTTTAGTCAGCCCTGCTGAAGGCAGCAGATGGGTTCAGGCTCTTAAGCTGCTCTAGGACGTGGTTCATGTGGAAGCAGGCCTTGAGTAGTGTGTGTAGCTCTTTCAGGGAGAAGGAGTAGGATGTTACCAGGGCCTTGTATCCTAAAACATCGCATCTAGCACAGAAAATAGTTTGCAAGATGCTTTCATGGGTGATTTTAATTTTCAACTTTAGGCTTCCATTTTCAAATTCCATAATGAACACATAAGGTGGGGTTCTAATTTCAACACACACACACTCACACAAACACACACTCCTGTCTGCTAGTAGGCAGGGATCATTTCTTACAAAGAATCTCCTGCCAAATGCCTCTGAAGCACACGTGGGTCTTGAGCCGACAGGGCTAACTGCTTTTTCTGCACTAGTGTCTTGGGTTGAAGGAGCGTTTAGAGCTGCCTTTTTGGGCAGCCCTCATGAAGGGGTGTGCTGAGGACTCCCCAGGACCTCCTACTTCAGACGGTCTTCCAGTGTGTGTTTCACTGAAGTTTAATGGTGACGGTTTGGGGAAAGAGGAAAGTTCCTGTGATCAACTATGGGCACCATTGAGCTACAATTCTTTTCCACAATTGCTCTTAGCAAGCAGGTAGACCCTGGGAACATAAGTGGCTTTTCCCCAGAGAACATGAATACATGAGAGATTTTGCTTTACAACCAGGTGAATCTCACCACAGCAGTTGGTGCTGCACTGGACAGATTTCCCCACTCAAATACTGTGAAGCTTTTTAAGTTTTTTTTTTTCTAAGACATCATTTATTTTTATAGAATTTGATTGGGCTGATATCAAGCCTGGCTTTGTACTGCCTGAATTTTTTAGAATTACAACTCTGTTCTTACATTCACATGCTTATCTGTGACACAAAGACCTCTGAGGACTGGGGAAGTGCTGCCTGGCCCTTCTTTTTTGGGGCCCTCCCCAAGGCAGTCTACCCAACTTCCAAACCAGCCTTCCCTCATACACAGCCCTGAGCCCTCCTGCAGCTCCTCACTGTTTTGCCGCCCTGGGAAGTGGTTTGGCATGTTGCTAACCAGGTGCAGTGAGAAGGAGGTGCAGTGACACATTTCTTCATGGACCATCAGCACCGGCTAAATCTCCTGCAACATCTCCTTAAGGGACAACTGCAGGGAGAAGGCCCCAACAACTCTGATGAGAAACCACATGGATGGAAGCAAGGTCTTACTGTTTCCCCAGCCCAAAGTCCTGAGAATCATGCCCAAAATTCTCAGATTTCCACTTTTTGCATATTTAATTATTTTTAGAATCCCAGGCCCCCTCTATACATGCCACACCTACCTACACCTGACTGTGTGTGCAGAACAGAGTCTGGCCACACTGACTATTCCTGAAGACCAAGAAAAATCCCTATGCAGAGTAGGGGGAGATGGAACAACCAAGGTAGACAAAATGGCAGCTTTGCCTCATCCCTTGCCCAGTGCTAAGGTCCCCAGGGCAAACAGCTTTTGCCTTCAACTTCAAGTTAACAGCATACAAAATATATACATTTTTACTTCCCCCACTCTATTATTAATGTTACAAATTATATCTCTATATATTGTATGCATTTTCACAGAGATTTAAGAATTGTATGCACCATTATTATAACAATAGCAAATTTTGTATCTGTGTATATATTTATATTAACAGAGAGCTTTACATTTTCATATCATTTTATGATGCTGTCCAGCATCATTTAATGTTTCAACATAATTGACTGTCTTTTGCATTTTTTTCTAGGGTTATTCTAGTAGTAAGCAACCTTAGTTTTTTTATTTTAAACTTTGAAAGGCTTTATTTTTTTCTAATTTTTGAAGTACAGTTTTTTCCAGGTCCATTATTCTTGGTTGTTAGGATTTTTTGTTTCATTGCTGATATGTGTAAGGTTTCAGCATGCCCTCTTTTTCTCCCAGATAACATTTATGTCATTTTCTTCCCATATTCTTTTCATAAGACTCTTTCTCTGAATATATTGGTCTACTTGATAGTGTCCAGTAAGTCTCATATTTAACCCTTATTTCTTCCATTTTTTTCAAAAGTTAGTTTCCAGGCCTAAATATTTGTGAATAATATATATTTAATTTCCTGATTCTTTTTTTGCTCCAATGTTTGCTGTTGTGTCTCTGCAGTGAATTTGCAAATGCCAGTTATTGGATCCTTCAATGCCACAATTTCTGTTGGGTTTTTAGAAAAAAGGTTTCATCTCTTTGTTGATATCACATTTCGGTCATTTATTATTTTTAAATGTTATTCAATTTTCTATTTTTGTTTCATTTTTGTTCACTGAGAATGCTTAATTATTTTTAATTCTTTATCAGATATGCAAAAATCTTCATTTCTTAAGAGTCAACTTCTGGATATTTATTCTGTTTCTTCCAGTGAAGTATATTTTCCACCTTCTCCGTATGCCTTGTAATTTTTTTTATAAGATCTGGAAAATTACAAAATATCCATCAAATCTAGTATTTAAAGCCTGGCACGGCTGGGCACGGTAGCTCATGCCTGTAATCCCAGCACTTTGGGCAGCTGAGATGGGCAGATTACTGGAGGCCAGGAGTTTGAGACCAGCCTGGCTAACATAGCAAAGCCCGTCTCTACTGAAAATACAAAAAAATTAGCTGGGCGTTGTGGTGCACCTCTCGTCCCAGCCACTCAGGAGACTGAGACAATAGAATCACTTGAACCCGCGAGATGGAGGTTGCAGTGAGCTGAGATCACTCCACTGCACTCCAGCCTGGGCGACAAAGCAAAACTCTTTCTCAAGAAAACAACAACAACAACAACAACAACAACAACAACAACAACAAACTGGCTTAGTAAAGGGTGATATTGACAGCAATCAGCCAGGCTATAGATTCTGGGTGCTTCACAGATGCATTCTCAGATATGTCTTCTCTGGATCTTTGTGTATTTCTCAGTTAAAGAGAATTTGTTTCATTGTTTTTAGATTGATTAGCTATTTTCTTCCCCAGTTGACTGTCTGTGGTATTGCAGTTTCTCTAGTGCTGCAATTTTCTTTCTTGTCATCAGACACAACTGTCATCTGTATGAGTCCATCATGTCCTTCAGCACTCCATGTCAGGAAAGACAGAATCTAGTCATTAGGCAATATCTCAAAAAGACAAACATTTCAACACATAACTCTACAGCGTTAATTCTCTCCTGAGGAAGATGCTGAAAGTTGGGCATTTTCCGGTGAGCCCACTTACTATTGCGGGGAAGGGGAAAAAAAAAAAAAAAACTCTGGTGGAGAGTCTGTAGCAAAGAAAAAATTCCTGCAGTGTGAAAAGAGAGGAGGCAACAGCCATACACAAAGCAAGGTGAAAATAAATGAGCAGGTAACACATGGGAGAGGTCCAAAGGTCACAGAGAAAGACAGAGTTTAAATAGGGTTTGGTCATCTCTGTTGCAATGGAAATTGTTTTAGAAAAGCCTAATTTTATTTTTCTTGCTGTCACAGAGAAACATGTTCCTGTCCCATGCTTACTATGCTCTTCAATCTTCTATGGCTTCTTTTCTCCCTCCCAGAATCTTCCAGTGCATTCATACTGAAAACCAAAGTCCTCCCAGAATCTGTAAGAACCTACATGATCTGATTAGTGTTCATTAATTTTGGGAATCTGGGGAAATCTGTGCACATTTCTGGAGACCTCTACGTTATGCAATTTTTTAATAAATATGTGGTGCATCAAGTCAAAAGTGTGTGAAGGGAGTTGTGAAGGCATTGGGAGGCATTGGGAATTGGTTTAGAAATTCCAAGAACAGTAGTGTAAAGGTCATGTGAGCAAGGTGCTTGGAGCTGTTGCGGCAAGCCATCATTGCTTGTGAACATCCTGCTCACCGGTACGCCAGGGGTTGGAAAACCACACTTGGCAAAGAACTTGCATCGATATCAGGACTGAAATACATTGATGTGGGTGATTTACCTTGAGAAGAGCAATTGTGTGATGGCTATGATGAAGAGTATGATTGTCCCATTTTAGATGAAGACAGAGTACTTGATGAGTTAGATAACCAAACGAGAGAAAGTGGAGTTATTGTTGAATACCGCGGTTGTGATTTCTTCCCTAAAGGCTGGTTTCATACAGTTTTTTTTGCTGACGACAGATACCAACGTATTGTATGAAAGACTTGAAACAAGGAGCTATAATGAGAAGACTCTAACGACAATATTCAGTGTGAGATTATTCAAGTTCTTTATGAAGAAGCCACAACATCCCACAAGGAAGAAATTGTACATCAGTTGCCCAACAATATACCAGAAGAGCTAGAAAATAATGTAGATCAGATTGGCTGGGTGCAGTGACTCACGCCTGTAATCCCAGTAGTTTGGGAGGCCGAGGTGGGTGGATCACGAGGTCAAGAGATCAAGACTATCCTGGCTAACACGGTGTAACCCCATCTCTAGTAAAAATACCAAAAAAAAAAAAAAAAAAAAAAATTAGCCGGGGCATGGTGGTGGGTGCCTGCAGTCCTAGCTTCTCAGGAGGCTGAGGCAGAAGAATGGTGTGAACCTGGGATGTGTAGCTTGCAGTGAGCTGAGATCACACCACTGCACTCCGGTCTGGGTGACAGAGCAAGACTCCGTCTCAAAATAAATAAATAAATAAATACATAAATACATAAATAAATATAAATAAAAAGGAAAATAATCTAGATCAGATCTAGAAATGGATTGAACAGTGGATCAAATATCATAACTCTTGACTTATAAGGCCAGCTACTTTACAATCACTCTTGTTGATATTACTTTGCCGACATCATAGAAATTCTTCAAGGATCAGTAACACTTTATTGAAATCATGTTGCAGGACTAGCAGGTGGATAGTATAGAGGTGTATGCCTGTGTTTCTTTTTCTCCATGAGAAACCTAAACATCTGAAATATAATGAATATAGTATTACTAAGGATTGAGACAAAAACTGTAAGTTTAACACAAATTGCTAAGAAATAAATAATCTGACAAAATGGGTGGATATGTTTTAAGTTTATTACAGGAAAAAAGCAGATGATCTCTTAAAATAAAACTAAAGACTAAAGAGAAAGCATCACAGTATTCCTTTTTTCTTTCTTCAAATTAGAGAATAAGGGAAGTGTTGTACTCTATACAAAATTTAAAAGGTACAAAAGAGCATGTTGAAAAGTTAGGTCTCCCTTCCAGACCACAATATCCACAGTTGCTCTAGGATCCTTCACTTCAGGAAATAATGTTACTGGTTTCCCATATGTCTTTTGAGAGGCTTTATGCCTGGACAGTGTATACATATGTGTGTACAATTTTTTTAAGAATATAGTAGTATATTGCACACACTATTCTGTACCTCTCTTTTTTTACTTAATATATTTGGAGATTATATCATATCAGTACAGAACTCCCTGTTCTTTTTTTTTAGCCAAGATATACGTATCATACAATAAAATATACAATTTTGAAGTGTATAATCAGAACTAGATATGGTGGCTTGGGCCTGTAATCCCAGCAGCTGGGGAGGCTGAGGTGGAGAATTGCTTGAGGCTGGAGTTCAAGAACAGCCTAGACAACATAGTGAGACCTTCAAATCTAAAAACAAACATAAATGAAATATACAATCCATTTGTTTTTAGCTTATTAACAAGGTTATGACTGTCACCACTGTGGGGGAAGCAGGGATGATAAAGGGAAATCCTATACCCTTTATCAGTCACTCTCTATTCTTTCCTCCTCATCCCTTTGCAGTTACCAGTCTGCTTTCTGTCTCTATGGATTTGCATATTCTGGATATTTCATATAAATGGGATTATACAATAAAAAAAAGAAATTCCAGGAACACCAGAGAGAGAAGACACATGTTTTCTGCTTTATAATTTCATATCCTATGAAGGTTTAAAACATAATTCCACAAAAAATTTGATGGAAAATCTTTATGTGCAAAAGTATCTTGTTAAATATAAAAAAAAGTTTTATGGAGAATTATTTTTTCTTATCAAGACCTAATCTTAAAAATTTAAACTCTATATGCCAACAGTGTCTATTGTAGGGTGGTTTATTGTATGTACTCATTTTATGGATTCCTTACAAAAACTTTTCCCATAGGGGAAATTAGAACATTGCTGTACATACATTGAATTTCCAATTATTACCTTATTTCTCACTTATTATTTTGTGATTCTGTCTTCTTTAACAACAAGAATATCATGACAGCGTTTTCACTTTCTGAATTGTCATATGTCTGTAATTTGTCTGTAATCTTAGTTTCAGAAGTTCTACAATAGTATGTTCAAGGCCTGGCATGGTGGCTCACACATGTAATCCCAGCACTTTGGGAGGCAGAGGTGGGCAGATCACGAGGCCAGGAGTTTGAGACCAGCCTGGCCAACATAATGAAACTCCAACTCTACTAAAAGTACAACAATTGGCCAGGTGTGGTGGCATGCACCTGTAATCATAGTTACTCGGGAGGCTGAGGAAAGAGAACCACTTGAAACTGGGAGACAGAGTTTCAAGTGGTTGCAGTGAGCCAAGATCCTTCCACTGCACAACAGCCTGGGCAGCAGAGTGAGACTCCACCTCAAAAAATAAATACATAAATAAAATAATACAACATTCTCAAATGTATATGTTATATATAAATTATATAATTTATTAAAATATTTGTCTTGTATGTTTCATTGACTTTAGGAACAATGTGATTAGTAGCATTTTCTTCCAGTTTCCTCAATTTTTACCTGAATTGTAGCACAACTTATTCCCAGTATTACTTTATATATCAATTTTTATACTGTATTTAAAATATATATAGTTATTGTATTTAGAAATGTAAGACTTTTCTTCTAAAGGCTAGATTACAGCCTCACCACTTTGTAAGACAAGCAGCAATGGGCCGGGCATGGTGGCTAATGCCTGTAATCCCAGCACTTTGGGAGGCCAAGCCGGGCGGATCATCTGAGGTCAGAAGTTTGAGACAAGCAGCCTGACCAACATGGAGAAACCCCGTCTCTACTAAAAATACAAAATTAGCTGAGCGTGTTGGCACATGCCTCTAATTCCAGCTACTCAGGAGGCTGAGGCAGGAGAATAGCTTGAACCTGGGAGGCGGAGGTTGTGGTGAGCTGAGATCATGTCATTGCCCTCCAGCCTGGGAAACAAGAGTAAAACTCCGTCTCAAAAAAAAAAAAATAAATAAAAAATAAAAAATAAAGGAAAAACAAAGCAGCAATATATCAATGTATCAGTAGCATAATTTAGAAGTTTCTCTAGTATTACTTAAATGCTTATTTTTTAAAACTTTCTCATCAAAGCTTTATGAATAATTATAATATGTTTTCTTTGAAATGTTGTTGCCTTAACTGTATCAAACAATTAAAAATTCATGCTTTTCATGGATGCACAGTTAGAGTTGAAAATTGTAGTTATCTAGATTTTTTCTCTGTTTATTGAGGATTTTATGGGTTAAAGTTGCTCTTCATTAAGTTTTGTATTTTATATTTCTGTATTTTTCAGAGTAGGCTGCCTCACATCAATTGTGTTTCTAGCTTCTACCTATTTATTATGGTTTTGAATTGCAGCATTCAAATCAGAATTTTGGGGGTTAATGTTAATTTTAACTTTGTTTGCAATTTTGTGTCTGTTTGTTTCATTTTTTAGGGTAGGCCACCTTACATCAGTTTACTGTTTTTAGTTTTAATTTATATATTATAATTTTGTATGACAATTGTCAACTCTGTACATCTTAATACAGTGTGAGGCAAAAGTCAACTATGAATCAGCCCTACTTCCTTTTTCAATATAATTATCTAAGTGTTTGTTTGCTTGTATAAACGTTACGCCTATTTTGTTTATGATTTGTATATTTTTCTTCTTGGCTGGTGGCCAATAATTGATTCTGTCTAGGTGAGTATTCATGGAAATTGTCTTAATTTCAACACCTTTATCTTATAATATCTTAATGTGAAAGAAACTGTTTTGTGGTTTGAAGGTAGGTTAGATGTCTTATTTATTTTTAAGACAGAGTCTTGCTCTGTCACCCGAAGTGCAGTGGCACAATCTCGGCTCACTGCAACCTCCACCTCCCAGGTTAAGGCAATTCTCCTGCTTCAGCCTCCTGAATAGCTGGGATTAAAGACATGGACAACCATGCCTGGCTAAGTTTTGTATTTTTAGTAGAAATGGGGCCAGGCTTGTCCTGAATTCTTAATCTCAAGTTATCTGAACACCTTGGCCTCCCAGAGTGTTGGGATTACAGGCCTGCGCCACCTGCCCTCAGGTGTCATTGTTAATTTTAATTGTGGTAAAAATATGTAACATAAAATTGAGAATCTTAAATATTTTTTCTTATACAGTTTAGCCATGTTAAGTGTATTTACGTTGTTATGCAACATATCTGTAAAACTTTTTCTGTTGCAAAACTTAAAACTCAATATAAATTAATAATACCCATTTTTTTTTTTTTTTTTTTTTTTTACCACCAGGCTCCTGATGAAAACGATTCCATTTTCTGTTTTTAAAAGTTTCAATACTTTCGATATTACAAGTAAGTGGAATCATAAAGTATCTGTTTTACTGTGGATAAGTTTAGTTAGCATCATGTGCTTCAGGTTTATCTTTATTGTGGATGTTACAAGATTTTCTGCTTTTAAAGGCTGAGTAGTTTTCCATTACTTTTATATGACAAATTGTATTTATTCATTTATTTGGTGAAGAAAGTTTGTTTTGCTTTCAAATATTGGCCTTTTTGAATAATGTTTCAAAGAATATAGGTGTTCCATTAACTATTTGCCCACATGTGCAAGGTTTTCATCTGTGCTACATTGTGTTTTATTGGAAAACTTGTCTGTCTTTATGCCAGAACCAAACTGTTTTTATTACTGTAGCTTTGTAATGTGCTTCAAAATCAGAAAAGGTGACATCAATAACATTGTTTCTTTTTTTTTTTTTTTTTTAACATTTTTGGGCTCTTTTTTTGTCCCTGAGATTCCATATAATTGTTGGTTACTTTTCCTATTCCTGAAAAAAAAAAATTAATTTAAAAGGGATTGCATTGAATCTGTAGTTCACTAGGAAGTATGAACATTTTCACAATATTAAGTCTTACAACCCTTGAACACAAGCATGCTCAAAAGTGAGTTGTTTAATTTCCATATGTGCTGATATTTTTGTTTTCTTCTGTTATCAATTTCTAGTTTTATTCCATTTTGATCAGAAATAATAGTCTTTAAGATTTCTATTCTTAAAAAATTATTAAGTCTTGTTTTGTGGCCTAATAGGTTTTGTATCCAGGAGAATGTTTTATAAACTATTGAGAAAATTGTGTTCTTCTATTGTTGTGTATTCTGTATATTCTCATTAGATCTAATTTTTCTGTAGAGTTTTCAAAATTTCTGTTTCCTTATTAATATTTAGGCTAGCTTTACTATTCATTATTAAAAGTTTGAATTAAAGTATTCTACCATTTTTTTTGTCTATTGTAATAATTATTTCAATGTTTACTTTGTACATTTGGAAAGACTGGTGTGAAAAATTTATGTATCTATCTATCTATCTATCTATCTATATATATACACACATATATATAATAAAATTTCATAAGTTCTAAGTGAATGAGCCCTTTTATTATTATTTAATGCTCTTCTTTGTCTCCTGTGACAGTTTAGACTAAAAGTTTACTTTTATTTTTGAGGAGGAGTCTCCCTCTGCCGCCCAGGCTGGAGTGCAGTGGTACGACCTCAGCTCACTGCAAGCTCCGCCTCGTGGGTTCACCCCATTCTCCTGCCTCACCTCTCGAGTAGCTGGGACTACAGGTGCCCACCACTATTCCTAGCTACGTTTTTGTATTTTTAGTAGAGATAGGGTTTCACCGTGTTAGCCAGGATGGTTTCCATCTCCTGACCTTGTGATCCACCCACACTGGCCTTTCAAAGTGTTGGGATTACAGGCATGAGCCACCATGCCCAGCCTACTTAAAGTTTGTTTTATGAACTATGACTAAAATATATTTTGCCTAACACAGCTGTGACCAGCACTGCTCTCATAGGATTTCAATTTACATCAAAAGTCGATTTTGATCTTACTACTTTCAGTCTAGTTTTGACATTAGATCTAAAGTGAGTCACTTATGGAAAGGATAAAGTTGTTGTTGATTAATCCATCTATTCAATTTACATGGTTTGATTGAAAAGTTTAGTTCATAAATATTAAGATATCTTTTTGAAATTGAAGAACTTAATTTTGTCATTGTTTTCTCTGATTTTCATAGCTATGTGATCCCCTTTACCCACTCCTTTCAATCTTCCCTTCTGTGTTGATTTTTATAGTGGCATGCTTTAATGTATTTGTGTGTGTGTGTGTGTGTGTGTGTGTATCTCTGTAAATGTTTTTCTTGCAGTTACCATGGGGATTGCATAAAACCTTCTGTTTTTCTTTTGAGATGGATTCTGACACTGTCGCTCAGGTTGGAGTGCAGTGGTGCAATCTCAGCTCACAGCAACCTCTGCTTCCTGAGTTCAAATGATTCTCCTGCCTCAGACTCCCCAGGGGCTGGGATTACAGGGGACCACCACTATGCCCAGCTAATTTTTTGTATTTTTAGTAGAGATGGGGGGTTTCACCATGTTGACCAGGCTGGTGTCAATCTCCTGACTTCATGATTCTCCCGTCTCGGCCTCCTAAAGTGCTGTGATTACAGGCATGAGCCAACATGCCCAGCCAGCAACAAATTAATTTCAATTGCATACGAACATTCTTTCTCTTTCCATCTGCCTCAACTTAATATTATTGATGTCACTAATATCTTTTTATATTATATATCATTAACAAATGTTTTTGCGTATTTTTAGTCTTTTGTTTTTTGATTATATTACATAATTACGTATGTTTTCTGAACCATCATTTGAATTCATCAGAATTTTATTTTTGTGCTTGCATGTTTCTTTTCCAAAGAGTTATGTACTTTCATCTAATTTTGCAATGCTATTTAGCATGACTTTATTTTTCATGAGAAAATCTCTCTTTAGCATTTCTTGTAGTGCAGTCCTAGTGGTGATATGCTGTTGCAGTATGTGGTCATCATGAAAAGACTTTGCTTTTTCTTCATTGTGATAAATAGTGTATCTGGATATAGTATTGTTGCTTAAAATTTTTTGTTCTTTCAGCACATTGACAATATTACCCATGTCCCTTCTGGCCAGCAAGATTCCTGCAGGTAGATTCACTGATTATCTGACAGAAGAACCCATATAAATGACACATAGCTTTTCTTTTTTAGCTTTCAAGATCATCTACTAGTCTGTGACTTTCAAAACTTTGCTTATAATTTTTCTCATTATGAATCTTTTTGTGTTTATCTTAGTTAAAATTTGTTGAACATTTTAATTTTTATGTTTTTTTCTTAAGCTTGATAATTTCTCAGGCATTTTTTCTTTTTATATTCTTCAACTTCATAATTTGTTCTCTAATAGTTTTTATCTTATTGTGTTTGTTCTCATTTTCCTGATTTTATTTCGTTGTCTGTGCTCACATTTTGCTCACTCAGCACCATTTAGATAATTATTTTAAAATTTTTTAGGTAATTTATACTTCTCTATTTCTTTAGGGTAGATTTCTGGATATTTATCTTTTTTTTATTATTTTTCCGTATTGCCCTAATACTTTGTATATATTGTAATTTTTGGCTGATTATGTTATATTACATTATATATGTCCATTAAACTTGGCCATTTAAAATAATCACTGGTCACAGTTTTTACTTAGAGGCTTTGTTCTGAGAGAATCTGATACAAACTTGTTGGCCTAGAAATTCTGAAGTTCTCTCAAACCTTTTCTCAAGATTCATTTTCTTTTACTACGTTTGGTCTCAGCCAAACCAATCTGTCATTCAAAGTACACTACTATGTCTTTGAGCATTCTGAAGCCAGGAGTGGGGAGTCCACTCCTAGATGCACCATGCTGTATTGGGAAGGAGAAAGAACTGTGGTGTGTAAATGTAACAAACATTCCTTTTTTTTGTTTTTTTTTTTTCTGGGATATGGTTTCACTCTCATTGCCCAGGCTGGAGTGCAATGGCACAATCTCAGCTCACTGCAACTTCTGCCTCCCAGGTTCAAGTGATTCTCCTGCCTCAGCCTCCTGAGTAGCTTGGATTACAGGCATGCACCTCCATGCCCGACTAATTTTTCATTTTTAGTAGAAACAGGTTATGTCCATGTTGTTCAGACTACATTTGAACTCCTGACCTCAAGTATTCCACCTGACTTGGCCCCCCACAATGCTGGGATGACAGGCATGAGCCACTGCACCTGGCCACAGACATTCCTTCTTGTGAATGTGGAGGACATGCATGCCCCTGACAAAAAAAGCTTTAGAGTTTTTAAAAAATTTGATATGGGTTTGGGGGTAATCTAACCACTACTATAGCTACAAGAAATCCTCGTGTAATTTTGTCAACTGTGAAGCAACAGCATCCATCAGTATTAATAGCCTGTATGAAGTGCATTTTCCCACTGAGTTCTCCAAAAAAGTCCTCAGTGTAGAGATAGGAAAACACAGGCTTCGCAATTTCAAATGGCTGCTGAACAGCACATGGGTCAGAACTAAGAACCTTCCAGAGAGGGCTGCATGAAATTTCCTCTAAATTACCTGAAACACAGCAGCTTCTGACACTGAGTGCAAGAACCTGGAGAAGCCATATTTCCTCTGCATTTTGGAGACAGTGAACAGGGCAAGACAGCTTAGAAAGAATTAAAGCAACATTTTTTTCTTCCTTTTTTTTTTTTTTTTTTTTTTGAGACAGAGTCTCACACAGTCACCCAGGAGTGGAGTGCAGTGGCAGGATCTCGGCTCACTGCAAGCTCAGCCTCCTGGGTTCACGCCATTTTTCTGCCTCAGCTTCCTGAGTAGCTGGGACTACATGTGCGTGCCACCACATCCGGGTAATTTTTTTGTGTTTTTATTAGAGATGGGGTTTCACCGTGTTAGCAAGGATGGTCTCGATCTCCTGACCTCATGATTCACCCACTTCGGCCTCCAAAAGTGCTGGGGTTACAGGTGTGAGCCACTGTGACCGGCCCTTCTTTCTTTAATATTAAGGAAAGTCTTGAGAAAGAGACACAACATTTCCAGACCTGGTAAGAAGATAAATGCTGGGAGACTCCAGGATTAATGACAGAGTCAAAGATCTGAGGAGATAAATTGAGGAACAGAAAACCCATATCTATATTTAAAATAACAACTACCAAGTGACTTAAACACATCAGTTGGAAAAATGGAAATAAAAGGAAAAATATGTTTTTATTGTGCCCACAGACATGAGATTGTCAGAAAATTAAAAGAATGTTAATATCCAGGGGAGGCTGGGTTCAGAGAAGCAGCTTTATTCAGGGACTGTTGATGACAATGTACTTGCCACAGACCTTGTGGAAAGTCATCTGCCTGTAGCTTTGGAAATTTTACATATGTATATCATTTTACCCAGTAATCACTTTCCTGGCAATCTACCATTAATACATATCATGTTCCAAATTGTGTCCCTTCTCCCAAATTTATATGTTGCTATTCTAAAATTTATATGTTGACATTCTAAGGCATATATAATATAATTAGCCTCAAATTGTGAGTGAGTGTGTGTTTGGACATATCGCTTTTAAAGAGGTGACTATGATTAAGTAAGTTCAGTAAAGTGAACCCTAACCTAACATGACTGGAGTCCTTTCAAAAAGAGTAAAGACGCAGAGGCTCAAGAGAAGACACTCTGAAAACAGAAATAGAAGGTGGTCGATTAATCTCAAGTAGAAATATGCATTAGAGAAACCACTTCAGCCAATAGCTTGTTGTTCAATTTCTAGCCTCCAGAATTATGAGAAACTCAGTTTCCATTGAGATCTTCAGTACACGGTACTAGATTATGGAAGCCCAAGCAAACTGTTCCAGCCAATCATGACACACAGATAAATTTTCTTCATTACAGCTAAAATGAAAATAGAATGTTATCATGGCAGGCTCCACCAGCATTGAAAGGCTAAGCCACTCTGCGAAATTACCTTCTTGTATAGAACATTACGAAGACATGTGAAGGCACAGCTTCTACCCTGATGGGCTACAGGGATGAGTTCTCTGAGGTGCCACATTGCAGGCAAATGAAGGGAACAAAGTAACCTCTTTTTCACGTAACCTCTTCCCTATTTTTGTGTGAAAACCTTCTTAGTAATAGTGGTGGCTTTTAAGTATTGGAGAAAGTCTGGCAATACAGTGAAGCTGCCTGCTACAGAAGATACCTGGGCTAAATAGTTAATACAATACAAACTATAGCAACATGAATAAATACAGTCCAGTGTAAAGTAAAAACAACACAAAGGCCTCCTCTGGTATTTCTACAAGTACGTGAACAGGGACTTTACACCTAACCAAGTTGCCATTGGGACTAATGAAAGCCAGATTTTTGGCTGCAGAACTTTGGGTCACTCTGAGAAAAAAGCTCTAAGACAGAGCCCAGAGACAGTCCATATTTGGGTCTGGGTTTTGGACCCATCCTGGCATTGTCAGGCCCCAGTCTGTAGAGACTGCCATGTGCCTGCTCTCACCATAGCTCACTGGGCCCTGCTTGGTGGTATGGTGAACCTGCCCCTTGTCCAAGGAGATGGGGACTTGAACTCATCAAACAGCTGCTCATTGATTTTGATACAGCTCTGTAAAGAGAATGCCCAGCAGCCAAGCCAAGCCAAAAAAAAAAAAAAATGTTAATGGTCTCCCTTGTTTTTACCACAAGGTGACATCCCCATTAGAAATTCTGCTCCCGCCTGGGTGCGGTGCCTTATGCCTGTAATTCCAGCAGCTTGGGAGGCTGAGGCAGGTGGATCATGAGGTCAGGAGATCGAGACCATCCTGGCTAACATGGTGAAACCCCGTCTCTACTGAAAAAAAAAAATTAGCTGAATTTGGTGGCAGGAGACTGTAGTCCCAGCTACTCGGGAGGCTGAGGCAGGGGAACAACGTGAACCCAGGAAGAGAGTTTGCAGTGAGCAGAGATTGAGCCACTGCACTCCAGCCTGGGTGACAGAGTGAGATTCTGTCTCAAAAAAAAAAAAAAAAATTATGCTCCCCAGATCAGACACATAGGAGCATCTTCATAGATCCCCAGTGCATGAAGAAACCAGAGGACAGCTGAAGACCTTGAGATTCACATCTGAGTAGACACACTTGCTCTCCAACACTCAACTATTTATTCAACCAGCCATGACCTGGGTTTGAACATGACGGACTCACCAGAGTTCCAAAGCCTGACAACCTGCACCTGTCAGGAAAAGCCACCTCCTTTCCTGTTCCCCCTGAAACACATGGTTATGGTGGGCCAGATGGGGTTTCCCAGATTAGATGACAAGAGAGGCCTGGCATGGACAGACCTGCCCTGGACTACACTGCAGTTCCTGTGGGTGCCTCTTGCCAAATGGGCACAGGTATCAAGGATGTGGGCTCAGCCAACATCTGTATTATTTGAAAAGGCTCTCAACTTTGGACCTTTCTAAGGTAACAGCTTAGGAATATCACCACGAAATAAGAACATAGTGTTCTCTTAAGCATATCCCATGAAATGAGCTAGGTACAGGGCTGTCTCTAGAGTGTGGATGTCTAGTTTTCAAAGTTCTAAATTCTATCAGGTTCTGTCACAAGAGGAGTGTGTTAGTTCTTCAAGGTTCCATCATCCCCTGAGCCCTTTTCTTCTATAAATGTATGCAAAGTCTCTGCACAGCTGCTGATTACTCACCTTCCTATCCCGTGTCAACTCTTCATCTGTACACAGTTATGCAAACACAAGCCCCTTACCCCATGAAAACATCTAAATACAGCCAGGGCCCCAGGTTTGAGGGAAAAGAGCTGGATTAGAACATTCTTTTTCTTCTCATTTCTGTGATCATAAAAAAACCACTGTGTTTCAAGTCTCCCCAGCCCTGAAATATATGCACATTGGGGATTCTGCTAGCATCGGCTTCCAAGCAATTTCTTTGAATATATAGGAGGTAGAGTGAATAAAATTCAGTTAGGTGCAGTGGCTCATGCCTGTAATCCCAGCACATTAGGAGGCCAAGGCAGGTGGATCGACTTAAGGCCAAGAGTTCGAGACAAGCCTTGGCAAACATGGCAAAAATTCAGGAGGCTGGGGTCAGTGAGTCGCTTCAACCAGAGAGGCAGAGGTTGCAGTAAGCCGAGAATGTGCCACAGCACTCCAGCCTAGGTGATAGAGCAAGATCCTGTCTCAAAATAACAATAATAATAAGCATGATAAAAAGATTAGCTAGGTGTGGTGGTGCATGCCAGTACTCCCAGCTACTCAGGAGTCTGAGATAAGGAGAAGATCACTTGAAGCCTGAAAAATTGAGGCAGCAGTCAGTCATGACCCACTCTAACCTGGGCAATCCTGTGAGAAAGAGAGAAAAGAAAGAAGGAAAGAAGGAAAGAGAAAGAAAGAAAGAAAGAAGAGAGAAAGAGAGAAAGAAAGAAAGAAACAAATGCGGGCAGATCACGACGTCAGGACATCAGGATCATCCAGAACAACATAGTGAAATTCTGTCTCTACTAAAAATACAAAATTAGCTGGGTGTGGTGGCGCGTGCCTGTAAATTCAGCTACTCGGGGGGCTGAGGTAGGAAAATCACTTGAACCAGGGATACGAAGATTGCAGTGAGCTGACATCATACCACAGCACTCCAGCCTGGTGACAGGGCTAAAAATAAAATAAAATAAAATAGAAATAGAAATAAAAAATAAAAAAAAAGAAAACTGCACTTCAAGCTTGGCCACCATCCCATGTGCATCTCATATTGGATCTGCCCATTTGTCAACTCCGAGATCTATATTTTCCATCTTTTTTTTTTTTTTTTTTTGAGATTGAGTCTCCCTGTGTCACCCAGGCTGGAGTGCATTGGTGCAAGCTCCTCTGCCTCACAAGTTCAAGTGATTTTCCTGCTTCAACCACCTGAGCATGTGGGACTACAGGAGTGCGCCACCAAGCCTAGCTAATTTTGTATTTTTGGTAAAGACGAGGTTTCACCATATTGGTCAGGCTAGTCTCAAACACCTGACTATAAGATCCACATGCCTCGGCCTCCAAAAGTGCTGGGATTAGAGGAGTGAGCCACCATGCCTGGCCTCATCTTTTTTTTTTTTTTTTTTTTTTTTTTGAGACAGGGTATCACTCTGTCATCCAGGCCAGAGTGCTGTGGTTCGAATTAGGCTCGCTGCTACCTCCACATCCCAGGCTCAAGTGATTCTTGTGCCTCAGCTTCTCTGAGTGTCTGGGATCACAGATGCATGCCACCATTTCCGGCTGATATTTGCATTTTTAGTAGAGATGAATGGGGTTTAGCCATGTTGGCCAGGCTTGTCCACTCATCCTGTTTTCTTTTTTTTAAATTCATTTTTTTTTTTTTTTGAGATGGATTCTTGCTCTGTCACCCGGAGCAAGAGGGCAGTGTCCTGATCTTGGCACACTGCAACCTCCACCTCCCAGGTTCAAGTGATTCTCCTGCCTCAGCCTCCCCAATAGCAGGGATTACAGGCTCCCACCACCACACCCTCCTAATTTTGTATTTTAAGTAAAATAAAGACATGGTTTCACCATCTTTCAAGGTTTCACCACCTGTTCAAGACAGGCTGGTCTTGAACTCCTAGCCTCATGATCCACCCACTTCAGCCTCCCAAAGTTCTGGGATTAAAGGCATGAGCCACCCCCACCACCAGCCCCACTCATCTTTAAGATGACAATACTGTACAGTAGTTTCAGAAAACAGGGTGCACTTACCGAATCCTACACACGTTCCTTCCTTGTTGGGTTTGTGTAATTTTGGTCACCAGTCAAGGAGATACACCTTCCCCCACCTTTTTCTTTTATTTGTTTCTTTCTTTATTTTAATCCTCCTGCCTTGGCCTCCCTAAGTGCTGGGATTACTGGGGTGAGCCACCATGCCCATCTGTCCTAAAGACATATCCATTGAAAGTAAGAAATAGAGAGGTCCTTTCAGTCATGTGATTTATTGATTGATTCAGAGACAGTGTCTCATTCTGTCACCCTGGCTGGAGTGCAGTGGTGCCATCAAAGCTCATGCACTGCAGCCTGGACACACCTTATTTCAAGTGATCCTTCCTCCTCAGACTCCAGAGTAGAGTAACTGGGACCACAGGCACGCGCCACTGTGCCCAGATTATTTTTAAATTTGTTCTACAGACAGAGTCTCATCACTTCATTGCAATCCTCCTGTCCCAGAGTCTCAGAGTGCTGGAATGATGGGCATGAGCCACTTTGCCTGGCCTCCTGGTAATCACTCACAACCACGACATGTGTTCTGATTTTTTTTCTTTCTTTTCTTTTCTTTCTCTCTCTTTCTTTCTTTCCTTCCTTCCTTCCTTCCTTCCTTCCTTCCTTCCTTCCTTCCTTCCTTCCTTCCTTCATTTCTTCCTCTCTTTCTTTCTTTCTTTCTTTCTTTCTTCTCTTTCTTCTTTTTTTGATGGAGTCTTGCTCTGTGTGAGGCGAGGAGCATCACCTTGGAAGCCACAGCACCGCATTACAAAGCCCCATTCACATGCACAAAGCTTTATTCCCTTCCTGAATTCCTAGCTGGTGACTTCTATGGCTTCAGGCTTCTCTCCATTCAGAAGCTTTTGCAGGAGCCACCCCACCCAAAGCCTGGGGTGTGGGATGGAGCTAGAAAGTCAGTCTCCCACCTTTTCTAGCTTGGCCACAACATCCTCTGTCCCCCACCGCTTGCTCACCCTTTGAGATCCCCGGCCTCCATCACCTTGGAGGCTGACCTCTTACTTTACTTTATGTCTTTCTTCCTTTCTTGGGCTTGAGTAGGGGGTGTAGAGGTGAGAGTGTGTGCGGGGAGGGATGTGTGTGATGAGGACATAGGGGAGTGTCCTAAGGGTCGATTTACTCTCATGCTTCTTTTATCACCATCACCGTAGATGAAACCAACAATAAACTAAACACGGTGTGTTCTCATCTGTAAGTGGGAACTACATAATGAGAACATGTGGGCAGAAAGAGGGCGACCAGAGACACGGGACCTTACTTGAGGGAGGAGGAATGGTAGGAGAGATAGTTTCAGATTAAAACACAAAAACTGTCCGGTATTGCGCTGAGTACCCAGGTGATGAAATAATCTGCACTCTGAACCCCCCAGTCAGAAGTTACCTATATGACAATCTTGCACATGTATGCTTCAACAAGAAATAAAATTTGAGAAAGAGAGAGAGAGAAACAAAACGAAACACCACCTCCTTGACCTGAGGCAGGGGGTACCGGCCTTATAGGGGACATTCAGTGGCAATGCAAGAAAGCCACAGTTAGCCCCATGGAATATATTCTGCCACTTAAGGGATCAGAAACTGCAAACAACTGTAGGTTCTAAAGGGGAAAAGGGAAGGAAGGCAGGGGATTATTTCAGTCTTTTTTTCTGAGACTGAGTCTCTTGCTCTGCTGCCCAGTCTGGGGTGCATTGGCACTATCTTGGCTCACTGCAACCTCTGCCTCCTGGGTTCCAGCAATTCCCATGCTTCAGCCTTCAGTAGCTGGGATTACAGATGCACACAGCCACGACAGGCTAATTTTTGTATTTTTAGTAGAGACGGGGTTTTGCCATGGTGGCTAAGCTGGTCTCGAACTCCTAACTTCAAGTCTCCTGGCCCTCCCAGAGTGCTGGCATGACAGGCGTGAGCCACCGAGATTTCAGCCTTTAAAAGTGTATGTTCTGCCGCCTTTCACTGCAGCCCTTATGTTCTGAATGGTGTGTCATTTCTGCTATAGGTTGACTCCCTTAGTCCCCTCTCCCCGTTATTACTCAGTTAAGTAAGTTAGTTTTGTTTTTTGTCTTCTTGGCTTTTAGACGGTGCTGTCACCACAGCTGTTGTCGGTGGCTAGCAGACCGTGTGTCATCCCAAGTCAGATGCACGGAATCCCACTGGGAGGGGAGAAAAGGATAGGGGTATCTGGAGACTTTTGCCTTGGGAGACTGTCATTTTTCACCGCTCACAAAAACATGGGAGCAGGGAGAGTGCTTTGCCTTCCACCCTCTGAAGTTTCATCTGAAACCTCAACTCGTCAGAGGCAGAAGAATAAAAGAATAGGCAGATATGTTTCTGGGACCTGTCTTCATGGGAGTCTACAGAACGAAGGCCCCAAGAGGATGGGGAAATTGTCCGTGTATATGCTTGAATTCCACAGGGTGTGTTTTGTTCGACTGTAGGTCCTGAGACTCCCGTTCTGGGGAGGGCCCTGCACCTTCCACGAAAGGAAGGAGTGCCATGTTTAGAGAGGATGAGAGAAATCTAGACAGACAGGCATTGCTGGGCTTCCCCACTCGGTGTATGATTTTGGGAGGTAGAGGCCAGGTCTGCACTTGGATGGAAGGGGCATGTTCAGGCTTTTCCCCCTGTCTCTTGTGGAGTCTACATCTCGTATTTCCCTGACAAACTCCTCAATTTAAAAATTAACGGTGAAACAAAATCTGACCTAGTGAAACCACCTGTGAAGGCAATGAGAAAGAAAGCTCATTATTGTGGCATAAAACTCTATACACATGGTGGGGCACGGTGGCTGATGCCTGTAATCCTAGCACGTCGGGAGGCCGAGGTGGGCGGATCACCTGAGGTCGGAGTTCGAAACCAGCCAGACCCACATGGAGAAAACGTGCTTGTACTAAAAATAAAAAATTAACGGCGCGTGGTGGCATATGCCTATAATCCCAGGAACTCAGGAGGCTGAGGCAGGAAAATCGGTTGAACCTGGGAGGCAGAGGTTGCAGTGAGCCCAGGTTGTGCCACTACACTGTAGCCTGGGCAACAAGAGCGAAACTCTTGAGTGATTTCTAGTAAATGGCACTGTATCGCCGCCAGGCTAATACGGCGGTGATGTTCTCGTGGAGAGACACTGTGGGGAGTGATGTGTAGTGTGCGGACTCCGATCTTAGAGGTCGTATGTGGATGCTCTGGGATTCACTGAACTAAATTTTTGAATGATTCACGACAGAGAGGACTTTGCGGAACACGACTGAGAAATGGGTACTTCAGGAGTGAAAACTGGCCTGAGGACAGGAGGGAATTTGGTGTAAGCTGTCCTCTCTGGGAAATCCATGCTGTGTCTGGTAGCGTGGATTTCACGGACTTTGTTCCATTGTGACAGGTATTTGCCACTCTGAGGTCGTGGGTCTGGAGTATACCCTGAAACGCTATGGACTGGACTTCTGCCTTAGATAGGTCCCACCTCCAGCCCTAGCCTCCATCCGCACACCCGTGCCCCCGTGGTCCTCTTTTCTCTCTGGGGGAATGGAAGTTCCAGAAGATCCCATGGGCAGAAACGTAGGCTGTGTCCTCTGTGGGGCTCTGGTCGCTAGTCGTGGGAATTGCCTGGGAGTTCTCCCTGGGCCCGGAAACGACCTGATGTGAGAGGGATCTGGAAGAGGCCAGTGACTGGGGTGTGCCTCTTCCGCACTCCATCCCCAACCTCCACCCTGACACAGAAAGACTCATTATTCGTTTCTTTTCCGTGCCGACTGACACTTGCAAGCATCGGTTGTCTTCGGGCATCACCTAGCGGCCACTGTTATTGAAAGTCGAGGTGGCACGGAGGGACGTCTGGCCGACTTCACAGAGCCTGGGGCCACTGGCTTCTCTCCCTCTCTTCTGGAGGCCCGTCACTCTCTCCCTTCTTCCTAGGGAACCTCCGACCTGGCGGGGTCCCTGTTGTTCTTTTCTCAGCATATTATTTTGCTTCACCTGTTGGTTTCTTTAATGCTCATAGGCTCTTCCATTTTGGCTTTATGTACGGTCACTTTAATTTTTAAGTCGCCGCCCGGACCCCCAAGCCCTTTTACCTTAATTTAGTGTTAGTTAGGTGGGTTTTCCCCAACCCCCTCATCTCCTACCACTGTGCTTGGAAACGTTCGAGAGTCACCAGGGTGTGCCTCCCTCTTCTCTCCCCTTCCCCCACCGCTCGCTGGTGATCTCATTCCCACCAGGCTGACATTTGCATTGGTGGTCGTCAGGCCTCACTCATTGGCCACAGTTTTTAAAGATGGGGGCGGCACTGTCCCACTTCCCGAGAGGCAGCTTGGGCCGATGGGATAGAGCTTGACCCGTGTGGACAAGCGGACAGGCAGGCGGGACCGACTGCAGTTATGAGTTTTTTCCCCCATTGTTCCTCAGGCCTCTCTCCCTAGGAAAGTTCCATCCTGGCTGGGTCTTAATCACCTTTTATCAAGATTTTTTTTTTTTTTTTTAATTTTCTCCTCCCTCAGGCCAGCATATTTTCAAAATGGGAAGGGCGTCACCGCTCTACCCTGGGCCTTATTAGTATGTGCCCAAAATAGAACCGCTTTCTACAAAGCATTTTGCTGGTTTAAGATTTCCAGAGACAATGCTTTGGCCCTTGTTTGCTTGCTTGTTTTGTTTTGTTTGTGTTTTTTTTCTTTTTCGTATTTATTTATTTTCCGCTGAAGTAGAATTCACCAATTTTTAGGAAGATGTATATTTTCCCAAGGACATATTAGCCGCTGTTTTCTTCTGTTGTTAACTAGCACTTTTGTGAATCTCTCAACGTATAGTGAGAGCCAGTTGATGTAAACTATAGTTCATAACATCTTACTTTCTAAAAATCTGCAAGTGAGTGTTGCTGCTGCCGCTGTTCTTTTTGATGTTCTTGTTTTCAATCATATTCTGGCCACTGTTTATGGCATCAGAGCATTATACAATACATGTAATTATTTCTTGAGTACCCCATTCCTCTTCCTCTCTCTCTCCCTCTCTGTCTCTGTCTCTCTCTCTGTCTCTCTCACTCTGTCTCTTTCCTTGTCTATCTTTCTCTCCATCTATCTCTCCGTCTCTCTCTGTTTCTGTCTCTCTCTTCCTGTCTCTGTTTCTCTCAGTCTGTCTCTCTGTCCTCTGTCATTCTTTCTTTATCCATGTCTCTCTCTCTGTCTCTCTTTCTGTCTGTGTCTCTCTCTGTCAGTCTCTTTCCCTGTCTGTCCATCTGTCTCTCTCTTTCTTTCTCTATGTCTTTCCTTTTTCTCTTTCCTTTCTTTGTGTCTCTGTCTCTCTCTGTCTGTCTCTGTCTGCCTCTCTCACTTTCTCTCTCTCTCTGTAACTTTCTTTCTCTGTCCTATTCTTCCCTCCCTGTCTTTTTTCTACTATAGGCTCGGGTAGATCTAATCTATTACCAAGGCTGAATTATTAACTGTAGAACTCCCAGATCTGATTTCCATACAGAAAACTACAGAACTGGAGAGTTCATTTCTGGGCTTGGATATCTCATGGATATTACACACTAATAAAAAGGCAACCTTAAAATCTGGGTTTGCTTTTCCCTTGCCTCGGCTGTGACCCAGACTTACTGTCTCAATAAATCGTACCTCTGTTCACCTAGGATGCTAGGAGGGTTTTCTCAATCTGTATCCCCTGTGTCCTAAACAACTCGTGACCAAGCTCTGTCCATTCTTTCTAAAATATATATCTCCAAATACTTCTCTCAATTTCCAGAAGTCCCACGGCCCCTTGTGGAACCACTGGCTCTTTGGAAAACCTCCCAGAAGTGGTTTCAGCTTCTCGGATAGGAGGTGTAAGCCTGCTGAGAACTTTCCTTCCCAGGATTCTGTGTGAACAAAAGTGCCTCTGCTGGGAACTGTGATCCTGGAGACCATGCTTGCTAGTGCTGAATGATTCTCTGGAAGGATGCATGGGACTCCACAAAGCTGACCACCCCCAAATAGGTCAAATACATACCTCTACATTGGCCTGCTGCCTCCACCATACATCCCTCTCACTGTCACCATCGGCATCCTTGTGAGCTTGCCCAAGGCACCCACTCCAGGGAAACCCCTGGGAGGGCGGCCTTCCTCTGCTTAAGTCCAACGTGATGGCAAACTCCACTTACATCATCTCCACTGCACTGTGAAGATGTGGAGAGTAGGGTAGAGAGGACAGCAGGAGGTGAGACGTCCTGGCAGGTGATGAGTTCCCTAGACTTTGACCAACCCAACCACGTCCCATGTCTCCAGCACATGCCGGACACCGCCATTCTCTCCCCTCCTCTGTCCACAGTACCCCCCACCAGCATACACGCTGGAGGTTACAAAACCACACGGTATGAGTAGAGCCTGACACGCTCCTTATGTGAGTGTCTGGATCATCGTTCATCTGCGGCTGCATGCTAGGAAACAGATTCTCCCATTTTTATTGAATGGAGCGAGAGCCCATTTCAGGAGGAGTTCTGCAGAGAGCCTAATTATCCCGCATGCGTGGCTACAGGCTAGAAGTGCATATCGCTTCTTAAGTGCAGGGGATTCCTTAGGCTGTCAGGTTTGTGTGACTACCTCTCAAACCCTTCCTTGAGGCCATAAAATATTTTCAACCCCACCCCACAACATTTCCCTGCGTGCTCAATATATCCTGTCAATAGACCTGGGCATGACGCTTTGAGTTAAACACATTCATTGGCTTTGTTTGTTTGTTTGTTTCTGAGATGGAGTCTCACTCTGTCCCCCAGGCTGGAGTTACAGTGGCTCCGCCTTTCAGGTTCAAGTGATTCTCCTGCCTCAGCCTCCTGAGTAGCTAGGATTACAGGCATGCACCACCACACCCAACTAATTTTTGTAATTTTAGTAGAGATGGGGTTTCACCATGTTGGCTAGGCGGGTCTCACAATCCTGACCTCGTGATCTGCCTGCCTTAGCCTCCCAAAGTGCTGGGATGACAGGCATGAGCCACAGTCCATGGCCACCTTCATTGGTTTTAAATGGAGATTCAAGATTCAAGCCACACCTCATTCTATGCCACAGAATGAGTTCTTTATCATACCGACTCCGGAAAGGCCGGCCCCTTGTCATCCATTTCCAACAAAGAGTCACCTCATGTTTGGAAAATGGATCCACTTTCAAGTTCAGTAGATGCATGTGGCATGTAGGACGAGGGATTGTTCCTTCTGACTTGGTCTGCACAGTGGAGCCTAGGGCTAGAACTCAGTGAGGACCGATGGCTCCTTCTACCCTGGATTCCATCGACCCCACCCTGGAACACAGGCCTTGGCAGATCCTGGCCCTTCCTGGCCCTTAAGACACTGTCAGAAACATTGCTCCAAATGACTGTGGCTTGTGCCTCTAACAGAAACATTTGAAATCTATCCTCTAAACGTGGCCACCTAAAACCACAGAAGTGCAGGACATTCGGCCACCATCCACCTCCCCGCTTTAGGGAAAGAATGCTGAAAGTCTCTTGTTGATTCTCCCTTGATTTGAGTTCTTTGTGGGCATGTGGTCAAGTTGTAATGAGACCAGATGTATTAAGTCAGGCCGGATGCAGTGGGTAACACCTGCAACCTTAGCACTTTGGGAGGCTGAGGAGGTAGGCATGCTTTAGCGCAGGAGATCGAGTCAAGTCTTGGAAAACACAGCCAAAACCCGAAGTGCATTCCTGTGTGGTCCCAGCTACTCAGGAGGCCAAAGTGGAAGACTCACTTAAGCCTGGGGAGGTTGGTGCTGCAGTCAGCCATAATGGTGTCACTGCACTGCAGCCTGGGTGACAGAGTGAGACTCTGTCACAAACAGACAGTCGGACGGAGACCAGCTGTATTATGTTCTTCTCAGGGTAGGAAGCAAAAATAAGATAATACAGCATTTAAGTTTTTATTTTAAATTTTAATCTATTTATTTATTAATTTTGAGTCAAGGTTATGAAACCAGCTATTTTTGTATTTTTCTACAGAGGAGGTTTCATCGTATTGCTAAGGCTGTTCTGGATTGCCTGGGATCAAGGGATCCATGTGCCCTCAGGATCCCAAAGTGCAGGGATGACAGGCATGAACCAGTTCCCCTGAACACACTGTTTTGTTTGTTTGTTTGTTTTGTTTTGTTTTTTCCCTTTTTCAATCACTTGTCTTCATGAGAGTTTCACCGCAGAGTGTTTGGCTGGCTTGTTTAAATTCAATCTAAATAGAAATTGAAGATATCAGCATCTGGTGTTTTGGACTCTGAGGTGACAATCCCCTTGGGCTGTCTATCATAGGACCGTACACATAATGAGTAAAAACAGTAACATTTACAATAGGTAATTTTGTTTTACAGAAATACACGGTTGCACCCAAATGATTCTTTTAAAAATTGTCTTAGCCTTGGTGGGTGTGCCAGTGATTCTTTTAGTTTGGACCTTGACTGAGAATTTCCAGTTGGTCTCTCATTTCTGATTGGAAATTCCAGATGATCTGATGGTTAGGGACTTAAGCTATGTCTTCCAGGGACACTGGCTGATTTGTTGTGGGGACCACCTAGGAGATTACTGCTATTGGATATCACCTAGCAGACACTTACTCTGAAAACTGAGGCCTCAAGGAGGAGGGCCGCTCAGGCTGCCTGCACACAGCCTGAGGCAACTATGTCTTCTTCATTGCCCCTGGCATGCCCCCACTTCCAAGTTCCTCCCTCCATTGTTGCCTAGCAATTTGCCACACTGACGACTGGGACTGATTGTTCTTTATTCACATATAAAAAATATAGGCCAGACATTGTGGTCCATGCCTGTGATCCCAGCACTTTGGGAGCCTGATGTGGGTGGAACATGAGGTCAGGTCCTTCAAGACCAGCCTGGACAGCATGGTGAAACCCTGTTTCTACTAAAAATACAATAAATTACCTGGGCATGGTGGTGTACATCTGTAATCCCAGCTACTTGGGAAGCTGAGATAGGAACATTGCTTGAACCCAGGCAGCAGAGGTTGCAGTGAGCCGAGATCACACCACTGCACTTCAGCCTGTGTGATACAGTGAGACTACATTTCAGGGAAAAAAAAAAAAAAATCACACCTCGCCAGGAAGGCAACAAAACTGGATGGAGGATGAGTTTGATGAATTGACAGAAATAGGCTTCAGAAGGTGCAGAATGAGAAATTCCTCTGAGCTAAAAAAGTTTGTTCTAACCCAATCTAAGGAATCTAAGAAACTTGAAAAAGGTTAGAGAAATGGATAAATAGAATAACCCATTTAAAGAAGAACATAAATGACCCGATGGAGCTGAAAAACAAAGCACAATAATTTTGTGAAGCATACACAAGAATCAATAGCTGAATAAATTAAGCAGAGAAAAATCAGAGATTAAAAATCAACTTAATGAAATAAAGCGAGAAGGCAAGATTATAGAAAGAAGACTAAAAAGGAAAGAACAAAGCCTCCAGGAAATATAGGACTATGTGAAAACACCAAATCTACACTTGATTGGTAATCTAAAAGTGACAAGGACAATGGGACCAAGCTGGAAAACACTGCTCAGGATATTATCCAGGAGAACTTCCCCAACCTAGCAAGACAGGCCAATATTCAAATTCAGGAAATACAGAGAACAACAGAGAGATACTCCTTGAGAAGAAGAATCCCGAAAAATATACATAATTATCAGAGTCACCAAAGGTAAAATGAAGAAAAAAATGTTAAAGACAACCAGAGAGAAAAGTCGGGTCACCCACAAAGGGAAGCCCATCAGACTAATATCGTGGGATATTCGGTTTTTCACTACAGGCGGCAATGGGCTCCGAAATGTTCCCTCATAGATTCTACAATAAGAGTGTTTCCAACCTGCTGAATCAACAGAAAAGTTTAACTCTGTGATATGAATCCATGCATCACAAAGCCGTTTCCCAGATACTTTGTTTATATTTTTTATCATGGGAAATTCTGTTTTTCCCTATAGGCCTTGATGGGCTCTGGAATGTCCCATTGTAGATACTACCAGAAGAATTTTTCAAACGTACTGAATCAAAGGAAAGGTTTACCTCTGTGAGATGAATCCACACATTGTTAAGTGCTTTCACAGACAGCTTGTTTCTTGTTTTTATTGCGGGATACTCAGTTTTTCCCTATAGGCTCTAATGGGCTCCAAAATGTCCCTTCATGGATTCTACAAAGAAATAGTGTTTCCAACCTGCTGAATCAAAAGGAAGGCTTACCTCTGTGAGATGAATGGACACTTCATAAAACAATTTCGCAGATACCTTGTTTCTAGTTACTGTCATGGAATATTCGATTTTTCATTATAAGCCTCAATGGTTACCAAAATGTCCCCTTCATAGATTCTAAAAAAGATGTGTTTCCAACCTGCTGAATCAAAAGAAAAGTTCAACTCTGTGAAATAAATCCATACATCCCAAAGATGCTTCACAGATAGCTTGTATCTGTTTTTTATCTCCAGATATTCAGTTTTTTCACAATAGGCCTTAATGGGCTCTGAAATGTCCCATTATATATTCTACAAAAAGGGTGTTTCCAGTGTGCTAAATCTAAAGAAAGGTTTATCTCTGTTAAATGAATCCACATATCACAATGAGGCTTCACAGGTAGATTGTTTCTCATTTTTATTGAGGGATATTCATTTTTTTTCAATAGACTTCATGGGCTCTAAAATGTCCTTTCTTAGGCTCTACTAAAAGAGGTTTCCAACCTGCTGAATCAAAAGAAAGGTCCATCTCTGTGAGATGAATGCACACATCACACAAAGGTTTCACAGATAGCTTGTTTCTAGATTCTTTTTTGAGACGTAGTTTTGCTCTTATTGACTAGGTTAAAGTGTAATGGTGCGATCTCTGCTCACTGAAACCTTCACCTACAGGAGGTTTAAGCAATTCTCCTGCCTCAGCCTCCCGAATAGCTGGGATTAGAAATATGCACCACAATGCCCAGAGCAATTTGTATCTTTAGCAGAGACAAGCTTTCTTCATGTTGGTCAGGCTGGTCTCAAATTCCAGACCTCAGGTGAGTTACCCTCATAAAGTGCTGGGATTACAGGTTTTAGCCACAGTACCTGCCCTTGCTTCTAGTTTTTATTGTGAGATATTCAGTTTTTCATAATAGGTCTCAGTGGGTTTCAATATGTCCCTTCAGAGATTCTACTTAAAGGGTTTTTCCAACCTGTGGAATCAAGAGAGAAGTTTAACTCTGTGATATCAATCCAAATATGATATAGGTATTTCACAGATAGCTTGATCTAGTTTTCATAGCAGGATATTCAGTTTTTCACTGTAGGTCTTAATTGGCTCTGAGATGTCCCTTTGCAGATTCTACAAAAAGAGTGTTTTGAACTGGCTGAATCAAAAGAAAGGCTTAACTGTGTGACATGAATCATACATGTCACACATCATAAAGCGGTTTCACAGATATCTGCTTGCTAGTCTTTATTGTGGGATATTCAATTTTTCACTGTAGGCTTCAATGGGCTCCAAAATGTCTCTTAGTAGATGCTTTTTTTTTTTTTTTTTTTTTTGAGATGGAGTCTCACTCTGTCACCCAGGTTGGAGTGCAGTCGCATGATCTCGGCTCACTGCACACTCCAGCTCCCAGGTTCACACCATTCTCCTGCTTCAGCCTCCCGAGTAGCTGGGACTACAAATGCCCACCACCATGCCTGGCTTTTTTTTTTTTAATTTTTAGTAGAGATGAGGTTTCCCCATGTTAGCCAGGATGGTCTCAAGATCCTGACCTCATGATCCAGTTTCCTCAGCATCCCAAAGTGCTGTAGTTACAGGTGAGAGCATGCCTAGCTGTCCCTTAATAGATTGTAAAAAAAGGAGGGTTTCCAACCTGCTGAATCAAAGAAAGGCTTAACTCTGTTAGATGAACTCACACAATGCCAAGTGGTTTCCCAGATAAGTTGTTTCTAGTTTTTATCACGTGATATTCTGTTTTTCACTATATTCCTTGATGGGCCCAGAAATGTCCTTTGTACATTCCACAAGAGGAGTGCTTGCAGAATCAAAATAAATTTTTAACTCCATAACGTGAATCCACACATAGCAAAGCAGTTTTAGAGACACCTTGTTTCCAGTTTTTATCATTTAGTTTTTCACTATATGCCTCAATGGGCTCCAAAATGTCCCATTGTAGATTCTAGAAAGAGAGTGTTTCCAACATGTTGAATCAAAAGTAAGTTTTAACTCTGTGCAATAATAGCATACAACATAAAACAATTCAACAGAAAGTTTGTTTCATGTTTTTGTCACAGAATATTTGTTTTTTCACTATAGGCCTCACTGGGAATTGAAATGCCCCTTTGCAGATTCTACACAATGAGGGTTTCCAACCAGACGAATCAAAAGAAAGCTTTAACTCTGTGAGCTGAATCTACACACCACAAAGTGGTTTCACAGATAGCTTCTTTCTAGTTTTTATTGTGGGATATTCGGTTTTTCACTGTAGGCCTTATGGGCTCCAATATTTTCTTTCAAAGATTCTGCGAAAAGATTTTTTCCACCCAGCTGAATCAGAAGAAAGTTCAACTCCATGAGCCAAATACACACACACAAGGCAGTTTCACAAATGACTTCTTTGTAGTTTGTACCACAGGATATTCGGTGTTTCACTATAGGCCTCATAAAGCTCTGAAATGTCCGTTCATAAATTCCATACATAGAGTGGTTTCAACCTGCTGAAGCAAAATAAATGTTTATCTCAGTGAAATGAATCTGCACATCGCAAAGTGGTTTTACAGTTGGATTCTTTCTAGTTTTTTTCGAAGGATATTCCATTTTTCTCTATAGGCCTCAATGGGATACGAAATGTCCCTTTGTAGATTCTTCAAAAAGAGGGTTTCCAATATGCTGAATCAAAGGAAAGTTTTAGCTCTTTAAAATGAATTGACACATCAGAAAGCAGAGAGCTTCTTTCTAGTTTTTATCGTGGGATATCTCAATATAGGCATCAGTGGGCTCTGAAATGTTCCTTAGAAGATTCTAGAAAAAGAGTCTTTTCCACCTGCTGAATCAAAAGAAAAGTTTAATTTTTTGAAGCCACCCCTTCCAAAGTGGTTTAACAGATAATAACTTTCTAGTTTTCATTGCAGTATATTCGGTTTTTTAATATAGGCCTTAGTGGGCTGCAAAATGGCTCTCATAGGCTCTGGAAAAAGAATGTTACCAAGCTGCTGAATCAAAAGCAGGATTTCACTCTTGGAGATGAACTCACAGATTGCAAAGCAGTTTCACAGATAGCTTCTTTCTAGTTTGTATTGTGGGATATTCAGTTTTTCACTAGAGGCCTTACTGCACCTTGAAATATGTCTTGGCAGATTCTATGAAAAGAGTGTTTACAAACTGCTGATTCAAAAGAAAGGTTTAACTCTCTGAGCTGAAACCACACATTACAAAGCAGTTTCACAGATAGTTATTTTTTCTAGTTTTTATAGCATGATATTCAGTTTTTCACTGTAAGTGTCAAGGCCCTCCGAAATGTCCCTTTGGAGACTGTACAAAACAAGTGTTTCAAAAACTGCTGAACGAAAAGTAAGGTTTAATTCTGTGAGCAGAATACACACGTCACAAAGCATTATCACAGATAGCTTCTTTCTAGGTTTTATGGTGGGATATTAGATTTTTTACTATAGGCCTCAGAGAGGTGTGAAATATCCCTTCACAGATTCTACAAAAAAAGGAGTTTCTAACCTGCTGAATCAAAAGATAAGTTTAACTTTGTCAGCTGAACCCACATCTCACAAAGCGGATTCACACATAGTATCTTTCCCATTATTATGGCTGGACATTTGAGGTTTTACTATAAGTTTCAGTGGGCTGAGAAATGTCCCATTGCAGATTCTACAAAAATAGTGTTCCAACCTGCTGAAACAAAAGAAAGGTTTAATTATGTGAGCTGAATCCACAAATCACAAAACAATTTCAGATACTTCTTTCTAGTTTTTGTGACTGAATATTGGGTTTTGCACAATAAGCCTCAGTGGGCTTCAAATTTTCCCTTCACAGATTCTACAAACCAAATGTTTCAAACATGGTTAATTAAAAAGTAAGTTTAAACTCTGAGCTGAATAGAGAAATAGGAAAGCAGTTTGACAGAGAGCTTCTTTCTCTTTTTTATTGCTGGAAATTTTTTTCTCATTGTAAGTCTCACTGTACTCAAAATGTCCCTTCACAGATTCTACAAAAAAGAGAACTTGCAAACTGCTGATTCAAAAGTAAAGCTTAACTCTGTGAGCTGTTTGCACATATGACAAAGCATTTTCACAGATAGCTTCTTTCTAATTTTTATCTATTAAAATTCCATGTTTCACTATAGGCCTTACTGTGCCAGGAAATGTCCCTTTGCAGATTCTACAAAAAGAGTGTTTCCAAACTGCTGAATCAGAAGAAACGTTTGAATCTGTGAGATGAATCCACACATCACAAAGCAGTTTCACATATAGTTTCTTTCTAGTCTTTAATCAAGAAATATTCGGTTTTTCACTATAGGTCAAAATGATCTCTGAAATGTAGCTTCATGGATCCTACAAAAGAGTGTTTTCAAACTCCCAAATCAAAAGAAAGTTTTAACCCTGTGAGCTGAATGCCCACATCACAAGGCAGTTTCACAGATGTTTCTTGCTAGTTTTTATCAAGGGATATTCTGTTTTTCACTGTGGGTCTTAATGACCTTCAAAATGATGCTTTGCCAATTCTACAAAAACAGTCTTTCCAATCTGCTTAATCAAAAGAAAGGTTTCATCCTGCAAGATGAAACCACACATCACAAAGCAGTTCTACAGATACCTTTTTTCCAGTTTTTATTGTGGGATATTCTGATTTTCACTGTAGACCTCACTGTGTTCCAAAATGTCCCTTTGTAGATTCTTCAGACTGTTTCCAAATAGCTGAATAAAAGTAAGGTTAGCACTGTAAGCTGAATACACACAGAGCAAAGAAGCTTCACAGATAGCTTCTTTCTAGTTTTTATTACAGGATAATTAGTTTTTCCCTAGAGAACTCAGTTAACTTTGTACTGTCTCTTTACAGATTCTACAAAAAGAGTTTCCATCCTATGGAATCAAAAAAAGCTGAATCAAAAGAAAGCTGAATGGACTCATCACAAAGCAGTTTCACAGATAGATTTTTGTAGATTTATCATGGGATATGCATTTTTTTCACCATAGGCCTCACTGAACTGCAAAATCTCCCTTTGCTGATTGTACAAAAAGTGTGTTTCCAAACTTCTTAGTAAAAGAAAAGTTTAAATCTGTGAGCTGAATGTACACACCATAAAGCAGTTTCCCAGATAGCTTTTTTCTAGTTTTTATCACAGGATATTAGGTTATTCAATAAAGACCTCAGGGGCTTCTGAAACGTTTCTTCACATATTCTACATAAAGAGTGCTTCAAAACTATTGAATCAAATAAAAAAGCTTAAGTGTGTGAGGTGAATCCACAAATCACAAAGCAGTTTCACAGATAGCTTCTTTCTAAATTGTATTGTGAGATATTTGACATTTACTATAGGTCTCAGTGAGGTGTGATATGTCCCTTGGTTGATTCCACAAAAAACTGTTTCTAGCCTACTGAATCAAAGACAGGTTTAACTTTGTCAGCTGAATTCACAACTCAAAAAGCAAATTCACAGACAGTATCTTTCCCATTTTTATGGCTTGATATTCTGTGTTTCACTATAGGCCTCAGCGGGCTGAGAAAATTCCTTAATAGATTCTACAAAAATAGTGTTTACAACATGCCTAATCAAAAGAAAGGTTTCAGTCTCTGAGCTGAATCCACACATCACAAATCAGTTTTCTATATAGCTTCTTTCTAGTCTTTATCAAAGGATATTCAGTTTTTCACTATAGGCCTCAATGCCTTTTGAAATGTTCTGACACACAATCTACAAAAAGAACGTTTCCAAACTGCTGAATCAAAAGTAAGGCTTAACTCTGTAAGCTGAATGCATACATCACAAAACAGTTTCACAAACAGCTTCTTTCTAGTTTTTATTTCAAGATATTCAGTTTTTCACTACAGGCCTCAGTGGGCTCAGAAATGTCCCTTCACAGATTCTACAAAAAGAGTGTTTCCAAACTGCTGAATCCAAAGTAAGGTTTAACTCTGTGAAGTGCATACAGACGTCACAAAACAGGTTCACAGCTAGCTCCTTTCTTGTTTTTATTTCAGGATATTTTGTTTTTCACTTAAGCCCTCAGTGCCCTTTAAATTCTCCCTTCAGAGATTCTGCAAAAAGGGTGTTTTTAAACTGTTGAATCAAAAGAAAGGATTAACTCTGTAAGCCAAATGCAGACATCACAAAGCAGTTTCACAGATAGCTTCTTTTGAGTTTTTGTCATGGGATATTTCCAAACTGATGAATCAAAAGAAAGGTTTCATTCTGTGAGCTGAATCCACACATCACATAGCAGTTTCACAGATACTTTCTTTCTAGTTTTTATCATGAGATATTCGGTTTTTTACTGTAAGCCTCAATCCCCTCCAAAATTTCCATTTGCATATTCTACAAAAAGAGCCATTCCAATCTGCTGAATCAAAAGTAAGTTTTAACTCTGTGAGCTGAAGGTACACATCAGAAAGCAGTTTCACAGATAGCTTCTTTCTAGTTTTATCATGGGATATTCTGTTTTTCACTACAGGTCTCAGTGGACTGAAATGTCCCCTGGCTGATTCCGCAATAAGGGTGTTTCCAAACTGCTTAATCAAAAGAAAGGTTCAACCCTGAAAGCTGAATCCACACATGAGAAAGCAGTTTCACAGATTTACAGTTTCACAGTTCCACAGTTTCTCATTTTCATTTTAGGATATATATTTTTTTCATATATTTGGTGCCTCAGTGGGCACCAAAATGTTTCTTTGCAGATACTATAAGAGGAATATTTTGAAACTGTTGAGTCAAACGTTACATTGAAAAATGCGAACTGAATGTGTATGTCACAAAGCAGTTTCACAGATAGCTTCTTTCTAGATGTTATTTTGGGATATTCAGTTTTTCACTATAGGCCTCAGTGAGGTCTGCAGTGTCACTTTGCAGATTCTACAAAAAGAGTGTTTCCAAACTGCTGAATCAAAATTAAGGTTGAAATCTTTGACATTAATGTACACATCACAAAGCAGTTTCACAAATAGCTTCTTCCCAGTTTTTATTTTGTGATCTGTTTTTCACTGTAGGACTTACTGTACCCCAAAATGTCGCTTTGTAGATTCTAGAAAAAGTGTTTCCAGTCTGCTGAATCAAAAGAAAGGTTTCACTCTGTGAACTGAATGCACACATCACAAAGAAGTTTGGTGGGTAGATTCTTTCTAGGATATTTTATTTTGTGATATTCAGTTTTTCACTTTTAGGACTCAGTGGGCTCTGAAATGTCCCTTTGCAGATTCTACAAAAAGAGTGTTTCAAAACTACTGAATCAAAAGTAAGGTTTAACTCTGTGAACTGCATGCACATGTCACAAAACACGTTCACAAATATCTTCTTTCTTGTTTTTATTTCAGGATACTTGGTTTTTCACTACAGGGCTCTGTGGTCTCTAAATTGTTTCTTCACAGACTCTATAAAGAAGCTGTTTAAAAACATCTGATTCAAAAGGAAGATTCAACTTTGTGAACTGAATGCACACATCAAAAGCAGTTTCACAAATATCTTCTTTCTAGGTTTTATCCAGAGATATTCAGGTTTTCACTATATGCCCCAAAGAGCTCCAAAACCCTTTGCAGATTCTACAAAAAGTGTGTTTCCAACCTGCTGAATCAAACAAAAGATTTCACTCTACGAGCTGAATGCATGCATCACAAAGAAGTTTCAAAGATAGCTTCTTCTAGGTTTTCATTGTGGTATATTCGGTTTTTCACTATAGGCCTCAATGCCCTCCAAATTGTCCCTTTGCAAATACTACAAAAAAGAGTGTTTCCAACTTGCTGAATCAAAGGACAGGATTACCTCTGTGATCTGAATTCGCACGTCACAAGGTAGTTTCATGGATAGGTTTTTCTGTAGTTTTTGTCGTGGGATATTCAGTTTTTCACTATATGCCTCAGTGCATTCCCAAATGTCCCTTTGCAGATTCTACACAATGAGGGTTTCCAAACTGCTGAATTAAAAGAAAGGTTTAACTCTATGAGCTGAATCCACACATCACAAAGCAGTTTCACAGAAAGCTTCTTTCTAGTTTTTATCAGAAGATTTTTGGTTTTTCACTATAGGCCTCAATACCCTCATAAATGTGCCTTCTCAGATTCTACAAAAAGAGTGCTTCCAAACTTCTGAATTAAAAAAAGAGAAAGGTTTCACTCTACGAGTTTAATGCACAAATCACAAAACAGTTTCATTGACAGCTTCTTTCTAGTTTTTATCATGGGATATAGTGTTTTTCAGTACAGGCCTTCTGGGCCTTGAAATATCCTTTCACAGATCCTACAAAAAGTGTGTTTTCAAATTGTTGAATCAAATGTAATGCTGTACACCACGAACTGAAAGCACACAACACAAAGGAGTTTCGCAGATAGTATCTTTCAAATTTTTATTTTGGGATATTCCATTTCTCACTATTTGCCTCAGTGGGCTCCTAAGTGTCGCTTCACAGATTCTACCAAAAGAGTGTTTCCAAACTGCTGAATCAGAAGTAAGGTTTAATTATCTGAGCAGAATTTATACATCACAAAGCAGTTTCACAAGTAGCTTCTTACTAGTTATTTTGGGATATTCTGTTTTTCACTGTAGGCCTTACTATGCCTCAAAATGTCATTTTATAGGTACTGTAAAAAGAGGGTTTCCAATCTGCTGAATCAAAATAAAGGTTTCACTCTGTGAGCTGAACGCACACATCACAAAGGAGCTTCACAGATAGATTCTTTCTAGATTTTTTTTATGAGATGGAGTCTCACTCTGTCAACCAGGCTGGGGTGCAGAGGCTGGATCTTGGCACACTGCAACTTCTGCCACCCTGGTTCAAGTGATTCTCCAGCCTCAACGTACCAAGTAGCTGAGATTTAGGCTCCTGTCACTGTGCCCAGCTAATTTTTGTTTTTATACTAGTGACGGGGTTTCACCATCTTGGCCAGGCTTGTCTTGTACTCCTGACCTCGTGATCCACCCACACAGCATCCCACAATGCTAGGACTAGGGGCATAAGCCACGATGCGCAGTCAATTATTTTTCTAGTTTTAATAGTGGCATATTCATTTTTTCAGTATAGACCTCAATGCCCTTTGAAATATCCCTTCACCGATTCTAGACAAAGAGTGTTCCCAAACTTTTGAATCAAAAGTTAAATTTAACTCTGTGAGCTGGATGCACACATCACAAAGCAATTTCACAAGTAACTTCTTACTAGTTTTTATTTTGAGATATTCTGTTTTTCACTGTAGGCCTTACTGCACCCCAAAATATCACTTTGTAGATTCTACAAAAAGGATGTTTCCAATCTGCTGAATCAAAACAAAGGCTTAATTCTGTGAGCTGAATGCACACATCACAAAGCAGTTTCACAGATAGCTTGTTACTAGTTTTTATCCCGGGCTTTTCGGTTTTTCACTGTGGATCTCAATATACTCCAAAGTGTCTCTTGGTAGAGTTTAAAAATCAGTGTTTCCAAACTGCTGAATGAAAACAATGGTTTAGCTCTGTGAGCTGAATGCACACATCACAAATCAGATTCAGAGATAACTTCTTTATAGTTTTTATTGTGAGATAATTGGTTTTTCACTATAGGCTTTACTGCACTCTGAAATGTCTCCTGCAGATTCTACAAAAAGAGTGTTTCCAAACTGCTGAATGAAAAAAAAAGGTTTAAATCTGTAAACTGAATCCATACCTCACAAAGCAGTTTTACAGAGAGTTTCTTTCAATTGTTTATCAAGGAATATTTGATGCTTCACTATAGACTTCAATGCCCTCCCAAATGTCCCTTTGCTGAATCTACAAAAGGAGTGTTTCCAAACTGCTGAATCAATGGTAAGGTTTAACCCTGTGAGCTGAATGCACATATCAGAAAGAAGTTCTATGACAACTTCTCTCTACTTTTTGTTTAGGGATATTCGTTTTTTTGCTATAGGCCTTAATGCACTTTGAAATGTACCTTTGCAGATTCTACAAAAGAGTGTTTCCAAACAGCTGAATCAATGGGAAGGTTTAACTCTGAGCTGAATGCATACATCACAAAGCAGTTTTACAGATAACTTCTTTCCAGTTTTTGTCTGGGCATATTTGGTGTTTCATTATAGGCCTTGCTGTTCTCTGAATTGCCCCTCACAGATTCTACAAAAAGAGTGTTTCCAACCTGCAGAATCAAAAGATAGGTTTAACTCTGTGAGTTGAATGCACATATCACAAAACAATTACACAGATTTCTTCTTCGTAGTTTTTATCACAGAATATTCAGCTTTTCACTATAGGACTTACTGTGCACTGAAATGTCCCTTCACTGATTCTACAAAAAGAGTGTTTCAAAACTGCTGAGTCAAAAAAACAGTTTAATTTTGTGAGCTGAATCGACACTTCATAATTCAGTTTCACAGATAGCTACTTTCTAGATTTTATCACAAGATAGTCAAAATTTTTCCTATTTGCATGGTGGGCTCTGAAATGTCTGTTCTAGATTCTATAAAAGAGTGTTTCCCTACTGTGGAATAAAAAGAAAGGTTTAACTCTGTGAGCTGAATGCAGACACCACAAAGCAGTTTCACAGATAGCTTCTTTCTGGACTTTGTCACAAGATATTTTGTTTTTCACTATAGGGCATAGCAGGCTCTGAAATATCCCTTCATACAATCCACAAAAAGAGTAATTCCAAACTGCTGAATCAAAAGAAAGGTTTAACTCTGTGAGCTAAATCCACACAATACAAATAAGTTACACTGACAGCTATTTTCTGTTGTTTTTATTGTGGGATATTCTGTTACCACCATACGTCTTAACTGTGCTCTAAAGTATCTCTTTGCATAATCTACAAAAAGAGTTTTTCCATCTGCTGAATCAATAGAAAGTCTTTTTTTTTTTTTTTTTTTTTTTTTTTTTGAGATGGATTATTGCTCTGTCACCCAGGCTGGAGTGCAGTGGTGCAATCTCGGCTCACCACAAGCTCTGCTTCACAGGTTCATGCCATTCTCCTCCCCCAGTCTCCCAAGTAGCTGTTTTTCCCCTTAGGCCTCAGTGGCTCTCAAATGTCCCAGAGTGTTTCCAACCTGCTGAATCAGAAAAAGGTTTAACTCTGTGAGATGAATCCATACATCACATAGCAGTTTCAAGGATAGCTTCTCTCTAGTTTTTGTCTCAGGATATTCAGTTTTTCCCCATGAGCCACAGTGGGCTTCCAAATGCCCTTTTGCAATTTCTTCAAAAAGAGTTGTCTCCAACCTGCTGAAACAAAAGAAAGTTTTACCTCTGTGAGATAAATTTACACATCACAAAGCAGTTTCACAGAGAGATCCTTTCCAGTTTTTACCCCGGGATATTTGACTTTTCCCGATAGGCCTGAATGGAATCCCAAATGCCCCTTAGCAGATTCCTCAAACCGAGTGTTTTCAAACTGCCGAATCAAAATAAATTTTTAACCCTGTGAGATTAATTAAAACATCACACAGCAGTTTCACAGAAAGCTACTTTCTAGTTTTTCTGGGGATATTCTGATTTTCCCCTTAGGCCTCAATGGACTGCCTAATGTCCATTTGCAGATTCTCCACAAAGAGCATTTCCAACCTGCTGAATCCACATAAAGTTTTAACTTTGTGAGTTGAATACACACATCACAAAGTAGTTACACAGGCAGCTTCTTTCTTGTTTTTATCTGGGGATATTGAGTTTTTCCCAAAAGGCCTCAGTGGACTTACAAAAGTTCCTTTGCAGATTCTCCAAGGAGATTGTTTCCAACTTGCTGAACCATGAGCATGAAATGTTCCTCCATTTGTTTGTGTCCTCTTTCATTTCTTTGAGCAGTGCTTTGTTGTTCTCCTTGAAGAGGTCCTTCATGTCCCCTGGAAGTTGGATTCCTAGGTATTTTATCCTCCTTGAAGCAATTGTGAATGGGGGTTCACTCATGTTTTGCCTCTCTGTTTGTCTGTTATTGGTGTATAGGAATGCTTGTGATTTTTGCCCTTTGATTTTGTATCCTGAGACTTTGCTGAAGTTGCTTATCTGCTTAAGGAGATTTTGGGTTGGGACAGTGGAGATTTCTAAGTATAAAATCATGTGATCTGCAAAGAGGGACAATTTGACTTCCTCATTTCCTAATTGAATACCCTTTATTTCTTTCCCCTGCCTGATTGTTCTAGCCAGAACTTCCAACACTATATTGAATAGGAGTGGTAAGAGGGTATCCCTGCCTTGGGCCAGTTTTCAAAGTGAATGCTTCCAGTTTTTGCCCACTCAATAGGATATTAGCTGTGGGTTTGTCATAAATAGCTCTTATTATTTTGAGATATGTCCCATCAATACCTAGTTTATTGAGAATTTTTAGCATGAAGGGCTGTTGAAATTTGTGAAAAGTCTATTCTGCATATATTGAGACAATAATGTGGTTTTTGTCTTTGGTTCTCTTTATATGATGGATTACGTTTATTGATTCCCATATGATGAACAGCCTTGCCTCCCAGGGATGAAGCCAACTGGATTGTGCAGGATAAGCTTTTTGATGTGCCGCTGGATTCGGTTTGGCAGTATTTTATTGAGGATTATTGCTTCAATATTCATCAGGGATATTGGTCTAAAATTCTCTTTTTTTGTTATGTCTCTGCCAGGCTTTGGTATCAGGATGATGCTGGCTTCATAAAATGAGTTAGGGAGGATTCCCTCTTTTCGTATTGATTGGAATAGTTTCAGAAAGAATGGTATCAGCTCCTCTTTGTACCTTTGGTAGAATTCAGCTGTGAATCCGTCTGGTCCTGCACTTTTTTTGTTAGTAGGCTACTAATTATCGTCTCCATTTCAGAGCCTCTTATTGGTCTATTCAGGGATTCAACGTCTCCCTGGTTTAGTCTTGGGAAGGTTTATTGCCTATATTCGATTCTTCTCTTTTCTTCTGTATTAGTCTTGCTAGTGGTCTATCAATTTTGTTGATCTTTCCAAAAAAACCAGCTCCTGGATTCATTTATTTTTGAAGGGGTTTTTTTTAACGTCTCTATCTCCTTCAGTTGTGTTCTGATCTTAGTTATTTCTCAACTTCTGCTAGCTTTTGAATGTGTTTGTTCTTGATTCTCTAGTTCTTTTAATTGTGATGTTAGGCTGTCAATTTTAGGTCTTTCCTGCTTTCTCTTGTGGGATTTGGTGCTATAAATTTCCCTCTGCACACTGCTTTAAATGTGTCCCAGAGGTTCTAGTATGTTTAGTCTTTGTTCTGTTTGGTTTCAAAGAACATCTTTATCTCTGCCTTCATTTCATTATTTACCCAGCAGTCATTCAGGAGCAGGTTGTTCAATATCCATGTAGTTGTGTGGTTTTGAGTGTGTTTCTTAATCCTGAGTTCTAATTTGATTGCATTTTCATCAGAGAGAGAGATTGTTATAATATCTGTTCTTTTACATTTGCTTAGGAGTGCTTTACTTCCAACTATGTGGTCAATTTTGGAATAAGTGTGATGTGGTGCTGAGAAGAATGTATATTGTTTTGATTTGGGGTGGAGAGTTCTGTAGATGTCTACTAGGTCCACTTGGTCCACAGCTGAGTTGAAGTCCTGGTTATCCTTGTTAAGTTTCTGTCTTGTTGCTCTGTCTATTTTTGACAGTGGGGTGTTACTGTCTCCCGTTATTATTGTGTGGGATTCTAAGTCTCTTTGTAGTCTCTAAGAACTTGCCTTATGAATCTGGTTGCTTCTGTATTGGATGCATATGTATTTAGGATAGTTAGCTCTTCTTGATGAATTGATCACTTTACCATTATGTAATGGCCTTCTTTGTCTCTTTTGATCTTTGTTGGTTTAAAGTCTGTTTTATCAGAGACTAGGATTGAAAACCCTGCTTTTTGTTTGTTTGTTTTCCATTTGCTTGGTAGGTCTTCCTCCGTCCGGTTATTTTGAGCCAATGTGTGTCTCTGCATATGAGATGGATCTCCTGAATACAACACACTGATGGGTCTTGACACTATTCAATTTGCCAGTCTGTCTTTTAATTGGGGCATTTAGCCCATTTATATTGATGGTTAATATTGTTATGTCTGAATTTGATACTGTCATTAGTATGTTAGCTGGTTATTTTTGCTCGTTAGTTGATGCAGTCTCTTCCTAGTATTGATGGTCTACAGTTTAGCATGTTTTTGCAGTGGCTGTTACTGTTTGTTCCTTTTCATTATTAGTGCTTCCTTCAGGAGCTCTTGTAGGGCAGGCCTGGTGGTGACAAAATCTCTTAGCATTTGCTTGTCTGTAAAGGATTTTATTTCTCCTTCACTTATGAAGCTTAGTTTGGCTGGATATGAAATTCTGGATTGAAAATTCTTTCCTTTAAGAATGTTGAATATAGGCCCCCATTCTCTTTGGCTTGTAGAGTTTCTGCCAAGAGATCAGCTGTTGGTCTGATGGACTTCCCTTTGTGGGAAACCCAACTTTTCTCTCTGGCTTCCCTTAACATTTTTTCCTTCATTTCAGCCTTGGTGAATCTGACAATTATGTGTCTTGTGTTTGCTCTTCTTGAGGAATATCTTTACAGCATTCTCCCTATTTCCTGAATTTGAATGTTGGTCTGCCTTGCTAGATTGGGGAAGTTGTCCCAGAAAATATCCTGCCTAGTGTTTTCAAACTTGGTTCCATTCTCCCTGTCACTTTCAGGTACACTAATCAGATGTAGATTTGGTCTTTTTTCATAGTCCCGTATTTCTTGGAGGCTTTATTTGTTTCTTTTTACTCTTTATTTTCTAAACTTCTGTTCTTGCATTGTTTCATTAATTTTATCTTCTATCACTGATATGCTTTCTTCCATTTGATTGAATCAGCTTTTGAAGCTTGTGCACGAATCACATAGTTCTCGTGCCATGGTTTTCAGCTCCATCAGGTCATTTAAGGTCTTCTCTATGCTGTTTATTCTAGTTAGCCAATCGTCTAATCTTTATTCTAAGTTTTAACTTCATTGCAATGTGTTCAAACATCCTTCTTTAGCTCGGAAAATTTGTTATTACCAATCTTCTGAAGCCTACTTCTGTCAACTCATCAAAGTCATTCTCCCTCCAGCTTTGTTCTGTTGCTGAGGAGGAGCTTGTTTTCCTTTGGAGGAGAAAAGACACTGATTTTTAGAATTTTCAGCTTCTTTGCTCTGGTTTCTGCCCATCTTTGTGGTTTTATCTACCTTTGGTTTTTGATGATGGTGAACTTCAGATGGGGCTTTGGCATGGATGTTCTTTTTGTTGATGTTGATGCTATTCCTTTCTGTTTGTTAGTTTTCCTTCTAAAAGCCAGGGCCCTCAGCTTCAGCTCTGTTGGCCTTTGCTGGAAGTCTACTCCAGGTCCTCTTTGTCTGGGTATCACCAGTGGTGGCTGTAGAAGAGCAAATACTGCACAAAAAGAAATGTTGCTGCCTGATCTTTCCTCTGGAAGCTTCGTCTTAGAGGGGCACCCAGCTGTATGAGGTGTCAGTCAGCCCCTACTGGGAGTTGTCTCTCAGTTAGGCTACTTGGGGGTCAGGGAATGACTTGAGGAGGTAGTCTGTCCATTCTCAGATCCCAAACTTCATGCTGGAAGAACCACTACTCTCTTCAAGGCTGTCACACAGGGACTTATGTCTGCAGAAGTTTCTGCTGCCTTTTGTTCAGCTATATCCTGCCCCCAGTGGTGGAGTCCACAGTAGCAGGCAGGCCTCATTGAGCTGTGATGGGCCCCACCCAGTTTGAAGTTCCCAGCTGCTTTGTTTACCTACTGAAGCCTCAGCAATGGTGTATACCACTCCCTCAGCCTTGCAGTTGCCTTGCAGCTTGATCTTGGACTGCTGTGTTAGCAGTGAGCAAAGCTCTGTGGGTGTCAGACCCTCTGAGCCAGGAATGGAATGTAATTTCCTGTTGTGCCATTTGCTAAGACTGTTGGAAAAGTGCAGTATTAGGATGGGAGTGTCCTGATTTTTCAGTACCATCTGTCATGTCTTCCCTTGGCTAGGAAAGGGAATTTTGCGACCCCCTGTGCTTCCCAGGTGAGGCAATGTCCCACCCTTCTTCAGCTCACACTCCATGGGCTGCACCCACTGTCCAAAAGGCCCCAGAGAGATGAACCCAGTACCTCAGATGGAAATGTAGATATTACCTGTCTTCTGTGTCACTCTGGGAACTGTAGACTGGACCTGTTCCTATTCGGCCATCTTGGATCACTCCCTCACTTCTTTCTAGTTTTTAAATGGAGATGTTTCGTTTCTCCCCATATGCCTCAAAGGGCTCCCAAATGTTTTATTGCACATTCTCCTAAAAGAGGGTTTTCAACCTGCTGAATCAACAGAAAGCTTTAACTCTGTGGAATGAATCCACAAGTCACAAAACAGTTTCACAAATAGCTTCTTTCTAGTTTTTATCTCTTGAAATTATGTTTTTCTGCATAAAACTCAAAGGTCTCCCAAATATGCCTTCACAGATTCTCCAAAAACAGTGTTCCCAACCTGCTGAATAAAAAGGAAATTTTAATTCTGTGACATGAATCCAAATATCAGAAAGCAGTTTCACAGATAGCTTCTTTATAATTTTCACCTGGGGATATTCAGTTTCTCCCCAAGGACTCAATGGGCTCAAAAAGTCCCTTTGGAGATTCATTAAAAAGAGTGTTTACAACTTACTGAATCAAAAGGAAGGTTTAACTCTTTGAGATCAATCCAAATATTACAAAGCAGTTTCACAGATAGCTTCTTTCTAGTTTCTATCTGAGGATACTTTGTTTTTCACTTATGCTTCAGTGAGCTCCAATATGTGCCTTTGCAGATTCCACAAAAAGAGTGTTTACAACCTGCTGAATGAAAAGAAAGGTTTAACTCTGTTAGATGAATCTACACATCAGAAAGTAGTTTTACAGAGAGATTCTAGTTTTTTTCTGAAGATATTTGTTTTTTTTCCCAGAGGCTTCAATGGCCTTCCAAATGTCTTTTTGCAGATTTTCCAAAAACAGTGTTTCTAACTTCTGAATCAAAAGGCAGCTTTAACCCTGTGAGATAAACCCCGATATCACAAGGCAGTTTCACAGATAGCTACTTTCTAGTTTTTTTCTGGAGATATTCAGTTTTTCCTCATAGGCCTCAGTGCACTCTCAAATGTTTCATTGCAGATTCTCCAAAAAGAGTGTTTCAAACCTGCTGAATCAAAAGAAAGTTTTATCTCTGTGAGGTGAATCCACACATCATAAAACAGTTCCACGGATAGCTTCTTTCTAGTTTTTACCTATGAATATAATGTTTTTCCCCATAGGTTTCAGCAGACTCCAAAATTTTCCTTCACGGATCACTTTCTTGACTTGATAATCCAAAGTGGCCTTTTGAGCTGTGTCTTGCAAAAGGGTGACAAAATCTGGATAAAGCTCTCTTGGAGCCTGTTGAACTGAGTTAGAAGAAGGGTAAGTAGTACCAGGGTCATGAACTTTTTCGAGGCTCTTAGGCATATATTTCTGAGATGATCAACAGCTTCAACACCCATTACCATTGGTTGATTTCCAGTACCTCATGCCTGTCCAATTCCAAGCAATTGATCAGATGTGATATTAATGGGAGGTTAGGCTTGAGCATTTCTGCATGCCTGATTTGTTGCTTCATCCATCCACCAGGTTTTAAATTACAGAAATTGAGAGAGGGACAGGGTTGATCAGGCTAATGACTTCTAATCCATATTAAATGTTGGTTATAAGCCACAGATTGTAATAAGGAATGAACATAGGAGAATTTGGTCCATATTGTCCAATTGATTGCTTTAAGTCTTTTAATATTTTAAGAGGAAACAGCTCCCAGTGTGCTTGAGCATGTTCTCTGGCCTCCTCCCTGAATCATAATTTGTATTTGGGTTGGCTTGGAGCATTCCTTTACCATAATTAACTGGTGGACAAGCCGCGATCATTCTCTCACTGTAATTGGCTGTTGGGCAAGCCTGAAGCTTCCCTTCACCATAGTTAATGGTGGGACATGCAACATTTAGAGTAGTAAGCCACATCTCAGGCTCCCTTTCCAAAAATTCATAAGGCTGAGGCAGGGGTGGCCATTCCAGGCCTTCCCTTAAAGGCACAGTAGGTGGTACTGTTTCTGCAGTAGTTGGAACTGTTCCTTTCTTAATTTTTTGGAGGTTAGCATATATAGCTTCCCATTTCTCCCCCTTTTTAAACCTAGACTGTGATGGTTCACTTTGCTGATCATCAGACTTCTGATTATTAAACTTTTCTACGTCATCCTGAAACTCCTACTCCTTCCTCCTCAGTGAGGAAGCACTTCAGTGCTGTTTTAGTTGCCAACCACACAGACCAAGTGGAGAAAGGAATGTTGTGGCTCTCTTGCTGTGCTGGTTTTAAGTCTGAACCAACCTTATACCAATCTTTTATATTCCTGGTGCCATATTCTGGGAACCAAGGAGAATACTCTTCTATGAGATGGAACAAAGATGTGAGATTTCAGGTACTCACAATTGTCCCACTGTGACACAATAACTGTGGCACCAGGCTTAAGTAATTAGTAAACTTACTTTCAGCCTGATCCATATTTTCCTGAGGTTACCATGGAATTCTCCATAGATCCTGAAGTAAAAACGTACGTGGGTGTCCTTTGTCAGTCACGCTCCACTTTCCATGCTCTGGCATTTCTTCACTGGATTATTTGTAGATATTACAGGGATACCTGCGTTGGGTGCCAGATATTGGGGAAACCAGCCCCGCACTACCCAGTGGGTACACTGACTCTGGTGGAGAAAAAAGAGTTAGACAGAATAAGTGTTTAAAATGTGGGTCTAGGGGACTGGAGCATTGAAGGTTTGCTCACAGCCCAGAGCTCTCAGGCTCCACACAATCTATTGATATACAGGCTGTTCTTACAGCAGATGAGAGGGGGAGCAAGGAATGAAGAAAAGGATTAATCAGTGAAGGAGATCTTGTGAGTCATTTGATAAGACTACAGCAGTGGTGATTTCTATGTATTTCCTTGTGGAGAGGAGTGTGTCTAAACTACTTAAGATCTTTAACTTATTGGGACTGAAACAGGTGGGAGCAGGTTTTAGGAGAAGCCCAGATGTTTGACTATACTCCACTGCTTCAAGGGAGTATTATCTCCCTGAGAAAACTGTGGAATGCTGCTGAGTGGTTATGCTCTAGAGGCATAAAAACCTGAAGGTAATAAGGAGACGTTTTTCCTCAGAGGCCACCCATGGCTTTCCATGGGTGTCTCACACAGGGAAGACCAACACAACTGGCACCCCAGAAACTCTCTTTCCCACATTTCCAACCAGATAAATCAAAAGAAAGTTTTAACTTTGTGAGACAAATCCACACATCAGAAAGCAATTTCACAGACAGTTTCTTTCTAATTTTTTGCTGGGGATGTTGGGTTTTTCCACATAGGCCTGAATGGACTCCCAAATGTCCCTATGCAGATTCTCCAAAAAGAGTGTTTTTAATCTGCTGAATCCAAAGAAAGGTTTAACTCTGTGAGATAAATCCACACATGAACAAAAGCAGTTTCACAGATAGCTTCTTTCTAGTTTTTACCTGAGGATATTTGTTTTTTTCTCAGTAGACCTTAATGGGCTGCCAAAAATCCCTTCATAGATTCTCCAAAAACAGTGTTTTTAACCTGCTGAATCGAAAGAAAGATTTGACTCTATGAGATGAATCCACACATCACAAAGCTGTTGCACAGATTCTTTCTAGTTTTTCCTGTGGAAATTCAGTTTCTTCTCATGGGCCTCAATGGGCTCCCAAAAATCCCTTTGCAGATTCTCCAAAAAGAGGGTTTCCAACTTGCTAAATCTAAAGAAACGTTTAATTCAGTAAGATGAATCCACACATCATAAAGAAGTTTCATAGAAAGTTTTTTCTAGTTTTTACCTGGGGATATTGGGTTTTTCCCTGTATGCCTCAATGGGCTCCAAATGTCCCTTTGCAAATTTTCCAAAAAGATTTTTTCCAACCTGTTGAATCAAAGAAAACGCCTAACTCTGTGAGAAGAATCGACAAACCACAAAGTAGTTTTACAGATAGCTTCTTTCTGGTTTTTACCTGACAATATTTGGTTTTTCACATTGGCCTCAATGGGCTTCCAAACGTCCCTTTGCAGATCCTCCATAAAGAGTGTTTCAACCTGCTGAGTCAAAAAACAGGTTTATCTCTATGAGATGAATCCACACATGGCAAAGCAGTTTCACAGATACCTTCTTTCTAGTTTTTTACCTAGGGATTTTTGGATTTTCCCCATAGGCTTCAATGGGCTCACAAATATCCCTTAGCAGAATCTCTAAAAAAGAGTGTTTCCAAACTGCTGAATCAAAGGAAACTTTTAACCCTGTGAGATGAATCTACACATCACAAATGAGTTTCACAGACAGCTTTTTTCTTGTTTTTACCTGGGAATATTCAGTTTTTCCACATGGGCCTCAATGGGCTCCTAAATATCCCTTTGCATATACTCCAACAAGACATTTTCTTTTCTTTTTTTTTTTTTTTTGGAGGTGGAGTCTTGCTCTGTCACCCAGGCTGGAGTGCAGTGGTGCAATTTCCCACTCACTGCAAGCTCCACCTCCTGGTTACATGCCATTCTCCTGCCTCAGACTCCCAAGTAGCTGGGACTACAGGCACCCACCACTATTTCTGGCTAAAATTTTTGTATTTTTATTAGAGATGGGGTGTCACCATGTTATCCAGGACTGTGTCGATCTCCTGACCTTGTGATCCACCTGCCTCAGCCTCCCAAAGTCCTGGGATTAGAGGCATGAGCCACCCCACCTGGCTGAGATTTTCTAACTTGCTGAATCAAAAGAAAGGTTTAATTCTGAGATGAATCCACAAATCACAAAGCAGTTTCACACATAGCTTCTTTCAAGTTTTTACCTGAGAACATTCTGACTTTCCCCATGATCTTTAATGGGATCTAAAATGTCGCTTCACAGATTCTCCAAAAAAAAAAAAAAAAAAAAAAAAAAGTGTTTTCAACCTGTCCAATCAAAAGAAAGGATTAACTCTGTTTGCTGAATCTGCAAATCACAAAGCAGTTTCACAGACAGCTTCTTTCTAGTTTTTATCATTGGATATTCCATTTTTCCCCATTGGCCTCAATGGACTTCCAAATGTCCCTTCACAGATACTCCAAAAAGAGTGTTTCCAACCTGCTGAATCCAAAGAAAGTTTTAACTCTGTGAGATGAATCCACATATCACAAGGTTGTTTGACAGACAGCTTGTTTTGTTTCTACCTGGGTACATTCTGTTTTTCCACATGGGCCCCTAGGGCTCCTAAGTGTCCCTTTGTGGATTCCCCAAAAAGAGTGTTTCCATCCTGCTGAATCAAAAGAAAGTTTTAACTCTGTTAGATGAATCCACACATCACAAAGCAGTTTCATAGATACCTTCCTTCGAGTTTTTGCCTGGGGATATTTTGTTTTTCTCCATGGGCCTGAATGAGCTCCCAAATATCCCTTCGTAGATTCTCCAAAAAACATGTTTCCAACCTGCTGAATCAAAAGAAAGATTTAACTCTGTGAGATGATCCACACCTCATGAAGCCGTTTCTCATACATCTTATTTCCAATTTTTATCTGTGATATTCAGTTTTTCCTCTAGGCTTCAATGGGGTTCCAAATGTCCCTAAACAGATTTCCCAAAAAGAGTGTTTCCAACCTGCTGAATAGAAAGGACGTTTTACCTCTGTTAAATGAATCCACACATCACAAAGTAGTTTTACAGATATTCTTCCTAGTATTTACCTAGGGATATTCAGTTTTTCCCCATAAGATTCAATGGGCTCCCGAATGTTCCATTGTAGATTCTCCAGAAAGAGTGTCTTTTACCTGCTGACTCAAAAGAAATGTTTATCTCTGTGAGATGAATCCACACATCACAAAGCAGGTTCTTTGATAGCTTTTTTCTATTTTTTACCTGGGGATATTGTGTTTTTCCCCATAATCTTCAATGGGTTCCCAAAGTCTCTTCTCAGATTCTCAAAAAGAGTGTTTCCAAATTGCTGAATTGAAAGAAACGTTTAACACTGAGAAATGAAGCACACATCACAAAGCAGTCATACTGATAGCTTCTTTCTAGTTGTTACCTGGGTATATTTTGTTTTTCCCCATGGGTCTCACTGTGCTTCCAAATTTTCTTTTACACATTCTCCAAAAAAAACTGCTTCCAACCTGCTGAATCAGAAGAAACGTCTAACTCTGCAAGATGACTCCACACATCACAAAGCAGTTTCACAGATATATTATTTCTAGGTTTGGGGAGGCATTGGGGTTTTCCTTATAGGCCTCTATGGGCTCCCAAATGTCTTTTCACAGATTCTCCGGAAAGCATGATTCCAACATCCTGAATCAAAAGAAATGTTTAACTCTGTGAAATGAATCCACATCAAATAAGGCAGTTTCACAGATACTTTCTTTCTAGTTTTTACCTAAGGATATGCAGTTTTTCCCTTCACAGATTGCTCAAAAAGAGCATTTCCAATCTTTTGAATCAAAAGAAATGTTTCACTCTGTGAGATGAATCCACACATCATAAAGCAGTTTCACAGATAACTTCTTTCTAGTTTTTACCTACAGATATTCAGTTTTTCCCTGTTGGCCTCAATGGTCTTCCAAATGTCCCTTTGGGAATTTTCCAAAAAATGGGTGTCCAACCTGCTGAATCAAAAGAAATATTTAATTCTGTGAGATGAATCCAGACATCACAAAGCAGTTTCACAGACAGCTTCTTTCTAGTTTTTTCCTGGGGATATTCTGTTTTTCCCCATTGGCCTCAAAAGTCTCCAAAATGTTCCTTTGCAGATTCTCCAAAAATAATGTTTCCCACCTACTGAATCAAAGCAAAATTTAACACTGTGAGATGAATCCACACAACATAAAGCAATTTCACAGGTAGATTCTTTCTAGCTTATATCTGCGGATATTCGATTATTTATCTTAAGCCTCAAAGCGTTCCCAAATGTCCCCTCACAGGTCTCCCGAAAGAGTGTTTTCAACTTGCAGAGTTAAAGAAAGGTTTACCTCTGTGAGATGAATCCACACATCACAACACAGTTTCATATATAGCTTCTTTCCAATTTTGATATGGGGATATTTTGCTTTTACTCTAGGCTTCAATGGGCTTTCAAATATCCCATCACAGATTCTCCAAATACAGTGTTTTTTAACTGCTGAATCAAAAGAAAGGTTTAACTCTGTGAGATCAATCTGTACATCACAAAGCAGTTTCACCTACATTTCTTTTCCAATTTTTATCTGGGGATACGTAGTTTTTCACCTAGGCCTCAATGGGCTACCAAATGTTGCTTCACAGATCCTCCAAAAAGATTGTTTCCAATCCTATGAATCAAAAGGAAGATTTAACTATTTAGATGAATCCACACATCACAAAGCAGTTTCACAGATAGCTTCTTTCCAGTTTTTTTTTTTCTGAAGATATTCAGTTTTTCCCCATAGGCCTCAAAGGACTCCAAAATGTCCCTTCACTGATTCTCCAAAAAGAATGTTTCCAACCTGCTGTATCAAAGTAAGGTTTAACACTGTGAGATGAGTCTGCACATCACAAAGCAGTTTCACAGACAGCTACTTTCTAGTCCTCTAATGGGACATATTCATTTGGACCCCACAGGCCTAGATGAGCTTCCAAGTGTTCCATTGCACATTCCCCAAAAAGAGTGTTTCCAACCTGCTCAATCAAAAGAAATATTTAATTCTGTGAGATGAAACCACATATTACAAAGCAGTACACAGATAGCTTCTTTTTAGTTTTTACATGGTGACATTCAATTTATCCCCATGGGCCACAATGGTCTCCCAAATGTCCTTTTGCAGATTCTCCCAAAAGAGTTTTTCCAACCTGCTGGATCAGAAGTGTTTAATTCTGTGCAATGAATCCTAATGTCACAAAAAAAAAATCTTCACAGGAAGTTTCTTTCAAATTTTACCTGGAAATACTGTTTTTTTTTTTTCTCCTTATAGGTCTGAAACGGCTCCCAAATATCCCTTCACAGATCCTCCAGAGTGTTTCCAACTTCCTGAATCAAAGGAAACATTTAACACTGCGAGATGAATCAACAAACTACAAAGCTGTTATACAGATAGCTTCTTTCCAGTTTTTACCTGGATACATTCAGTTTTATTCTTGAGCCTCAATGGGCTCCCAACTCTCTCTTTGTATATTCTTCAAAAACAGTGATTTCAACCTGCTGAATCAAAAGAAAAGTTTAACTCTGTGAGATAATCCACACATCAAAAAGCAGTTTCACAGATAGTTTCTTTCTAGTATTTTACTGGGGGTACTCCTTCTAGTATTTTACTGGGGGTACTCCTTATTTCCACATGGGAAGCAATGGGCTCCAAAACGTCCCTTCACTGATTCTCCAGAAAGACTGCTTTCAACTGCTGAATCAAAAGAAAGTTTTAACTCTGTGAGATGAACCCACACATCAAAAAGAAATTTCACAGATAGATTCTTTCTTTTTCTGGCAATATTCAGTTACTTTCCATAGGCCCCAAAGGGCTCCCAAATGTCCCCCAGCACATTCTTCACAAAGAGAGTTTCCAACCTACTGAATCAAAATAAAGGTTTAACTCTGTGAGATGAATCCACATATCACAAAGCAGTTTCATAGATAGCTTCTTTCTAGTTTTTAACTGGGAATGTTTTTTTATTGGTCTCAATTGGCTCCAAAACGTCCTTTTGAGATTCTACCAAAAAAGTGTTTCCAACCTGCTGAATAAAGGGAAACGTTTAACTCTGTGAGGTGAATCCAAAAACTACAAAGCTGTTATACATATAGCTTCTTTCTAGGTTTTACATTGAGATGTTGTACTTTTCACATTGGCCTCAATGGGCTCCCAAAAGTTTCTTTGCAGAACCCCCAAAAGAGCATTTCCAACCTGCTTAATCAAAAACAAACAAACAAAAGGTTTAACTCAGTGAGGTGAATGCACATTTCACAAAGCAGTTTCACAGATTGCTTCTTTCTAGTTTTTATCTGGTGATATTTGCTTTTTCACCATAGTCCTCAATGAGATCCCAAATGTCCCTTTGCATATTCAACAAAGAGACTCTTTCCAATTGCTGAATGAAAAGAATGGCCTATCTCTGTGAGATGAATCCACACATCATAAAGCAGTTACACAGATAGCTTCTCTTTAATTTTACCTGTGGATATTTTTTCCTATGTGCTTCATTGGGCTCCCAAATGTCCCTCTGCAGATTCTCCAAAAGGAGTGTTTCCAACCTGCTGAATCAAAAGGAAAGTTTAGCTCTGTGAGATGAATCCACACATCACAAAGCAGTTTCACAGATAGTTTATTTCTAGTTTTTACCTGAGGATATTAGGTTTTTCTTCATAGGCCTCAAGGGCCTTCCAAATGACCTTTCACAGACTGCCCAAAAAGAGTGTTTCCAATCTGCTGAATCAAAAGAAAGGTTTAACTCTTTGAGATGAACGCACATATCAAAAAGCAGTTTCACACATTGCTTCTTTTTAGTTTTTACTTGGCCATATTCATTTATTTAACATGGCTGCAGTGGTCTCCCAAATGTCCCTTTGCAGCTTCTAGAAAAAGGGTATTTCCAACCTGCTGATTCAAAAGAAAAGTTTGTCTCTGCAATACTAACTCATGCATCACAGAGTAGTTTCACAGATAGATTCTTTCTAGTTTTCATCTGGATGTATTCCATTTTCTTCATAGGCCTGAATGGGATCCAAAATGTCCCTTCACAGATTTTACAAAAAGACTGATTGCAACCTGTGAAATGAAAAAAAAAAAAAAAGGTTTAACTATGGGAGATGAATGCACACATCCAAAAGCAGTTTCCCAGATAGCTTCTTTCCAGTTTTCCCCTAGGGATATTTGTTTTTTCCCTTAGTCCACAATTGGCTCCCAAATGTCCCTATGCAGATTCTCCAAAAAGAATGTTTCCAAACTGCTGAGTCAAAAGAAAGTTTCATCACTGTGAGATCAATCCACACATCACAAAGCAGTTTCACAGATAGCTTCTTTCTAGTTTTTCCCTGGAGGTATTCTGTTTTTCCACATTGGTCTCAATAGGATCTCAAATGTCTCTTGGCAAATTTTCCAAAATGAGTGTTTCCAACCTTTAAAATCAAAAGAAAGGTTTATCTCAGTGAGATTAATTGAGACATCACAAAGTAGTTTCACAGATAGCTTCTTTCTACTTTTTACCTGGGGATATTCAGTTATTCTGCATAGACCTCAATGGGTTTACAAATATCCTCTCACAGATTCTTAAAAAAAAGTTTCCAACGTGCTGAATCAAAGGAAGGTTTATCACTGTAAGATGAATCCACACATCACAAAGCAGTTTCACGGATAGCTTCTTTATATTTTTTATCTGGGAATATTTGATTTGTTCCCTTGGGCTAAAATGGGCTCCCAAATGTTGGTTCAGACATTCTACAAAAACAGTTTTTCCAACCGGTGGAATCAAAAGAAACGTTTGAATCTGTGATATGAATCCACATATCACAAAGCAGTTACACAGAAAGCCTCTCTCTAGTTTTTACCTGGAAATATTCAGGTTTTCCACAGGAGCCTCCATGGGCTCCCAAATGTCTCCTGCAGATTCTCCAAAAAGAGTGTTTTCAACCTGCTGAATCAAAAGAAAGGTTTAACCCTGTGAGATGAATCCTTGCAACACAGAGCATTTTCACAGATATCTTCTTCCTAATTTTTGTCTGGAAATATTCCTTTCTCTTCATATGCATGAAGGGGATCACAAATGTCCCTTTGCAGATTCACCAGAAAGAGTGATTGCAACCCGCTGAATCAAAAGAAAAGTTTACCTTTGTGAGATGAATGCACACAACACAAAACAGTTCCCCAGATAGCTTCTTTCTAGTTTTTACCTGGGGATATTCTGTTATTCCCCTAGGCCACAGTGGTCTCCCAAATGTCCCTTTGTAGATTCTCCCAAAATGTGTTTCCAACCTGCTGAATCAAAACAAAACGTTTAACTCTGTGAGATGAAACCACACATCACCAAGCAGTTGCACAAATAGCTTCTTTCTAGTTTTTGCCTGTGGATATTTTGTTTTTAACCCTTTGGCATCAATGGACTCCCAAATATCCCTTTGTAGGTCTCCAGGAAGAGTGTTTCCATCCTGTTGAATCAAAAGAATCGTTTAACTCTGTAAGTTGAACCCACATATCACAAAGCAGTTTCACAGATAGCCTATTTCGAGTTTTTATCAGGAGATATTTGGTGTATCTCCATGGACCTCAAAAGGCTTCCTAGAGTCCCTTTGCAGATTGTCCAAAAAGAATGTTTTGAACCTGCTGAATCTAAGAAAGTTTAACCCTGTGAGAAGAATCCACACATCAGAAAGCAGTTTCACATGCAGCTTCTTCCCAGTATTTATTCTGGGTATTTGATTTTTTCCCTAGGCCTCAATAGGCTCCCAAATGTCCCTTAGCAGATTCTCTAAAAAGAGTGTTTCCAACCTGCTGCATCATAAGAAAGGTTTACCACTGTGAGTTGAATCCAAACATCACAAAGCAGTCTCACAGATAGCTCCTTTCCAGTTTTTATCTAAGGATATTTGTTTTTTTCTGCCTATGCCTCAAAGAGATCCCAAATGACCCTTCACACATACTCCAGAAAGAGAGTTTTCAACCTGCTGAATCAAAAGAATATTTAAACTCTGTGAGATGAATCCACACATCACAAAGCAGTTTCACAGATAGCTTCTTTCTAGTTTTTACCTGGGATTATTTGTTTTTTCCCCATAGACCTCAATGAACTCCCAAATGTCCCTTTGTAGATTCTCCAATAAGAATGTTTCCAAGCTGTTGAATCAAAAGAAAGGTTTAACTCTGTGAGATGAATCCACAAGTCACAAGGCAGTTTCACAGATAGCTTCTTTCTAGTTTTTATCTGGGGATATGTATTTTTTCCCCTTGGGACTCACTGAGATCACAAATTTCCTTTGCAGATCTTCCAGAAAGACAGTTTCCAACCTGCTGAATCAAAGGAAACGTTTACCTCTCTTAGATGAATCCACACATCACAAAGCAATTTCACAGATAGCTTCCTTCTAGTTTTTACCTGGAGATTTTTTTTTTTTTCTTACAGACCTCAATGGGCTCCCAAATGTCCCTTCAGAGATTCTCCAAGGAGAGTGTCTTTAACCTGCTGAATCAAAGGAAACGTTTGCCTCTGTGAGATGAATCCACAAAATACAAGGCTGTTATACAGATAGCATCTTTCTAGATGTTACTAGGGGATATTCCTTTTCTTTTTTTTTTTCTCATTGTCCTCAATGGGCTCCTGAATGTCACTTCACAAATCCTCCAAAAGAAGTGTTTCCAAACTGCTGAAACTAAAGAAAGGGTTAACTCTGTGAGATGAATCCATAAATCACATAGCTGTTTCATGGACATTTTCTTTCTAGTTTTCACCAAGGAACATTCCACTCCCATGGGCTTCACCGAGATCCCAAATATTTTTTGGCAGATTCTCCAAAAAGGGAGTTTCCAACCTGCTGAATCAAAAGCAATGTTTAACTCTGTGAGATGAATACAGGCATCACAAAGCAGTTTCACAGATAGCTTCTTTCTAGTTTTTTTTTTTTTTTCTGGGGATATTCAGTTTTTTTGCATGGGCCACAACTGGCTGTCAAAAGTCCCCTGGCAGATTCTCCAAAAAGAGTTGTTCCAACTGGCTGAATAAAAAGAAAAGTTTACCTCTATGAGATGAATCCAGACAACACAAAGTGTTTCACAGACAGCTAGCTTCTTTCTATTTTTTATCTGGGGATATTCCATATTTTCCCATGGGCCACAGTGGGCTCCCAAATGTCCTTTCACTGATTCTTCTAAAGAGTGTTTTCAACCTACTGAATATAAAGAAATATTTAACTCTGTGAGATGAATCCACACATCACAAAGCAGTATCACAGGTAGCTTTTTTCTAGTTTTATTTGGGGATAATTTTTTTCATGAGCATCAATGGACTCCCAATTATGCCTTAGCAGATTCTACAAAAACAGTGTTTCCATCCAGCAGAAATAAAAAAAGGGTTAAACTCCGTGAGATGAACCCACACATCACAAAGCAGTTTTATGGACAGCATTTTTCTAGTTTTTATCAAGAGATATTCTGTTTTTCCCCATGGGCCTCAATGGGCTCCCAAATATCACCTTGAAGATTCTTCCTAAAGAGTTTTTTCAACTGCTGAATTAAAAGAAACGTTTAACTCTGTGAGATGAATGCATATGACACTGAGCAGTTTCACACATAGTTTCTATATAGTTTTTTCCTGGGGACATTCTGTTTTTTCCCCATAGCCCACAATGAGGTCCAAAATGTCCCTTCACCTATTCTCCAAAAAGAGTGTTTCAACCTGTTGTAACAAAAGGAAGGTTTAAGTTTGTCAGATGAATCCACACATCACAAAGCAGTTTCACAGAGAGCTTCTTTCTAATTTTACTTGGGGATATTCGTTTTTTTCTGATATGCCTCAATGGGCTCACAAATATGCCCTGGCAGATTCTCCAAAAAGAGTATTTCCAAGATACTGAATCAAAAGAAAGATTTCACTTTGTGAGGTGAATCCATGCATCACAAAGCAGTTTCACGGATATATTCTAGTTTTTACCCTGAGATATTTAGTTTTTTCCCCATGGGCCTCAATGGTTTCCAAAATTTATCTTTGTAAATTTTCCAAGAGGAGTGTTTCCAACCTGCTGAATCAAAAGAAAGGTTTAACTCTGTGAGATGAATCCATACATCTCAAAGGCATTTCACAGATAGCATCTTTCTAGTTTTTGTCTGGAAATATTCAGTTTCTTTGATAGAGCATCAATAGGTTTCAAAATGTCCCTTCTCAGATTCTACATGCTGAATAAAAGGAAAGGTTTATTCATTTGAGATGAATCCGCAATCACAAAGCAGTTTTACAGTAACCTTCTTCCTAGTTTTTGTCTGTGGATATTCTGTTTTTCCTCATGGGCCTCACTTGGCTCCCAAATGTCCCTTTGCATATTCATCAAAAAGAGTGTTTCTAACCTGCTGAATAGGAAAAAAACGTTCAAACCTTTGAGATGAATCCACAAATTGCAAAGAAGTTTTACACATAGCCTGTTTCTAGTTTTAATCTAAGAATATTTGAAATTTTCCATGGGCCTCAATGGGTTCTTGAATGTCCCTTTGGAGATTCTCCAAAAAAAGTGTCTTGAACCTGCTGAATCAAAAGAAAGATTTAACTCTGTGAGATAAATCCATACATCACAAACCAGTTTTACAGATAGCTTATTTGTGGGTTTTACAGGAAATATTCAGTTTTTTTGCATGGGTCCCACTGGGCTTCCAAATGTCCCTTTGCAGTTTCTCCAAAAAGGGTGTTTCCAATCTACTGAATCAAAAGAAAGGGTTAACACTGTGAGATGAATCTACACATCACAAAGCAGTTTCACAGAGAGCATCTTTCTAGTTTTTACTGTGAAATATTTAATTTTTCCCCATAGGCCTCAATGGGCTCCCAAATTTCCCTTCACAGATTCTCCAAAAAAAGTGTTTCCAAAGTGCTGTATCAAAAGAGAAATATAACACTATGAGATGAATCCACAGCTCACAAAGCAGTTTCACATATAGCTTCTTTCTAGTATTTTTCTGGGGATATTGAATTTTCCCCCCTGGGCCTTGATGAACTGCCAAATAAATGTCTCTTCAGGCATTCTTAAAGAAGAGTCTTTCCCACCTGGTAAATCAAAAAAAAAAAAAAAACATTGAACTCTGTGAGATAAATCGGGACTTCCCAAAGCTGTTTCACAGATAGCTACTTTCTAGGTTTTACATGCAGTTATTCAGTTTTTCCTCATGGGCCTCAATGGGCTACCAAATGTCCAGTTGCAGATTCACCAAAAAGAGTGTTTCTAACCTGCTGCATCAAAACAAGGTTCAAAGCTTTTAGATGAATCCACACATTGCAAAGCATTTTTCCGGATAGCTTGTTTCTAGTTTTGATCTAAATGTATTCCGTTTTTTTTCCCATGGGCCTCAATGGGATCCAAAATGTCCCTTTGCAGATTCTCCAAAAAAAAGTGTTTCCAACCTGATGAATCAAAAGTAATGTTTAACTCTGTGAGTTTAATCCTCACTTCAAAAAGCAATTTCACAGATTTTTTTCTGTTTTTTACACAAGTTTACTGGGTTTTTCCCTGTGGGCCTCAATGGGTTCCCAACAGTCCCTTCACAGATTCTCCAAAAAGAGTTTTTCCAACCTGCTGAATCAAAAGAAAGGTTTAATTCTCTGAGATGAATCCATACATTGCAAAGCAGTTTCACAGATAGCTTCTTTCTAGTTTTTACTTGAGATTTTTGTTTTTTTCCCAGTGGGCCTCAATGAACTCTCAAATGTCCCTTCCAGATTTTCCAAAGAGTATTGAAGCCTGCTGAATCAAAAGAAAAATATAACTCTGTGAGATGAATCCACCCAGCACAAAGCAGTTTCACAGATAGCTTCTTATTTGTACATGGGGATATTTCTTTTTTCCCATGGGCCACAATGGGCTACCAAATGTTTGTTGGTAGATTGTCCAAAAAGAGTGTTTGCAACCTGCTGAAACAAAAGAAATATTCAACACTGTGAGATGAACCCACACATCACAAAGCAGTTTAACCGATATATTGTTTCTAGTTTTTGCCTGGAGATATTCAGTTTTTCTCCATGTGCCTCAAGGGGCATCAAAATGTCCTTTGCAGATGCTCAAAAAAGATTGTTTCCAACTTGCTGTATTAAAGGAAAGTTTTATCTCTGTAAGATGAATCCACACATCAGAAATCAGTTTCACATATACTTTTTTTTCTGATTTTTACCTGGGAATATTTGGTTTTCCCCCAAAGGCCTCAATGGGGTCCCAAATATAAATTCACAGATTCTCCAAAAGGAGTGTTTCCAACCTACTGAATCAAAACAAAGATTTAGCTCTGTGAGATTAATCGATACATCACAAATCAGTTGGCCAATCCAATTGGATAGACATGGTATAAAATACTTAAAATTTCCAGATTTGATCCAAATTTAATTGTAGTTCCTTTAAACTGGTTTAAAGTTCAAGCCACCTTTCAACATTCCATTCTGTGGAAAATTCACTTGGTTGATTTCATTGGTATTATTGACAATCATTATCCAAAGAACAAATTGTTTGATTTTATAAAACTTACGTCTTCAGTGGTCCCTTGATTAAGCAAAAATCAGCCCATTCCTGGGGCCATCACAGTGTTCACTAATGGCTCCAGCAATGCAAATGCTGGTTATATAGGTCCTACAGACAAGCTTATTTCTACCCCTTATACCACTACTCGAGAGGCAGAGTTAATTGCTGTAATTGTTGTCTTATAGGATTTCCCCAAGCCTTTAAATATTGTCTCTGATTCCATTTAACGTGGGAAAGAGGATATGCTTGTGTTTCACCAGGAGATCATCAAACGAAAACCACAGGGAAAAGACGTCAATGTCAGAGACCACACTTAGATGTGGTAAGATCTGTGTCAACTCCTTAGAAGCTGGCACACTAAATCACAATGGGTCTGATTCAATCCCCCCAATGACAACGGAGACCCATCTAACTAATTACACTTCGAATTACCTTTATTTTTCTCCTTACAAACCTAAAAATCTTACCATTTCTGTTGGCCTAAAAATAACATCCCTCTGTTCTTTTCTTCCTCCTTCAGCACTAAATCTTGCTTACAGTAGGTTTTACTGAATCATTCTCCCCCTTATACTTTCTGTCTCACTAGTTTCCTCACACACTGATTTACCTGCTACACAAAATTATTCTTACTGGGCTTATGTGCCTTTTCCTCCACTTGTTTGACCTCTCACCTGGACGGATGCTCCTGCAGAAATCTACACTAATGATAGTGTGTGGATGACTGCAGCTACAGATGACAATTGCTCCACTCAACCAGGGGAAGAAGGCACTGTATTTAATGTTATCATGGGTTATAAATACCCACCTCTGTGCCTCCAACATGCACCTGATTGTATCCATCTAGAAACTCAATTCTGGGCTACTTGTCTTCCAGAGAGATCAGCCACAGAGGAACTGGGACATTTGGTCTCTGGCCTCTCCCTTTCTTCTTTAAAGGAAATGAAAGAGGGAGTAATGGGAGATACCCCATACTTTCAATATAAACCTGCAGGAAAACCATGCCCTAAAAATTTTGATGGCTCATGTAAAACCTTAATTTTGGAAGACAGTGTTAACTCGCATGCAGTAACATTTAAAATGACTCATATGGTTTAGTAATAGACTGGGCACCAAAGGGTTATTTAAAATCTGTTGCTCCTCTGGTGGAAGGGAATGCCTGGAGGCTGCTTATTTTATTTCTTATCTGGAGAACGAGAATCATCATTTTACTTTACATAGGAGGTTGAGCTCATTCTTTCCCTTGAAATGGGAAGATGAAAGCATTACCCCACCCCATTGAGGCAGCATATAATATTCCCCATCCTGAGCTCAGAATACCCAGAACTTTGAAAATTGGCGATTGCCATGTCTGGACTGTGAGCATGGAAAGGGGAAACTATTCTGTCTGTTGTCCCCACTACCATCCCTCTCTCTCAGTATTGACTTAGATCCAGACAGTATGTTTTACTTACCTCTAACCCGACTGTTCCCATACAGAGATATGTTAAGCCTCCTTACATGCTGTTAGTGGGAAATATCAAAATTTGAACGAACAATCAAACTGTTCAATGCATCATCTGTCATTATACACTTGCATTAACCCCCATTTTCACTCCACGAAAAGTGTATTGTGGTTAGAACTCAAGAAGGAATCTGTATTCCAATAATTTTGCCCAGACCTTGGGAATCTTCCCCCTCAATACATTTAATTAATGAATTGTTACAACGAATTCTAAAAAGATCTAAGAGATTTGTTTTCACGTTAATCACAGTAATCATGGGCCTAATTAGTCACTGCACTGGTGACCACTGCCGGAATGGTGTTACATCAATCTATTCAAACAGCTGATTTTTTTAATGATTGGCAAGCCAATTCCACCCAAATGTGGAATTCTCAACAAGGCATTGATCAAAAATTGGCTAATCAAATTAATGATTTAAGACAGTCTGTTATTTGCTTGGAGATCAGGTAGTGAGTCTCGAACATCACACGCAATTGCAGTGCAATTGGAACAGTTCTGATTTCTGTACTACTCTGTATTCCTACAATGAGATAGATCATTCATGAGAAGTGGTCAAAGGACACCTTCTAGGTCAGGAAGATAATTTATCACTGGACATAAGTAAATTAAAGAAACAAATTTTTGAAATCTCTCAATCTCATTTGTCCATTGTGCCTGCAGCTGGGGCATTAGATCAGGTGGCAGAAAATCTTTCCGGGCTAAACCTCACAACTTGAATTAAGTCTGTGGGGGCTTCACTGTAGTAAATTTTGGAATTATGTTTTTCTGTTTAATAAGCTTGTCTTTAGTGTGCTGGAACAGTCAAAGACTCCTGCCTCAAAATTGAGAGAACAAACAAGCCTTTAACACCATGGCACATTTATATAAAAGAAAGGGAGAGATGCTGCGGGAAGTCAGGGACCCCAGTTGGAGGGACCGGCTGAAACCATGGCAGAAGAACATAAATTGTGAAGATTTCATGGACATTTATTATTTCCCCAAATTAATACTTTTATAATTTCTTATGTCTGTCTTTAGGGCAACCTCTGAACATAAATTGTGAAGATTTCATGGACATTTATCACTTCCCCAATCAATACTCTTGTGATTTCCTATGCCTGTCTTTACTTTAATCTTTTAACCCTGTCATCTTTCTAAGCTGAGGAGGTACATTGCCTCAGGACACTGTGATGATTGCATTAACTGCACAAATTGTTTGTAGAGCATGTGTGTTTAAACAATATGAAATCTGGGCACTTTGTAAAAAGAACAGGATAACAGTGATGTTCAGGGAACAAGGGAGAAAACCATTAGGTCTGACGGACTGGGAGCTGGGTGGAACAGCCATATTTCTCCTCTTACAAAAGTGAATAGGAGAAATATTGCTGAGTTATTTTTCTCAGCAAGCAACAGCCCTGAGAAAGGGAATGCATTCCCAGGGATATGTCTCTAAAATGGCCGGTCTGGGAGTTTCTGTCTTATAGGATTGCAGGTAATGGATGAAATAAGCCCTGGCCTCCCATTGTGCTCCCAGGCCTATTAAAATGAGGAAGTTACTGCCTAGTAAATTTTAGTCAGACTGGTTGTCTGCTCTCAAACACTGTCTCCTGATAAGATGTTATCAATGACAATGTATGCTTAGTGGGACATGAAACTCCATTAGCAATTTTGATTTCACCACAGTCCTGTGATCTCACTCTGCCCCCATTTGCCTTGCCATATTTTATTTCCTTGTGAAGTATGTGATATCTATGACCCAAACCCTTTCATGCTCTCTCTCCCCTTTGAAAATCACTAATAAAACTTGCAGGTTTTGTGGCTTGGGGTACATCACAGAACCTGCTGACATATGATGTCTCCCCCGGACACCCATCTTTAAAATTTCTCTCTTCTGTACTCTTTCCCTTTATTTCTCAGGCCAGACTACACTTGGGGAAAATAGAAAAAAATCTACATTGAAACATTGGGGGCTGGTTTCCCCTTATAATAGATAGCTTCCATCTTGTTTTTATCTTGGGCTATCAGGTTTTTCCACATGGACCTCAATTGGCTCCCAAATGTCACTTTGCAAATTCTTCAAAAAGATTTTTCCAACCGTCTGTATAAAAGAATGGTTTAACTATGTAAAGTGAATTCATACAACACAAAAACAGTTTCAAAAAATAGTTTCTTTCTACTTTTTATTCGGGTATATTCTGTTTTCCCATGTGGGCTTCAATGTGCTCCCAAATATCCCTTCACAGATTCTCCAAGGAGAGATTTTCCAACCTGCTGAATCAAAAGAAAGGTTTGACTCTGTCAGTTGAATTCACACATCATAAAGCAGTTTCACAGATAGTTTTTATTGATTTTTATCTGGTAATATTCTGTTTTTCCTTATGGGTTTCCATGGCCTCCCCAGTTTCCCTTTGCAGATTGTTCAAAAAGAGTGTTTCCAACCTGCTGAATAAAAAGAAAAGTTTAACTCTGGGACATGAATCCAAACATCACAAAGCATTTTCACAGATAGCTTCTTTTTAGGTTTTGCCTAGGGATACTCCTTTTTTTCCTTCATTGGCTTCAATGGACCAAAATATATTGTTCCAGATTGTCCAAAAGGAGTGCTCCAAACGTGCGGAATCAAACGAAAGGATTAACTCTGTGAGATGAATCCACACATCACAAAGCAGTTTCACAGATAGATTCCACTGTTTTTCTGGGGATATTCAGTTATTCAACAGCTCAGTGGACTCCAAAAAGTCCCTTCACAAATTCTCCAAAAAGAGTTTTTCCAATCTGCTGAATCCAAAGAAAGATTTAACTCTGTGAGACAAATCCATACATCACAAAGCAATTTCACAGATAGCTTCTTTCTAGATTTTACCTGAAGATATTCGTTTATTTTTTCCATGGGCCTCAATTAACTTCAAAATATTTCTTCATAGATCCTTTAAAAAGAGTATTTCAAACCTGCTGAATAAAAGAAAGGGTTAACTCTGTGAGATGAATCCACACAACACAAAGCAGTTTCACAGATATGTTCTTTCTAGTTTTTACCTAGGTATACCATATTTTTCCCCACAGGCCTCAATGGGCTCCAAAATGTCCCCTTGCAGATTCTCAGAAAATGTGTTTCCAACCTGCAGTATCAAAAGAAAGGTTTAATTATTTGAGGTGAATCTACATACCACAGAACAGTTTCACAGATAGCTTCTTTCTAGTTTTTATCTGGGGTTATTCGAATTTTCCTCATTGCCATTGGTGGGCTCCCCATTGTCCTATCACACATTCTCCAAAAGTGTTCAACCCTATGAGAGGAATCCAGGCATCACAAAGTAGTTTCACAGATAGCTTCTTACTTATTTTCTTTTTTTTTAAATGTCTAACCCCATCACAATTTTATTATTATTATTATTGTTATTATACTTTAAGTTTTAAGGTACATGTGTACAATGTGCAGGTTTGTTACATATGTATACATGTGTCATGTTGGTGTGCTGTACCCATTAACTCATCATTTAGCATTAGGTATATCTCCTAATGCTATCCCTCCCCCCTCCCCCTACCGCACAACAGTCCCCAGTGTGTGATGTTCCCCTTCCTGTGTCCATGTGTTCTCATTGTTCAATTCCTACTTATGAGTGAGAACATGTGCTGTTGGGTTTTTTGTCCTTGCAATAGATTGCTGAGAATGAGTAATGGGATGGCTGGGCAAATGGTATTTCTAGATCTAGATCCCTGAGGAATCGCCACACTGACTTCCACAATGGTTGAACTAGTTTACAGTGCCACAAACAATCTAAAAGTGTTTCTATTTCTCCACATCCTCTCCAGCACCTGTTGTTTCCCGACTTTTTAATAATCACCATTCTAACTGGTGTAAGATGGTATCTCATTGTGGTTTTGATTTGCATTTCTTGGATGGCCAGTGATGATGAGCATATTTTCATGTGTTTTCTTGGCTGCCTAAATGTCTTCTTTTGAGAACTGTCTGTTCATATCCTCTGCCCACTTTTGGATGGGGTTGTTTTTTTTTTTTTCTTGTAAATTTGTTTGATTTCATTGTAGATTCTGGATATTAGCCCTTTGTGAGATGAGTAGGTTGCAAAAATTTTCTCGTATTCTGTATGTTGCCTGTTCACTCTGATGGTAGTGTCTTTTGCTGTGCAGAAGTTCTTTAGTTTCATTAGATCCCATTTGTCAATTTTGGCTTTTGTTTCCATTACTTTTGGTGTTTTAGACATGAAGTCCTTGTCCATGCCTATATCCTGAAAGATAATGCCTAGGTTTTCTTCTAGGGTTTTTATGGTTTTAAGTCTAACATGTAAGTCTTTAATCCATCTTGAATTAATTTTTGTATAAGGTGTAAAGAAGGGATCCAGTTTCAGCTTTCTACATATGGCTAGCCAGTTTTCACAGCACCATTTATTAAATAGGGAATCCTTTCCCCATGGCTTCTTTTTGTCAGGTTTGTCAAAGATCAGATAGTTGTAGATATGTGGCATTATTACTGAAAGCTCTGTTCTGTTGCATTGGTCTATATCTCTGTTTTGTACCAGTACCAAGCTGTTTTGGTTACTGTAGCCTTGTAGTATAGTTTGAAGTCAGGTAGTGTGATGCCTCCAGCTTTGTTCTTTTCACTGAGGATTGTCTTCGCAATGTGGGCTCCTTTTTGGTTCTGTATGAAATTTAAAGTAGTTTTTTCCAATTCTGTGAAGAAAGTCACTGGTAGCTTGATGGGGATGGCATTGAATCTATAAATTACCTTGGGCAGTATGGCCATTTTCATGATATTGATTCTTCCTACCCATGAGCATGGAATGTTCTTCCATTTGTTTGTATCCTCTTTTATTTCATTGAGCAGTGGTTTGTATTTCTCCTTGAAGAGGTTCTTCACATCCCTTGTAAGTTGGATTCCTAGGTATTTTATTATCTTTGAAGAAATTGTGAATGGGAGTTCATTCATGGTTGGCTCTCTGTTTTTCTGTTATTGGTGTATAATAATTCTTGTGATATTTGCTCATTGATTTTGTATCATGATACGTTGCGGAAGCTGCCTATCAGCTTAAGGAGACTTTGGGCTGAGACGATGGGGTTTTCTAAATATACAATCATGCCATCTGCTAAAAGGGAGAATTTGACTTCCTCTTTTCCTAATTGAATACCCTTTGCCTTCTTCTCCTACCTGATTTTCCTGGCCAGAACTTCCAACACTATGTGGAATAGGATTGGTGAGAGAGGTCATCTCTATCTTTTGCCAGCTTTCAAAGGGATTGTTTCCAATTTTTGTCCATTCAGTATGATTTTGGCTGTCAGTTTGTCATAGATAGCTTTTATTATTTTGAAAGACATCCCATCAATACCTAATTTATTGAGAGTTTTTTTTATTATTATTATACTTTAAGTTTTAGGGTACATGTGCACATTGTGCAGGTTAGTTACATATGTATACATGTGCCATGCTGGTGCGCTGCACCCACTAACTCGTCTTCTAGCATTAGTTATACCTCCCAATGCTATCCCTCCCCCCTCCCCCCACCCCACCACAGTCCCCAGAGTGTGATATTCCCCTTCCTGCAAATCAAAACCACTATGAGATACCATCTCACACCAGTTAGAATGGCAATCATTAAAAAGTCAGGAAACAACAGGTGCTGGAGAGGATGTGGAGAAATAGGAACACTTTTACACTGTTGGTGGGACTGTAAACTAATTCAACCATTGTGGAAGTCAGTGTGGCGATTCCTCATGGATCTAGATCTAGAAATACCATTTGACCCAGCCATCCCATTACTGGGTATATACCCAAAGGAATATAAATCATGCTGCTATAAAGACACAGGCACACGTATGTTTATTGCAACATTATTCACAATAGCAAAGACTTGGAACCAACCCAAATGTCCAACAATGATACACTGGATTAAGAAAATGTGGCACATATACACCATGGAATACTATGCAGCCATAAAAAGTGATGAGTTCATGTCCTTTGTAGGGACATGGATGAAATTGGAAATCATCATTCTCAGTAAACTATCGCAAGAACAAAAAACCAAACACCGCATATTCTCACTCATAGGTGGGAATTGAACAATGATATTGAGAGTTTTTAACAAGAAGCGTTGTTGAATTTTGTCAAAGGCCTTCTCTGCATCTATTAAGATAATCATGTGTTGTTTGTCTTTGGTTCTGTTTACATGCTGGATTATGTTTATTGATTTTCATATGATGAACCAGCCTTGCATCCGAGAGATGAAGCCCACTTCATCATGGTGGATAAGCTTTTTGATGTATTGCTGGATCCAGTTTGCCATATTTTATTGAGGATTTTTGCAACAATGTTCATCAAGGATATGGGTCTAAAATTCTCTTTTTTTGTTGTGTCTCTGCCAGGCTTTGGTATCAGGATGATGCTGGCCTCATAAAATGAGTTAGGGAGGATTCCTTCTTTTTCTATTGATTGGAATAGTTTCAGAAGGAATGGTACCAGCTCCTCCTTGTACCTCTGTAGAATTCGTCTGTGAATCCATCTGGTCCTGGGCTTCTTTTTTGTTGGTAAGCTATTTATTATTGCCACAATTTCAGAGTCTGTTATTGATCTATTCAGAGATTCAATTTTTTCCTGGTTTAGTCTTGGGAGAGTGGATGTGTCGAGGAATTTATCCATTTCTTCTAGATTTTCCAGTTCATTAGCATTAGAGGTGTTTATAGTATTCTCTGATGGTAGTTTGTATTTCTGTGGGATCGGTGGTGATATCCTCTTTGTCATTTTTTATTGTTTCTATTATATTCTTCTCTCTTTTCTTCTTTATTTGTCTTGCTAGTGGTCTGTCAATTTTGTTGATCTTTTCAGAAAACCAGCTCCTGGATTCATTGATTTTTTGTAGAGTTTTTTGTGTCTCTATTTCCTTCAGTTCTGCTGTGATCTTAGTTTTTTCTTGCCTTCTGCTAGCCTTTGAATATGTTTGCTCTTGCTTCTCTGGTTCTTTTAATTGTGATGTTAGGATATCAATTTTATATCTTTCCTGCTTTCTCCTGTGGGCATTTAGTGTTACAAATTTCCCGCTACGCACTGCTCTGAATGTGTCCCAGAGATTCTGGTATGTTGTTTCTTTGTTCTCATTGGTTTCAAATAACATCTTTATTTCTGCCTTCACTTCGTTATGTACCCAGTAGTCATTCCAGAGCAGGTTGTTCAGTTTCCATGTAAATGAGCGGATTTGAGTGAGTTTCTTAATCCTGAGTTCTAGTTTGATTGCACTGTGGTCTGAGAGACAATTTGTTATAATTTCTATTCTTTTACATTTGCTGAGGAGTGCTTTACTTCCAAGTATGTGGTCAATTTTGGAAAAAGAGTGGTGTGGTGCTAAAAAGAATGTGCATTCTGTTGATTTGGGGTGGAGAGTTCTGTAGATGTCTATTAGGTTCACTGTGTGCAGAGCTGAGTTCAATTCCTGGATATCCTTTTTAGCTTTCTGTCTTGTTGATCTGTCTAATGTTGAAGTGGAGTGTTAACATCTCCCATTATTGTTGTGTGGAAGTCTAAGTCTCATTATAGGTCACTAAGGACTTGCTTTATGAATCTGGGTGCTCCCATATTGGGTGCATATACATTTAGGGTAGTTAGGTCTTCTTGTTGAATTGATCCCTTTAGCATTATGTAATGGCCTTCTTTGCCTCTTTTGATGTTGTTTCATTTAAAGTCTGTTTTATCAGAGACTAGGATTGCAACCCCTGCTTTTTTTGTTTTCCATTTGCTTGGTAGATCTTCCTCCATCCCTTTGTTTTGAGCCTATGTGTGTCTCTGCCTGTGAGATGGGTTTCCTGAATACAGCACACTGATGGGTCTTGATTCTTTATCCAATTTACCAGTCTGTGCCTTTTAATTTGAGCATTTAACCCATTTGCATTTTAGGTTAGTATTGTTATGTGTGAATTTTATCCTGTCATTATGATATTAACTAGTTAGTTGATGGAGTTTCTTCCTAACCTTGATGGTCTTTATAATTTGCATGTTTTTGCAGTGGCTGCTACTGGTCGTTCCTTTCCACATTTAATGCTTCCTTCAGGACCTCTTTTAGGGCAGACATGGTGGTGACAAAATCTCTCAGCATTTGCTTGTCTGTAAAGTACTTTATTTCTTCTTCACTTATGAAGCATAGTTTGGCTTGATATGAAATTCTGGGTAGAAAATTCTTTTCTTTAAGAATATTGAATATTGGCCCCCACTCTCTTCTGGCTTGTAGAGTTTCTGCTGAGAGATGAGCTGTTAGTCTGATGGGTTTCCGTTTGTGGGTAACCCGACCTTTCTCTCTGGCTGCCCTTTACATTTTTTCCTTCTTTTCAACTTTGGTGAATCTGACAATTATATGTCTTGGAGTTGCTCTTCTTGATGAGTATCTTTGTGGCATTCTCTGTATTTCCTGAATTTGAATGTTGGCCTGAATTGTTAGATTGGGGAAGTTGTCCAGGATAATATCCTGCAGAATGTTTTCCAACTTGGTTCCATTCTCCCTGTCACTTTCAGGTACACCAATTAGACATAGATTTGGTCTTTTCACATAGTCCCATATTTTTGGAAATTTTGTTCATTTCTTTTTATTCTTTTTTCTCTAAACTGATCTTCACACTTCATTTCATCTTCCATTGCTGATACCCTTTCTTCCAGTTGATTGCATCAGTTACTGAGGTTTGTGCATTCAGCACGTTGTTCTCGCGCCATGTTTTTCAACTCCATCAGGTTCTCTAAGGACTTTCTTCATTGGTTATTCTAGTTATCCATTGATCTAATTTTTTTTCAAAGTTTTTAACTTCTTTGCCATTGGTTCAAACTTCCTCCTTTAGCTCAGGGTAGTTTGACCTTCTGAAGTCTTCCTCTCACAATTCGTGAAAGTCATTCTCTGTCCATCTTTGTTCCATTGCTGGTGAGGAGCTGCATTCCTTTGAAGGACGAGAGGTGCTCTGATTTTTAGAGTTTCCCGTTTTTCTGCTCTGTTTTTTCCCCATCTTTGTGGTTTTATCTACCTTTAGTCTTTGATGATGGTGACGTACAGATGGGTTTCTGGTGTGGATGTCCTTTCTGTTTGTTAGTTTTCATTCTAGCCATCAGGACCCTCAGCTGCAGGTCTGTTGGAGTTTACTCAAGGTCCACTCCAGACCCTGTTTGCCTGGGTGTCAGCAGTGGTGGCTGCAAAACAGTGGATATTGGTGAACCGCAAATGCTGCTGCCTAATCATTCCTCTGGATGTTTTGGCTCAGAGGCGTACCCGGCCCGGTAAGGTGTCAGTCTGCCTGTACTGATGGGTGCCTCCCAGTTAGGCTACTCAGGAGTCAGTGACCCACTTGAGGAGGCAGTTTGCCCATTCTCATATCTCCAGCTGTGTGCTGGGAGAACCACTAGTCTTCCAAACTCTCAGACAGGGACATTTAAGTCTGCAGAGGTTATTGCTGTCTTTTGTTTGTCTGTGCCCTGCCCCCAGAGGTGGAGCCTACAGAAGCAGGCAGGCCTCCTTGAGCTGTGGTGGGCTCCACCCAGTTCAAGCTTCCCAGCCACTTTGTTTACCTACTCAAGCCTGAGCAATGGCGGGTGTCCCTCCCCCAGCCTCACTGCCACCTTGCATTTTGATCTCAGACTGCTGTTCTAGCAATGAGTGAGGCTCAGTGGGCATAGAACCCTCTGAGCCATGTGTGGGACATAATCTCCTGGCGTGCCATTTCTGAAGCCCATTGGAAAAGCACAGTATTAATGTGGGAGTGACCTGATTTTCGAGGTGCCGTCTGTTGCCCATTTCTTTGACTAGGAAAGGGAATTCCCTGACCTCTTGAGCTTCCTGGGTGAGGTGATGCCTCACCCTGCTTCAGCTCATGCACAGTGTGCTCCACCCACTGTCCTGCACCCACTGTCTGGCACTCCACAGTGAGATGAACCCAGTACCTCAGTTAGAAATGCAGAAATCACCCATCTTCTGCATTGGTCATGGTGGAAGCTGTAGAGTGGAGCTGTTCCTATTTGGCCATCTTGGCTGCACCCCTCTTTCTTATTTTCATCAGGGGATATTTGCTTTCTCCTCATAGGCCACAATGGGCCCTGAATGTACCTTCACAGATTTTCCAAAAAGAGTTCTGTCAACCTGATGAATCAAATGAAAGGTTTAACTCTTTCATTAATCTTTACATCACAAAGCAGTTACACAGACAGCTTCTTTCAGTTTTTATGTAGGGGTATTCAATTTTTCCTTTAGGCCTGAATGGGCTCCCAAAAGTCCCTTTGCTGATTCTACAAATAGAATGTTTCCAACCTGCTGAATCAAAGGAAGGATTTACCTCTGAGATGAATCCACACATCATAGAGCACTTTCCCAGATACCTACTTTCTAGTTTTTACCTGGGCATATTCGTCTTCATCAGCCAGGAGTTACATAGACAGCTTCTTTCTAGTTTTTATCTGGGCATATTTTTTTTTCCATTGGGCCTCAAAGGGGCTCCCAAATGTCCCTTCACAGATTATCCAAAAAGATTGTTTTTAACCTGCTGACTCAAAAGAATGGTGTAAACCTTTGAGATGAATCCAGAAATCATTGAGCAGTTTGACAAATAGCTTCTTTCTAGCTTTTACCTGGGGCTATTACGTTGTTCTCCATGGTTCTCAACGGTCTCTCAAATGTCCACTGTCAGATTTTCCAAAAACCGCGTTTCCAACCTGCTGAATCAAAAGAAAGGCTTAACTCAGTGAGATGAAAGCGCAAATCCCAAAGTAGTTTCCCAGATATCATCTTTCTAGTTTTTACCTGTGGATATTAGGATTTTCCCAATAGGTCTCAATGGGGGTCCAAAATGTCCCTTTGCAGATTCTCCAAAAAGAGTGTTTCCAACCTATTGAATCAAAAGAAAGGCTTAACTCAGTGAGACGAAAACACAAATCACAAAGCAGTTTCCCAGATATCGTCTTTCTAGTTTTTAACTGAGGATATTAGAATTTTCCTGAAAGGCCTTAATGGGACCCAAAATGTCTCTTTGCAGATACTGCTGAATCAAAGGAAATGTTTAACTCTGTGAGATTATTCCACACATCACAAAGCAGTTTCACAGACAGCCTCTTCCTAGTTTTTATCTAGAATTTTTTTTTTCATGGGCCTCAATGGGCTCCCAAATATCCCTTCACATGTTCTCCAAAAAGAGTGTTTCCAACCTGCTGTATCAAAAGAAAGATTTAACTCAGTGAGATGAATCCACACATGACAAGGCAGTGCCACAGATGTCTTCTTTCTGGTTTTTACCTGGGGTTATTCTGTTTATCCCCATAGGCTGCAATGGGCTCCCAAATGTCCCTTTGCAGATTCTCCTAATAGGGTGTTTACGATCTGTTGAATCAAAATAAATGTTTAAATCTGTGAGATGAATCTATACATCACAAAGCAGATTCAGAGATAGCTTCTTTCTAGTTTTTACCTAAGGCTATTCAGTTTTTCCCCATGGGCCTCAGTGGGATCCAAAATATTCCTTTGCACATTCTCCAAAAAAGAGTGTTTCCAACCTCCTGAATCAAAAAAAAAAGTTTTAACTTGGTGACATGAATCCACACATGACAAAGCAGTTTCATAGATAGCTTCTCTCTAGTTCTTACTTGGGGATATTCGGTTTTCTTTCATGGGCTTCAATGGGGTCAAAAATGTCCCCAGGCAGAATCTCCAAAAGAGTGTTTCCAATCTGCCGAATCAAAAGAAAGGTATACCTCTGTGAGATGAATCCGTATCACAAAGCAGTTTCCCAGATAGCTATTATCTAGTTTTTAACTGGGGATATTAGTTTTTTTTTCCCCCCCATGGGCCTCAATTTTATCCAAAATGGCCTTTCACAGTTTATCCAATAAACGTGTTTCCAACTGGCTGTCAAAAGAGAGGTTTAATTCTGTGAGATGAATCCACACATCACCAAGCAGTTTCACAGATAGTTTTTTTCTAGTTGTTATCATGAAATATTCTGTTTTCACCATGGGCCTCAATGTGTTACCAGATATCCTTTTGCAGATTCTCCAAAAATAGTGCTTGCAATATGCTGAATCAACAGAAAACTTTATCTCTGTGAGATGAATTTACAGATGACAAAGGAGTTTCACAGATAGTTTGCTTTTTGTTTTACCCTGTGATACTCAGTTTTTGCCCATAGGCCTCAATGAGCTTCCAAATGTCCTTTCAAATATTGTCAAGAAAGAGCTTTCAACCTGCTGAATAACAGAAAGGTTTAACTCTGAGATAAATCCACACATAAAAAGCAGTTTCACAGATAGCTTCTTTCTGGTTTTTACCTGGCTATATTCGTTTTTTTGTTTTTTATGGGCCTCAGTGGGCTCTCTGATGTCCCTTCACAGATTATCTAAAATAGTGTTTCCAACCTGCTAAACCAAAGAAAGGTTTAACTCTGTGGGATGAATCCACACATCCCAAAACAGTTTTAGAGATAGCGTCTTTCTAGTTTTTATCTGTATTTGTTTTTCCCCATGGGCCTCAAAGGCCCTCAACTGCCCTTGGCAGATTCTCCAAAAAGAGTGTTTCCAACCTGGTGAATCAAAAGAAATGTTTAATTCTGTGTAATGAATCCACACATCAAAAAGCATTTTCACAGATAGCTTCATTCTAGTTTTTATTATGGGATATTCAGGTTTTCCCCATGGGCCTGAATGGATTCCAAATTGTCCATTCACAGATTCTCCAAAAAGAGCGATTCCAACTTGTGGGATCAAAAGAAAGCTTTAACTCTGTTAGATGAATTTACATGTCACAAAGCAATTTCACAGATACTTTGTTTCCCTTATTTACATAGGGATACTTTTTTCCCCATGGGCCTTAATGGACTCTAAAATGTCCTTTCACAGATTCTCAAAAAAGACAGTTTTCAAACTGTTGAATCAAAAGGAAAGTTTAACTCCATGAGCTAAATCTGCACATCACAAAGCAGTTTCACAGATAGCTTCTTCCTAGTTTTTATCTGGAAATTTTCCATTGATTTTAATTTGGGATCTATGGTCTCCCAATTATCCCATTGATTCTCCAAAAAGAGTATTTCCATCCTACTGAATGCAGAGAAAGGTTTAACTTGGTGAGATGAATCCACACATCACAAGACAGTGCCACAGATAGCTTCTTTCTACTTTTTACCTCGGGATATTCAATTTTATGGCCATATGATGCAATGGGCTCCGAAATGTCCCTTTGTAGATTCTCCAAAAACAGTGTTCCCAACCTGCTGAATCAAAAGAAAGTTTTAACACTTTGAGATGAATCTACACATCCCAAAGCAGTTTCACCGATAGGTAGTCTTTACTTCTTTATCTGTGGATATTTGTTTTTTTCCCCTGCGCCTCATTGCATTTCCAAATATCTCTTCACACATTCTACAAAAACAGGTTTCCAACATGATCAATTAAAAGAAAGGTTTTTGTCTGTGAGATGAATCTACACATCACAAAGCAGTTTTACAGATACTTTCTTTCTAGTTTTTACCTACGGATATTTGGTTTTTCCCCATGGACCTCATTGGTATCCAAAATACCCCTTCACAGATATTCCAGAAAAAGTGTTTCCAAATGCTTGAATCAAAAAAAAAAAAAAAAAAAAAAGGTTTAACTCTGTGAGATAAATCCATGCATCACAAATAAGTTTCACAGATTCTTTCTAGTTTTTATCTGGGGATATTAGTTGTTTTTCCTTGGACCTCACTAGGCTCCCAAATATGCCTTTGCAGATTCTCCAAAAAGAGTGTTTCCAACCTGCTGAATCAAAAGAAAGATTTAACTCTGTTAGATGAATCCACACATCACAAAGCTGTTTCACAGGTGTCTTCCTTATAGTTTTTGCCTTGGGATATTCTGTTTTTTTCCTTATAGGTCTCAATGGGCTCCCAAATGTCTCTTCACAGATTCTCCAAAAGAAGTGTCTCCAACCAGCTGAATCAAAAGAAATGTTTAATCCTGCAAGATGAATTCACACTCACAAAGCCATTTCAAAGATAGCTTCTTTTTAATTTTTATCAGGGCATATTCTGTTTTTCCCCATAGTCTCAAAGGGCTCCCAAATATCCCTTCACAGATTCTCCCAAAAGAGTGTTTCCAACCAGTTGAATAAAAAGGAAGGTTTAACTTTGTGAGATAAATCCACACATCACAAATCCATTTCACAGATAGAGTCTTTCTTGTTTTTACCTGGGAATACTCTGTTTTTCCCCACAGTCATCAATGAGCTCCAAAATGTCCCTTTGCAGATTCTACAAAAAGTGTTGCAACCTGCTGTATCAAAAGAAAAATTTACTTCTGTGAGGTGAATCCACACATCACAAAGTAATTTCACAGATAGCTTCATTCTAGTTTTTAACTGAAAATACTTGGTTTTTCTGCATAGTCCAGTTGGAGCACAGAAATGGCCCTTCACAGATTCTCCAAAAAGAATGTTTCCACCTGATGAATAAAAAGAAAAGTATAATTCTGTGAGAAGAATCTACCCATCACAAAGCATTTTCACAGATAGCTTCCGTCTGGTTTTTGTCTTGGGATATTCGTTCTTTTCCAATAATTGTCCATGGGATCCCAAATGTCATTTTGTAGATTTTTCAAAAAGAGTATTTTCAATCTCCTGAATAAAAAGAAAGGTTTATCTCTGTGACATGAATCCAGATATCACAAAGAAGTTTCACGGATACCTTCTTTCTAGTTTTATCTGGGGATATTTGGTTTCACCCCATAGACCTCAAGGGTCTCCAAAATGTCCCTTTGTAGATTATGCATAAAGAGTGTTTCAAAACCTGTGGAATCAGGAGAAAAGTTTAACACTGAGAGATGAAAATATGTATCACAAAAAGTTCCTCAGATAGCTTCTTTGTTGTTTTTATCTGGGTATATGTGGTTATTCCCCTTTGGCCTGAAAGGGCTCCCAAATATTCAATCGCATATTTTCTGAAAAGAGTGCTTTCAACTTGCTGAATCAAAAGAAATGTTTGCCTTTGTAAGATGAATCCACATATCACAAAAAAGTTTGACAGACTATCTTCTTTCTAGTTTTTATCTGACGATATTCAGTTTTGCCCCACAGACCTCCAGGAGCTCCCAAATGTCCCTTTGCAGATTCTACAAAAAGACTGTTTCCAACCTGCTGAACTGAAAGAAAGGTTCAACTCTGTGAGATGAATGCGCACATCTCAAATCATTTTCACAGATAGTTTGTTTTTAGTTTTTATATGAATATATTTGGGTTTTCCTCGACTGCATCAATTGGCTCATAAATGTGCCTTTGCAGATCCTCCAAAAGCAGTGTTTTCCACCTGCTGAATCAAAAGAAAAAATTAATTCTGTGAGATGAATCCATACATCAAAAAGCACAAATAGCTTTCTTCTAGTTTTTATCTGTGGATATTTGTTCTTTCCCAGTAATTCTCAATGGGCTCCAAAGTGTTCCTTTGCAGATCCTACAAAAAGGGTGTTCCCAATCTGCTGAAGGAAAAGAAAAAAAATACTGTTTTAAGATGAATCTACATGTCTGAAAGTTTCACAGATAGGTTCTTTCTAGTTTTACCTGGGGATATTCGATTTGTCCCCATAGACCTCAATGGGTGTTCAAATGTCCCTTTGCAGATTCTCCAAAAAGAGTGTTGTAAACGAGCTAAATGAAAAGAAAGATTTAACTCTGTTCAATGAATCCACACATCACAAAGCAGTTTTACAAATACTTTATTTCTAGGTTTTATCTGGGGCTATTCTCTTTCTCCCCCAGGCCTCAATGAGCTCCCAAATGTCTGTTCACAGACTCTACACAGAGTGTTTCCAACCTGCTGAATCAAAAGAATGTTTTAAATCTGTGAAATGAATCCACACATCACAAAGCAGTTTCACAGATGGCTTCTTTGTAGTTTTTATCTGAAGATATTCTGTTTTTTTATATTGATCCTCAATGGGCTCTGAAATTTATCCTCATAGACTATACAAAAAGAGTATTTTCAACATGCTGAATCAAAAGAAATATTTAACTCTGTCAGGTGAGTCCACACATCATGAAGCACTTTCACAGAGACCTTCTTTCTAGTATTTTTCTGGGATATTCTGCCTTTCTACATAATCGTCAATGGGTGCCAAATGTCCCTTTGCAGATACCGCAAAAAGAGTGTTTCCAAACTGCTGAATTGTAAGAAAGGTTTAACTCTGTGAGACGAATCGATACATCACAAAGCTGTTTCACACATAGCTGCTTTTTAATCTTTATCTGGGGATATTCTCTTTCTGCCTTTAGACATCAAAAGACTTCCAAATATCCCTTCACAGATTCTCCAAAAATAGTAATTCCAACCTGCTGAATAAGAAAACGTTAACTCTGTGAGACGTATCCCCACATCACAAAGAAGTATCACACAGAGCTTCTTTGTAGTTTTTATCTGGGTATATTCTTTTTTTCCCTATAGGCCTCAATGGGCTCCAAAATATCCCTTTGCAGATTCTACAAAGAAAATGTTTCCAACCTGCTGAATAAGAAGAAAAATTTAACTCTGTGAGATTAATCAAAGCAGTTACTCTGATACCTTCTTTCTAGTTTCTTATCTGGGGATTTTCCGTTTTACCCGTAGGCCTTAATGGGCTCCAAAATGTCCCTTTGCCAATTACCCAAAAAGACTGTTCACAATCTGCTGAATCAAAGGAAAGTTTTAATGCTGTGAGCTGAATGCAAACATCACAAAGCTGTTTCACAGAGTTTCTTTCTAGTTTTTATCTGGGGATATTCAGTATTTCCCCATAGGCCTCAATGGGTTACAAATTGTCACTTCATAGATTTTCAAAAAGAGTGTTTCCAACTTGCCAAATCAAAAGAAAGATTGAGTATTGTGAGATGAATCCACACATCATGAAGCCGTTTCAGGAATATATTTTTTCTAGTTTTTATCTGCGTATATTCCATTTTTCCCCACAGTCCCCAGTGTGCTCTGAAATGTCCCATCACATATTCTCCAAAATGAGTGTTTATAACCAGCTGAATCAAAAGAATGGCTTAACACTGTGAGATGAATCCACACATCACAAAGAAGTTTCACAGGTAGATTCCTTCTAGGTTTTATCTGGGGATATTCAGTTTTGTTCCATAGGCCTCCATGGGCTTCCAAATGTCCCTTCACAGATTCTCCAAAAACAGTGTTTCCAACCTGCTGAATGAAAAGAAAGGTTCAAGTTGGTGAGAAGAATCCATGGATCACAAAGCAGTTTCACAGATAACTTCTTGTAAATTTTTAACTGTGTGTATTTGATTTTTCCCTGGTAGCATCACTGGGCTCCCAAATTCACAGATTCTCCAAAACGAGTGTTTCCCTCCTGCTGAAAGAAAATAATTAATTCTGTGAGATGAATCCACACATCAAAAGGCAATTTCACAGATAGCCTCCTTCAAGTTTTTATCTGGGAATATCCAGTTTTTTCTCCATAGGCATAAGCAAGCCCTCAAACATCCTTTTGCACATTTTAAAAAAAAAAAGATGATTCCAAACTGCTGAATCAAAAGAAAAATTTCCTTCTGTAACATGAATCCACATGTCACAAACAGTTTCACAGATAGCTTCTTTCTAGTTTATCTAAGGATATTCAATTTTTTTTCCCATAGGCTTCTAGGGGAGTTAAAATGACCATTCATAGATTCTGGAAAAGGAGTGTTTTCAACCTACTGAATAAACCAAAGCTTTTAATCTGTAAGATGAATCCGCACATCACAAAGCATCTTCACAGAGCTTTATTCTAGTTTTTATCTGGGTTTATTCAGGTTTTCCCCTTATGCTGCAATTGGCTCCCAGGTTTCTCTTTGCAGATTCTACAGAAAGAGTGTTTCCAAACTGCTGAATCATAAGAAAGCTTTTTCTCTTTGAGAGGACTCCACACATCACAAAGCAGTTTCATATATAGCTTTTGTCTAATTTTTATTTGGGTATATTCATTTTTTCTCAATAGGCCTCAATGGGCTCCCAAATGTTTCTCTGCAGGTTTTCTAAAAACAGTGTTTACACTTTGATGAATCAAAGGAAAGCTTTAAGTCTGTGAGAGGAATCCACACATCAGAAAGAGGTTTAAGAGATAGCTTCTTTTGACTTTTTATTTGGGTATATTCAGTTTTTCTGCATAGGCCTCAATAGGCTTCCAAATGTCCCTAAACAGATTCTTAATTAGAGTCTATCCAACCTGCTAGACCGAAAGAAATGTTTAACTCTATGAGATAAATCCATACATCACAAGGCAGTTTCACAGACTGCTTCTTTCTAGTTTTCATCTTGGGATATTTGGTTCTTCCCAATAGACCTCAATGTCTCCCAAATGTCCTTTGCAGGCTTCTCCAAAATAAGTGTTTCCAACCTGCTGAATCAAAAGAAAGGTTTAAACCTATGAGGTGAATCCACACATCACAAAGCAGTTTCACACATAGCTTCTTTCTAATTTTTATTCAGGGCTATCTTGTTTTTTTCACCATAGGCCTGAATGGTCCTCCAAATGTCACTTCACAGACTGTCTAAGAAGTGTTTACAGCCTGCTGAATAAAAAAAATAGATTTAACACTGCAAGATGAATCCACACGTCAAAAAGCAGTTTCACACATAGCTTCTTTCTAGTTTTTATCTGGAGATATTTGTTTGTTTGTTTGTTTGTTTCCATTGGCCTTAACGGACTCCCAAATGTCCCTTTGAAGATTCTCCAAAAAGAGTGTTTTCCACCTGCTGAATCAAAAGAAAAGTTTACTTCTGTGAGATGAGCCCACATACCTCAAAGCAGTTTCACAAATAGCTTCTTTCTAGTTCTTATCTGGGGATTCTCTTTTGCCACATAGGCAACAATGAGCTGCAAAATGTCCCTTTGCAGATTTTCCAAAAAGAGTGTTTCCAACCTGCTGAATCAAAAGAAAAGTTTAACTCTGTAAGTTGAATCCACACATCACAAAGCAGTTTCATAGATAGCATCTTTCTAGTTTTTCTCTAGGGTTATTCTGTTTTTTTCCCCATAGGCCTCAATGAGCTCCAAAATGTTACTACACAGATTCTTTTAAAAGATTTTTTTCCTTAGCAGAAAAAACCTGAATTTGAGAAAAATATGCAGAGAATCATAAAAATAAGCACAACTTATATAACACAGACAGAACAACAGTAAAAAAAAAAAGCCTACTTTAAAAAACAAAATGGAAATATAATTACTAAAAATAAAAGGCCTGGCATGGTGGCTCATGCCTGCAATCCCAGTGCTTTGGGAGGCTGAGATGGGTGGATCACGAGGTCAGCAGATCACCCTGGCTAATAGTGAAACCCCATCCCTACTAAAAATACAAAAACAAAATAGCCGGGTGTGATGGTGGGCACCTGTAGTCCCAGCTACTCAGGAAGCTGAGGCAGGAGAATGGCATGAACCCAGGAGGCAGAGCTTGCAGTTAGTTGAGACTACATCACTGCACTCCAGCCTGGGTGACAGAACGAGACTCCATCTCAAAAAAAAAAAAAAAAAAAAAATTCTCATTATTCAAAGACTGAATTGCATTTCCGTGTCACACAAATGTGATTATATCTACCATGGTTTGAAAACAAACAAACAAAAAGTAGTAAATATTATTAACTAAAATTTCAAGTTACTAGATAGCAAGCACAGTAAACATGCCAGTCATAGTATCTCACATATTCTACCCGTATCATCAAAATGCAGTCCTGATAAAAATCTCATGAAAGTACACTAATTTCAGGAAGAATAACAGTATTTACTATCAGACCATTAAAAAAATTATAATTAAAACTTACCTCACAATTTTGTTCCTCATCTTTGAACAATCATCATCTTTATCACTAACTGTTTTTTCAATTGTAGAAATACTGTTTCTGATGACTAGGATTATATATAGTTGCTGGATCACAGAATTTATGTGAAAAGTAGCACCAGCTTCTCTGAGTCCCACCAATTTTTTGGTGGGCAGGATCCAACAGAGGGCAGATATTCCTGTTCACTGAGTGCTTCACAAGCTAAGAAAAAATAATGCTTATGCAACAAAAATAATGATTTTACCCATTGTTCTCTTAATCAGGCTGTGAAATTTATTCTATGAGGCTAACACAGCCATTTTGAAAGAGTACTTTAAACTTTTACATCAGCAATGTGAGCCACCATAAAGACTATTGCATGCAGACTTTTTAAGTCCACATTTTTAACGGCATTGTTTTTGCAACAATTTTCTTAGAAAGAGTCATACACGATGATATAATATTAAATTCTCATGTGTTAAACAGAGACTTAGCATTAATCGTTATGACTTTACATATTAAAAAACTTTTGCACTTAAAATAAGTGTATACAATACACTTCCATCAGAACTTTATATAAATAGAACATTAGCGTTTTCTCAGTTTTAATGGAGCACTTCATTTAAATTATTGTTCTGACTCATAAAAACTATAACCTTCACATAAATATCACTTTCTTCCTCAGCTGATAGTGATAATTGCTTTATATATCTTCACAGTTTTATTGTGAGAAGAAGTCAATTAGATGGTGTCTTTAAAATACCTGTGAAAATTGTAAATGCTACTTTTTGTAAAACAGAATACAACTTACACATCACTCCATCTTACAGGTGGATTGCATAAATTAGAACATATTGAACTTCAAGTTATGTAGCTTCAAAACAGAATTAAACAGATCTTCATGTATTGACAGGTGTGTGACTAAGTACAAAACAAGGTTAACCATATTGTATATTGCTTATGCTCATTTCCATAAAAAAAAAATAGCTAAGCATTTGAAGATGCGCATATACCTAAAAGAAAATCTCTGGACCAGAAATATATTATTGGTGACAAGTTCATAGTTTTTACTGCATGTCCTCTTATATATTTGAAAATATATATTAATCACAAGAAAACAGTGGCTAAATAGTTTAAACAAATACTATTTTTTGTTTGTTTAAAAAACTCTTTTGAAAATATATATTTACTATTCCAATACAATAGTTAAACAAAAAAAAGTGTTTTCAAAAAGGAAATTCTTCTCTCTACGTAGATCCTACAGAACACATAAACATCTGAAATTTTGAGTAGTGAGTTTAGCTAGAAACTCCTACAATGTATTAAAAAATATACTCACAGAGAAAAAATATAAAGAAATATAATTTCACATTTCCAATGAAATATCTGTACAGAATGCTTTGTTAATTATATTCTTAACTCTCAGGTTTCTCTTGAAATAAACTAAATTTCAGGTTATCGTTTGTTAACTTACTTACATTGGTTCCCACTCTGAATTGCAGTTTTGTGTAAGATTTCAACATTGCTACCCATTTTGTTTAATTAATATGGACATTTAAAAGTAATAAAATGCACTCAAATGTTCTCTTCTCACATTATGATTTTTAAAAAAACACCACCCGGAATATAAGTAAAATAAATTAAGCAACTATAATGTTTGGGTTATGAAAATCTTTTTAAAGAATACGTTTTAAATATAAACTTTTTGTAGCATTACATTTGGTTTCTTGTTATTCTAAAGGGTTAATTTTTTTTTTTCACATATGACTAAATAAAACCCACTGTGGTAAAGTACCAAAACCAAGTATAGAAGAGAAGTTAAGAAATACATGCTTATTAAAAAATTAATGTTCTCTTACTTAAATGGCTTTAATTATATACCTGATGACTACAAAATAGTAAACTAGTTGACCAAAAACAAACAAACAAAAAAAATGAGTTAATTTTTCTAAAGGAAATAATAGAATTTTAAACAAAAGTGTGATTAATGAACAAAACTGCTTTATAATTTAAAATACTCACAGTTTTTGCTTTGTCTACGTAATATGTTTCAGTCAAACAGTGTAGCATCAATGTGAAATTTTTTACACAGCCAATAGCTGCTGCTGCAAGTAGCTCAAAACCAGAGTTTATGGTAATGGGTGACTTACAGACTAGAACAGCCTTCTCTGTTAGCAGTTCTTTGCTTGTCATATATTGCAGGTGAACTTTAGGTGCAGGGAAGATGAAAAAAATTAATTTCTCATATGTTAGAAAAAATAATCACATATTATTAGTAGAAAAGTTAGGTTATAAAAACTTCCTTTTCAAAGAAAATACCTTTAAGTTCATTTCACATAATTGAACATCTCAATGTATCTTGAAGCAATTTTGAGTTTTCTTACAAAAGAAAATCCTGGAGGGCAGCCAAGATGGCTGAAAAGGAACAGCTCCGGTCTACAGCTCCCAGCATGAGTCATGGAGAAGACGGGTGATTTCTGCATTTCCATCTGAGGTACCCAGTTCATCTCACTAGGGAGTGCCAGATAGTGGGCGCACGTCAGTGGGTACAGTGCACCATGAACGAGCTGAAGCAGGGCGAGGCATTGCCTCACTCAGGAATTGCAAGGGGTCAGGGAGTTCCCTTTCCTAGTCAAAGAAAGGGGTGACAGACGGCACCTGGAAAATCGGGTTACTGCCACCCTAATACTGCACTTTTCCAGTGGGCTTAAAAAATGGCACACCAGGAGATTATATCCCACACCTGGCTCAGAGGATCCTACGCCCACAGAGTCTCGCTGATTGCTAGCACAGCAGTCTGAGATCAAACTGCAAGGCTGCAGCAAGCCTGGTGGAGGGGCGCCCGCCATTGCTGAAGCTTGCTTAGGTAAACAAAGCAGCTGGGAAGCTCAAACTGGTTGGAGCCCACCACAGCTCAAGGAGGCCTGCCTGCCTCTGTACGCTCCACCTCTGGGGGCAGCGCACAGACAAACATAAAGACAGCAGTAATCTCTGCAGACTTAAATGTCCCTTTCTGACAGCTTTGAAGAGAGCAATGGTTCTCCCAGCACGCAGCTGGAGATCTGAGAATGGGCAGACTGCCTCCTCAAGTGGGTCTCTGACCCCTGATCCCCAAGCAGCCTAACTGGGAGGCACCCCTCAGTAGGGGCAGACTGACACCTCACATGGCCAGGTACTCCTCTGAGAAAAAACTTCTAGAGGAACGATCAGACAGCAGCATTCGCGGTTCACGAAAATCTGCTGTTCTGCAGCCACCGCTGCTGATACCCAGGCAAACAGGGTCTGGAGTGAACCTCTAGCAAATTCCAACAGACCTGCAGCTGAGGGTCCTGTCTGTTAGAAGGAAAACTAACAAACAGAAAGGATATCCACATCAAAAACCCATCTGCACATCACCATCATCAAAGACCAAAGGTAGATAAAACCACAAACATGGGGAAAAAACAGAGCAGAAAAACTGGAAACTCTAAAAAGCAGAGCACCTCTCCTCCTCCAAAGGAATGCAGTTCCTCACCAGCAATGGAACAAAGCTGGATGGAGAATGACTTTGACGAGTTGAGAGAAGAAGGCTTCAGACAATCAAACTACTCCAAGCTACAGGAGGAAATTCAAACCAAAGGCAAAGAAGTTAAAAACTTTGAAAAAAATTTAGACGAATCTATAACTAGAATAACCAACATGGAGAAGTGCTTAAAGGAGCTGATGAAGCTGAAAGCCAAGGCTTGAGAACTACATGAAGAATGCAGAAGCCTCAGGAGCCAATGTGATCAACTGGAAGAAAGGGTATCAGTGATGGAAGATGAAATGAATGAAATGAAGGGAGAAGGGAAGTTTAGAGAAAAAATAATAAAAAGAAATGAACAAAGCCTCCAAGAAATATGGGACTACGTGAAAAGACCAAATCTACAACTGATTGGTGTACCTGAAAATGACAGGGAGAATGGAACCAAGTTGGAAAACACTATGCAGGATATTATCCAGGAGAACTTCCCCAATCTAGCAAGGCAGGCCAACATTCAGATTCAGGAAATACAGAGAACACCACAAAGATACTCCTCGAGAAGAGCAACTCCAAGACACATAATTGTCAGATTCATCAAAGTTGAAATGAAGGAAAAAATATTAAGGGCAGCCAGAGAGAAAGGTCAGATTACCCACAAAGGGAAGCTCATCAGACTAACAGCGGATCTCTCGGCAGAAACTCTACAAGCCAGAAGAGGGTGGGGGCCAATATTCAACATTCTTAAAGAAAAGAATTTTCAACCCAGAATTTCATAACCAGACAAACTAAGTTTCATAAGTGAAGGAGAAATAAAATACTTTACAGACAAGCAAATGCTGAGAGATTTTGTCACCACAAGGCCTGCCTTGTAGGGCTCCTGAAGGAAGCACTAAACATGGAAAGGAACAACCGGTACCAGCCACAGCAAAATCATGCCAAATTGTAAAGACCATTAGGCTAGGAAGAAACTGCATCAACTAATGAGCAACACAACCAGCTCACATCATAATGACAGGATCAAATTCACACATAACAATATTAACTTTAAACATAAGTGGACGAAATGATCCAATTAAAAGACACAGACTGGCAAATTGGATAAAGAGTCAAAACCCATCAGTGTGCTGTATTCAGGAAACCCATCTCACGTGCAGAGATACACATAGGCTCAAAATAAAAGGATGGAGGAAGATCTATCAAGCAAATGGAAAACAAAACAAGGCAGGGGTTGCAATCCTAGTCTCTGATAAAACAGACTTTAAACCAACAAAGATCAAAAGAGACAAAGAACACCATTACATAATGGTAAAGAGATCAATTCAACAAGAAGAGCTGCCTATCCTAAATATATATGCTCCCAATACAGGAGCACCAAGATTCATAAAGCAAGTCCTCAGTGACCTACAAAGAGACTGAGACCCCCACACAATAATAATGGGAGACTTTAACACCCCACTGTCAACATTAGACAGATCAATGAGACAGAAAGTTAACAAGGATATCCAGGAATTGAACTCAGCTCTGCACCAAGTGGACCTAATAGATATCGACAGAAGTCTCCACCCCAAGTCAACAGAATATACATTTTTTCAGCACCACACCACACCTATTCCAAAATTGAATAGTTGGAAGTAGACCTCTCCTCAGCAAATGTAAAAGAACAAAAATTATAACGAACTGTCTCTCAGACCACAGTGCAATCAAACTAGAACTCAGGATTAAGAAACTCACTGAAAACGGCTCAACTACATGGAAATAGAACAACCTGCTTCTGAATGACTACTGGGTACATAATGAAATGAAGGCAGAAATAAAGATGTTCTTTGAAACTAACGAGAACAAAGACACAAAATACCAGAATCTCTGGGACACATTCAAAGCAGAGTGTAGAGGGAAATTTATAGCACTAAATGCCCACAAGAGAAAGCAGGAAAGATCCAAAATTGACACCCTAACATCACAATTAAAAGAACTAGAAAAGCAAGAGCAAACACATTCAAAAGCTAGCAGAAGGCAAGAAATAACTAAGATCAGAGCAGAACTGAAGGAAATAGAGACACAAAAAACCCTTCAAAAAATTAATGAATCCAGGAGCTGGTTTTTTGAAAAGATCAACAAAATTGATAGACCATTAGCAAGACTAATAAAGAAGAAAAGACAGAAGAATCAAATAGACACAATAAAAAATGATAAAGGCTATATCACCACTGATCCCATAGAAATACAAACTACCATCAGAGAATACTACAAACACCTCTATGCAAATAAACTAGAAAATCTAGAAGAAATGGATAAATTCCTTGACACATACACCCTCACAAGACTAAACCAGGAAGAAGTTGAATCTCTGAATAGACCAACAACAGGCTCTGAAATTGTGGCAATAATCAATAGCTTACCAACCATAAAGAGTCCAGGACTAGATGGATTCACAGTCGAATTCTACTAGAGGTACAAGGAGGAACTGGTATCATTCCTTCTGAAAATATTCCAACCAATAGAAAAAGAGGGAATCCTCCCTAACTCATTTTATGAGGCCAGCATCATCCTGGTACCAAAGCCAGGCAGAGACACAACCAAAAAAGAGAATTTTAGACCAATATCCTTGATGAACATTGATGCAAAAATCCTCAATAAAATACTGGCAAAGTGAATCCAGCAGCACGTCAAAAAGCTTATCCATCATGATCAAGTGGGCTTCATCCCTGGGATGCAAGACTGGTTCAATATACACAAATCAATAAATGTAATCCAGATATAATCAGAACCAAAGACAAAAACCACATGATTATCTCAATAGTTGCAGAAAAGGCCTTTGAAAAAATTCAACAATGTTTCATGCTAAAAACTCTCAATAAATTAGGTATTGATGTGACATATTTCAAAATAATAAGAGCTATCTATGACAAACCCACAGCCAGTATCATACTGAATGGGCAAAAACTGGAAGCATTCCCTTTGAAAACTGGCACAAGACAGGAATGCCCTCTCTCACCACTCCTATTCAACATAGCGTTGGAAGTTCTGGCCAGGGCAATTAGGCAGGAGAAGGAAGTAAAGGGTATTCAATTAGGAAAAGAGGTAGTCAAATTGTCCCTGTTTGCACATGACATGATTGTATATCTAGAAAACCCCATTGTCTCAGCCCAAAATTTCCTTAATCAGATAAACAACTTCAGCAAAGTCCCAGGATACAAAATCAATGTACAAAAATCACAAGCATTCTTATACACCAATAACAGACAAACAGAGAGCCAAATCATGAATGAACTCCCATTCACAATTGCTTCAAAGAGATTAAAATACCTAGGAATCCAACTTACAAGGGATGTGAAGGACCTCTTCAAGGAGAACTACAAACCATTGCTCAATGAAATAATAGAATACAAAGAAATGGAAAAACATTCCATAGTCACGGGTAGGAAGAATCAATATCGTGAAAATGGCCATACTGCCCAAGGTAATTTATTGATTCAATGCCATTCCCATTGAACTACCAATGACTTTCTTCACAGAGTTGGAAAAAACTACTTTAAAGTTCATTTGGAACCAAAGAAGAGCCTGCATCGCCAAGTCAATCATAAGCCAAAAGAACAAAGCTGGAGGCATCACGCTACCTGACTTCGAACTATACGACAAAGCTACAGTAACCAAAAGAGCACGGTACTGGTACCAAAACAGAGATATAGATCAATGGAACAGAACAAAGCCCTCAGATATAATGCCGCATATCTACAACTATCTGATCTTTGACAAACCTGAGAAAAACAAGCAATGGGGAGAGGATTCCCTAGTAATAAATGGTGCTGGGAAAACTGGCTATCATATGTAGAAAACTGAAATTGGATCCCTTCCTTACACCTTATACAAAAATTAATTCAAAATGGAATAAAGACTTAAACATTACACCTAAAACCATAAAAACCCTAGAAGAAAACCTAGGCATTACCATTCAGGACATAGGCATGAGCAAGGACTTCATGTCTAAAACACCAAAAGCAATGGCAACAAAAGCCAAAACTGACAAATGGGATCTAATTAAACTAAATAGCTTCTGCACAGCAAAAGAAACTACCATCAGAGTGAACAGGCAACCTACAAAATGAGAGAAAATTTTCACAACCTATTCATCTGACAAATGGCTAATATCCAGAATCTACAATGAACTCAAACAAATTTACAAGAAAAAAACAAACAACCCCATCAAAAAGTGGGCGAAGGACATGAACAGACACTTCTCAAAACAAGACATTTATGCAGCCAAAAATCACATGAGAAAATGCTCACCATCACTGGCCATCAGAGAAATGCACATCAAAACCACCATGAGATACCATCTCATACCAGTTAGAATGGCAATCATTAAAAAGTCAGGAAACAACAGGTGCTGGAGAGGATGTGGAGAAATATGAAAACTTTTACACTGTTGGTGGGACTGTAAACTAGTTCAACCATTGTGGAAGTCAGTGTGGCGATTCCTCATGGATCTAGATCTAGAAATACCATTTGACCCAGCCATCCCATTACTGGGTATATACCCAAAGGAATATAAATCATGCTGCTATAAAGACACATGCACATGTATGTTTATTGTGGCACTATTCACAATAGCAAAGACTTGGAACCAACCCAAATGTCCAACAACGATAGACTGGATTAAGAAAATGTGGCACATATACACCATGGAATACTATGCAGTCATAAAAAATAATGAGTTCATGTCCTTTGTAGGGACATGAATGAAATGGGAAATCAGCATTCTCAGTAAACTATCGCAAGGACAAAAAAGCAAACACTGCATGTTCTCACTCATAGGTTGGAATTGAACAATGAGAACACATGGACACAGGAAGGAGAACATCACACTCTGGGGAATGTTGTGGGGTGGGGGCAGTGGGGAGGGATAGCATTAGGAGATATATCTAATGTTAAATGACGAGTTAATAGGTGCAGCATACCAGCATGGCACATGTATATATATGTAACTAACCTGCACAATGTGCACATGTACCCTAAAGCTTAAATTATAATAATAATAAAAGAAAAGAAAAGAAAATCCTGAGGAAAATAACACAAGTACAATCAACTAATGTAATTAATTATCCAAATTAGTTTTTTAAAGAAATTTCTAATCATGTTTACACACAGCAAATTAACATTCTAAATATACCTACTATTTTAATTACAGATTAATAAAAATAAATTCATTTTCAAGTATAAGAAAATACATTAAAATGATACCATTTGCTTTAATTATGAGACATATAAAGAAACTCATCAAAAATATAATATAGAAAATAAGGTTTTGCAAGAGGGATTTTTTTGAATTAGAATTTCAATCAGGGGCCAAGCATGGTGATTCACACATGTAATTCCAGTACTTTTGGAGGCCAAGGCAGGCAGAGTACTTGAGGTCTGGAGCTTGAGACAAGTGTGGCCAATATGCTAAAAATCCATCAGGTGTGGTGGTGTGCATCTGTATTCTCAGCTATTCAAGAAGCTGAGGAAGAATAAATACTTGAACCTGGGAGGCAGGGGGTTGCAGTGTCCTACGATTGCACCACTGCACTCCAGCCAAAGAGATAGTGTGAGATTTCATTCTAAAAATAAAAGAAAAGAAATTCAATCAGCTAAAAATTGAGATATACTATTTATTTGCTTTTCAATGCAGTTTGTGACGGTGCTGATTTGTAATTACAAAATGTTTTAAATAATGTGTGGCACACGTTTTAAAGCTACTATAACCTCACATCTGGAAAAAAAAAAGCTTTTTATTTATATTTAATTAATTTAATATTGTTTTATATTAAGTTCCACGGTACCTGCAGGACACCCTGGTATATTTCACAAATGACAGAATGTTAGGATAGCAGCAAGTTAGAGAAAATATCAGGATTTTAGAATAGTCAAAAATTAGAGAAAAATGACATCTCATATAAAATTTATGCAAAATTTTTTTAAGACGGAGGTTTGCTCTTGTCATACAGGCTGGAGTGCAATGGTGTGATCTCAGCTCACTGCAACTTCCACCTCCCAGATTTAAGTGATTTTCCTGCCTCAGTCTCCTGAGTAGTTGGGATTACAGCTGTCCACCACCACACCCAGCTGATTTTTCTTTGTGTGTGTGTGTGTGTGTGTGTGTAATTTTAGTGAAGACGAGGTTTTACCCTATTGACCAGGTTGGTCTAAAACTCCTAAACTCAGGTGATCCTCCTACCTCAGTCTCCAAAGTTTCTGGGATTACAGGTGTGAACCACCTCTCCTGGCCTCTGCAAAATTTTAAAAAGTGGCTTTTAATTTCTTCTTCAGAACTCTCTAGAATAGTAAATGCCAACAATTTAGATTCCATGAGACACAAATATGTTAGGGTATTTCAACCACAGAAAATGGTTTTTAGTATTGCATGTAGCAGAAAATGCCAGAAATGCTGCTCATCATATTACAATCCCGAGCAAAAGTGAGTCTCAAACAGAAATTATATTAAGTACACAACATCAAAGCCCAGGAATTAGAAATACTCTTTCATAAGTAAGCTTCATAATCTACTAGGAGAATGCTGATCTGAACTCCAATGCCATGCTGCACATCATGGTGGGTTCCTGTAATTCCAGCTCTGTGGGAAGCAGAGGCAGGAGGTACAATGAGCTGAGAAAATGCCATTGCACTCCAGCTTGGATGACAAAAGTGAAACTCCATCCTAAAATAATGCAGTGTACATAAGACCAATCACGTTGTTCAATACAAATAATAATTTTTCAAATTTGATTCTGTAAAAATTTTGAAAGATAATCATTTGCAAATGAGGTTAAAAAATACCAAAATATAGGACGCTGAATAATCATTATTTCATGAACCGAAAAAAGTAAGCCATTTAAACATAACCAGCTATGCTTCTATTGCTATGGGATTTTACGGGAGTCACTTTGCCAGATGAAAACCTCTGTGACCAGTGGTGCCTTTCCCTGAGCTTTAATCAGGCCTGCAAAGTTGTTCTACCCACACTACCTGACATGCTGCACTCAGCTGGTGTTAACAGCCAGGAGTTATCACCTGCCAAGGGCAAACATGGATGAGTGGTGAGTGGTGTATGAGCAAGTGTGGACTCCAGCTGCTAAACATGATCAGTCATGCCAGCTGTATCAGACCAGGAAGTTTTAGGTGCCAAGATAACTGCTAGATCATTGAAAAACTGCAGCTGGACCAGGCCTACTGCAAGCAGCTTCCACAGCTGATACTGGGGAATGTAGTGATACCCAGAATCTTGCAGATGCCGGAAAAAGTAAAGCCCCAAAGGGTGTGATGGCTCTCCCTGGCTTTGAGAGCTCCTAGGTCTGTGAACACTGAAAGGCCACAGCTCTTGTTTTATTTTTGTCTTACCACAATGTGATAAGCAAGGGGAAACTTTTATCCCTGTTTGTGTTCCAGGTCATTCAGCTCTGCCATTCAGATAATCTCAAATTATGTTTCTGCTTCCAGGAAGAATGTGGTTCATGCTGCCATCAGCCCTTTCACTTGTTTCTGTAGAGATAATCCCTGTGCTGGTTATGGCAACAGTCATGACCTCTCCTAGAAGATGCTTGAGTTTTCATTCTACTCATCACGTAGAATTCTCTGACCCTGGCTATAATCCTTGAAATCTTGGTTTCCATTTGGCTTGGTTATTGTAAAATCTTAGCAAAGTTTATGTCATAAGACATTTAATATTTGTCTTATGACAATCATTATGCCTAGTGTGTATGCATAATGAATTGCACTAATGCACGTATATGTATCTGTATTCTGTATGACTTCCAGTTGTATTCAAGATTAGTTCTGTCCCAAAAGCCTTTGAGTGTTCTCCATGATATCCCAAAAACAGAGTGTGCCTAGGGTTTTATTTGGCTATATTAGTGTTTTACAGAAATATTTAAAATTAATGGGAAAGAAAGGTGGAGAAAAAAGGAAATAGATAGTTTACTTTCTTTTTTTTTTTTTTTTTTTTTTTTTTTGGAGATGGAGTCTCACTCTCTCACCCAGGCTGGAGCGCTGTGGCACCACCTCCTGGATTCATGCCATTCTCCTGCCTCAGCCTCCTGAGTAGCTGGGATTACAGGCACCCGCCACCATGCCCAGCTAATTTTTTTTTTTTGTATTTTTAGTAGAGATGGGGTTTCACCGTGTTAGCCAGGATGGTCTTGATGTCCTGACCTTGTGATCGGTCCACCTTGGCTTCCTAAAGTGCTGGGATTATAGCCACCGCACCTGGCCTACAGTTTACTTTCTAATTCTTGATTAACTGAACTGACTTCACTTTACTAACAGTTACCCTAACTTGAATCAAATGAACTTTACAAGAGCTTCTTAAAATCCTTCTGATTTACAGAAACCAAAGATTGAGTTAAGTAACCTTGAAAATATAAAATCAATGTTTTCTAAAAAGTGTGCTTCTTTTTACAATTTTCTGGAGAGATAGTTCAATACTGTTAATTGCTGAAAGGTGCCTGAGACTAGATTTTAAGATATTCAACAGCATTTCTAGCCTCTTGGCACTAGAGGCTAGTAATAATCTTACCAATTCCACTTCCAGTCATGAACTTGGCTTAGAGTAAAACTAATGTAAAATCTACTGACCTATGGAAATCCTAGACAATCACATCGACTGTGTGTTTCCCCTATAATCTCATTGTCTACAGTCATTTTCCTTCCATAGTCTGTTCCATCCACAGTGACCTGGTTGTTTTTCAAACAATTTATGCAGGCTTCTGCCAGAGATCATCACACTTGTAAATCTTGCTGCATGCCTACATAATTATTCCCTTATTGTTTTATTTAGATAGGTACTTGAAAGTCACTTTGTAAACAAATAATTGTATACATGTTTTACATAAAACCAAGTTGTAATTCATAATACTGAATATTGTCCTTGCCTTTTATATGAAATTGATAACATCAATTAATAAAAAGCAAACAACAAACTTCATACTGTAACCACTAAAACAAAAACCTAACAATTAGAAACACCAATTAGAAGTGTAAAATTCAATTTAAGCATTTTAAACAATATTTTCATGGGACAAATAATAGATCTCCTAAATAAAAATAAACTCTGACATTACAAAACAATCAGTGCTTCCCACATAAAAATGAGGGCAAAACTGCAGGGCTGGCAGCAGATTCAAACCATTCAAAGAAACATCAAACCAATCAAAAACTGTCTGAACCCTGTAAATCAGTGGTTTGTATCAATCAAGAAACCATCAAAAGAGACAATTTTAAAGTAGTAAATATTTTTTTGGATTGCCATACTACCTCCCAGGCACAGATGAAGGCTTCGAAATTGAAATCTGCATTTTCCATTTCAGGCCCTGGTTCCTAATTCTGGGAGGAGTGAAGAAGCACTTGTGTGCTAATTTATTGCGTTTGTTGTAGTCTTTCTAGAAGAAAAATAAAGAATTGATGAAACGTATTTATTTCTGTTTTGTCAAACTCAGAAGTCACTCTTGGTTGAAAATACCAGGAATTGGTCACAAACAAAATGTTAAGTTGTTGAAAGCAATAATACAGTTATTTCATACAATAGACAATACAACAGATTTGTTAATACAGATCAAGTTTTTAAAAAAATAATAGTTTTTATATTGCTGTTATTCGTAATGCTAATGGAATGCATTCTAAGCTATCAATAACTAAAAAAAAACACCTTAGAGAAATCAAGAAAATCTATATCTTGTAAAAATAATACTCAAGCAAAAAATGTCTAGATATAGAAAATCTAAAAGAATGTGTGATTAACCATTCCCTAAAAAAAAATGCTATTACTATTGCAATCCTGGCAAAGTTAGCTATTACTATTACAGATCTCATAAGCAGCTATTACATAAAAATTTACAAATTTACATTAATGGACACTCAGGGTGTACAGATATAATCTGACTCAATTTATATTGAGAAAGATAGAAAAGTACAGGAGCAGCATATATTTATAGTGTTGAAATTAAAATTTTGATTATTCAAACAAGTTAATATTATTCAAAGAAGATTATATTATGTTTAGAATATAATTAAAATCCCAAATATAACTAATAATGACATGAAAATAATAAAAAAGGTTTAAAAAGTTAACTTTTTTTAATGGACAAAGGATTAATTGAGGATCAAATAAGAAAAATAACATAAAAAAAGTAAATAAATGTCACAGTAAGTAATTTTTTTGCTTGTAATAACTGTAAATGTGAGCTCTTACATAAAAACACACAGACCGGCACAAATGCACCTTTAAAAGAAAAATTCACAAACGTGATGTCTATGCACGTCTTACTTTAGGTTCAAAGAAACAGAGATTGAAACTAAAATAATACAGGTTCTTGGGAAAGCATGACAAATTATTTTCAAACTTAGAAAAAAAATTCTGAGCCAGGTTCAGTGTCTCTCAGGAAAAAAAAAAATTTGGAGATGAAAATAAAACAACTGACATTAAAATTCATGGCCGGGCATGGTGCCTCACTCCTGTAATCCCAGCACTTTGGAGGCTGAGTTGGGTGAATCAAGAGGTCAGGAGATTGAAACCATCCTGGCTAACATGGTGAAACCCCAACTCTACTAAACACACACACACACACACACAAATTCACTAGAGGCCTGCAATCCCAGCACTTCGGGAGGCCTAGGTGGCAGATCATAAGGTCAAGAAGTCATGACTATGCTGAGGAACATGATGAAACCCCATCTGTACTAAAAATACACAAATTAGCTGGGCGTGGTGACACATATCTGTAGTCCCAGCTACTCAAGAGGCTGAGGCAGGAGAATCATTTGAACCCAGGATGCAGAGGTTGGAGTGAGCCAAGTTTGTGCCACTGCACTCCAGCCTGATGACAGAGCAAGACTCCATCCCAAATAAATAAATAAATAAATAATTACTACAGACATTTAAAAGGAGACTTGAGCATATAGAACAAAATGTCAGCAAATTGAATAAAAGAGGCAATTGAAATTATTAAGTCAAGAGGAGAAAAAAATAAAGAAATATGAAAACATCTAGAAACCAGTGTGACACCATCAAGCAGACCTACTTATGCCTCTTAGAAATTCAAGGAGAAGAGACAAAGAAATAGGGAGACTAAAAAAAAGTGGTCAAAAATGTTACAAATTTAAGGTAATAAATATCTAAGAAACTCCACAAACTCCAAGTAAAATAAACTCAAAGAAACACACTCAAACATACATGATAGTTAAACGGTCTAAAACAAAGACAAAGAGAATCTTGAAAGCAGCGAGAGAAATCTTGACTAGTATTGTACAAAAAACCCTCATAAATAATAGGGGAATGTCTAAAAATTCAGAGTAGCCTCATATATTCCAAGTGCAGTAAGAAAAAACTTTCAAAGAGAAATGTTATGTTTAAACAAAGTGTCCATCAAAAGTGAGTGAGAAGTTATGAAATTCCCAAATAAAAGCCACATTCTTTTGCCAGTAGACAACCATTTAAGAAATGCCTTATGGATTATTCCGGGGTAAAATGAAAGGACACTGAACAGAAATATTAATAAACAAAGAATAAAGTACAGATAAATATATGAACAACTACAAAAGATAAAAAAAAATGTGTACCTTCACAATATGTTCTCCACATAATTTAATACACTATTTTATTTTAAAAAACTCACTAGCTTGTGTTTTTGAGATAGAATGCATATTGTTATCATTTTGAGAACTCAGTAATTGAAATAAAGCAGGCCATGCTATAAAGGAGTAAGAGTTTTTTATGTTAACTGAGAATAAACTAATGTGATTTCAGTGTTTTACTTTTAGAATGTTCAATATAATCACTGGAGCAACTACAAAGCAAAGAGTTATAGCCAGGTAGAAAGCTCTCTGCACTACACCAGAAAGTAGGAGTACCTGAGGCTACCTTGTCAGACACCTTGGCATGATAAACAGAACCCTGAGCTGTCCCAACATGGAATAAGTGAGGAGATACTAAGGCAAATAGCATAGCTGCTTCTTCACACAACTTTTACTACACCAGTGGCCACAAAGCGGAACAGGCTCATCCATACCCAGGGCTGGTGCAGAAATGGAGGCAGAAAGCAGTGACTATGTGGAGACTCAACAGAAAGAAAAATGACACAATAATGGCTCCAATTCTATCTCTTCCTTCATGGCATCCCAGGAGTTTGAGATTGAAACTGTTGTTGACGAAAGACAAGACAAAAATGGGAAGGCAGAGTATTTCATTCAGTGGAAAGGCTGTGACAAACAGGATAACACTTGGGGAGTGGAGCAGCACTTCATAAACTGTGAAAAATGTATTTATGACTTTAACAGATGACAGATTAAAAAACAGAAAAAGAAGGACACGGACTGGAAACAAGCAGAACATTGTCAAGCAAGGCCATAAAAGGAACTTCCAGATCTACCAACTCCAACTTTTTTAAGAACCTTCCTAAAACGCTAGTGACTTGCAAACACACATCCAAAAACTGCCAGTTGTTTGCTACCAACCACAACGCTAGGAGAAACACAGCTTCACCTCTCTTCGACCCAAGGAATATGGAGCTAAGAAATTAAACTATCAAGACACTTGCACTTTTAACAGCAAGAACACAGTGGATTTCAATAACTCGGGAAACTGGATCCTATTTTGCTGGATCAGCAGGACACCATGGTGCTCAAGGTGGCAGCTGAGAACCCCTTCAGGGCTGTATTATGTCCTGGTGCAGAACAGACTGGAGGAGAAAACAGGTGCAAGATACACCCACTAATGTCTCAGGGGTCTGGCTTGGTTACTGCTTCCATGGTTACAGGCCTAGCCAGCAAAGAAGGTACATTGGTATAAGCAATTCCACGAACAGCCAACAGAACAAAAAACTTGCATATATTTGTTCCAAGTGTGAGAGGGGGGCAAAGAAAGATTATTGATGATGAAAAAGACCAGCCTTTTGTCAAAAGCATGTATTTTACCATAAGGCTAACAGAAAATGCCAGTAGACTCGGAGACATTTCGGTGAGGGAAAATGATGGCTTTACCCAGAAACTATCAACAAGATTGACAGAGAATAACTCACTAAATATAGAAGTAATGAAAAAAATCAAGAATGTTCTGCATAGGGCTGCTGCAGATGACAGGAAGTTTATGCTGCCCACTCCAGCTGGTTGTGTCCTTTGCTGAGGTCTTGATTTTGTGTGTATTTAAGAAATGACAGAAACAGAGCAAGCATTGAAATAGTGGATACCATAAAGAACACTGTGAATAATTTCATTCAGTTTGAGAAGCCAATTGTATCAGCCAATAGCCCAGCCATTTGACTAGCTGCATCCATACTGCCTCTTTGTGATTTGGTTAAAAGGCTTGGTTTTAAACCCCTTCTGTGACTTTTGGACCGACCCCAGGTGGCTTGTTTACCATTAAATTTCACAAGATGATGGATGAAGCATCGGCCAAGGTAATGTTGATTGGTGGGAGAAAGCTGAAAGCATGGGAGGCATGTGCCACAGACCTGGTCTCTCAGGTGTCTTGAACTGTAACTTTTCCCCCAAGTGGTTATGATACAAATTAAGGGATTTGCTTCATATAATTCAGTTGTGCTAGAGAAAAATAATGCCCTTATTTACTGTAACATTAAGATGAAGTTGAAAGAGGCCAATGAGAGAGAGTGATGTGCCAAAAAAATCTGAATCTGAGCACAAGGAATAGAATCTATGTTCAAGTATATGCAAAGGAAAATTGATAAGTTTTAATAGTCAGTCTGTCTGCTCAGGACACAAAAACTGAGCTGAGCAAAATACATCATTAGCTGCAAGATTGATTAATTTATTTTAATAGCCCTAAACAATATCACGCATTCCTGCTATGGGTGAGCCAGGCACAGAGTAGAGAGAGATCTTTGAATGAGCAACTGTTGAGTCCAGCCACTTGCCACCTCCAAGCATGTCAGCTGTGATAAGGTGAGAAGTTCCAGGTACCAGATCAGGAGCCAGGTCCCTACTTATTTTTGGCTGGATCAGGCATACCATAACCTGTTTCCTCCAGAGGCACTCAGGAATGCCATGGCATCCAGAAGCTTAGAAATTCCAGAAACTGCAAAGACCCAAAGATTGTGTTACAGACCTGGCTTAGAAAAGGTTTCAGCCTGGGTTCTTTAAGGGCTGAACCTCTTCTATCTTTTTTTTTCCTGTAATCAACAATATTGTAAGTGTGGGTTTCTGTGTTTCAGCCTTGTGCACCATTAAGTGGGTCGTGAGTTCTTGATGCATATCCAGGGAGAATGAGGTATTTGGACAACAGGAGAATAATCAAGGTAAATAGATGCTTTATTGGATGAAGGTACAGCTCTCAAGAGAGAAAATGGGTAACTGCATTTCAAAAACAGGACATATCTACATCTGTGCAAGACTCAGTGAAGACAGGAGCGAGAGTGAACAGTTTCAGTGGAAAAGCAGGTTTTTAAAACATCTCTGAAGGCCTCAGTGGAGAGAAGCTTCAGAGTGGGTAGCTTCTATCTGCAGGAAGTTTGTTGAGATGTATCTGCAGCTTTAAGTTTGGAGGAGACTTATCTATTTGCAGCCATGCAATCCCAAGAAGTGTACAACCCACAGCAGAGAAGTGGCATATAGTTGGTAGCTCCACTTTAAGTCAAGTTATTTCAAAATCTGATGCTGGGCATGGTGGCTCACTTGTGTGTTCCCAGCACTTCGGGAGGCCAAGGCCGATGAATCACTTGAGGTTCAAATTCAAGGCCAGCCTGACAAACATAGAGAAACCCCATCTCTAATAAAAATACAAAATTAGTTAAGTGTGATGGTGTATGCCTTTAATCCCAGCTACTCAGGAGCTGAGGCAAGACAATCACTTGAAAGTGGGAAGTGGAGGTTGTGGTAAGGCGAGTTCACACCATAGTACTCCAGTCATGGCAACAAGAGCGAAACGCTGTCTCCAAAAACAAATAAATAAATAAATAAATACATAAAATGAATAAACAAATAAATAAATAAATAATCTAAATTCGTATGGAGTACATATGAGCTTCAGAAGGCAGAAAGAGTGTGCTGATTCTTCCATGGGTTGAGATGGGTGAAAAAGACATCTAACCCTAAATATATCCCCTAATACTAATGCTGAAACACTAACAATAACCCTGAAGCCCTAACCCTAATCCTCATATAAACCCAACCTGAACCATTAACAAAACATATCGCTAGCCATAAATGTAACCCTACCCCAACCCATAACGCTGTACATATCCCTACACCAACCCCTAACCCTAAACCTACCCCTAACCCTAAATCTACCCTAAACCCTAACACTCACCAAAACCCTAACCTAAATACTAAACCAAACCTAACTCTAACACTAATTTTAGACAATGAACCCTAACCCCTAACTCTAACTCTAATCCCTAAAGCTAACTTCGTACCTCATCCTAAATGCAACCTTGACTGTAACCATAATACTAAAATGTGAACCTTAAAAATGTAAGCTAACACCTAACCAATATCCCTAATCAAATCTACCCTAACCCTAATTCTAACCATACATTGACCATACCCCTAATCTTAAAACCCTGACACTAACACTACTCCTAACTCTAACCCACAACCTCAAATGCAACTGCAACCATAGCTCTAACACTGAAACCTAAACTCTAACTATAATCCTATACAATAAGCCCAATCCCAAATTTAACCCTAAACCTAACCCCACTGTAACACTAAATCTAAACCCTGACACCAGGCCAAACCCTAACCCCTTCTCCTAACCCTAAGCTGACCCTAAGCCTAATTGCTAAACAATAACCCTAAAAATAAAACTGAACCTTAAACACTAACTGTAAGGCTAAACTGAAACCCTAACCAGGACATGAACCCTAAATGCTAAACCAAATCTTTATTCTTATCCTAACACTAACCCTAAACCCAAACCCTAACACTAATGCACTAACCCTCTTACCTTAACCCTCACTGTCACCTCAACTTTCACCTTTGGCACTAATCCTAATCCTCACCATGATGTTAACCCAGAACCTAACCCTACACTAACCCCAATCTCTAACTGTAAGCCTATTTCTTACTCTAAACCTAAACATAACCTGATCTTAAAATTAACAGCTAATTCTGATTCTAACCCTAGCCTTAAACATAACACCAACTACCCCTGTCCCTAATCCTAATCCTAACCATAACCCTAATCCTACCACAACACTAACCTCTAATCCAACCCCAGACCTAACCCTCAATCTAAACTTATTTCTGCAATTGTAAACCCCTATCCCTAATCCCAAACTTCTATCCCATTCTTAATGTCATCCTATCACCCTTCAAAAGAATTTTAAATATATTGTCTGTGACTCTCATCTCTAACCCCTAATGCCCATAAGAGTATACTAAACCTTAACTATTATTAACTCCAATTGAAAATTGAATTAAGCAGATGATACAACTGGGACAAAACTCTAAATGTTAATAAATATGATAATTAGATACATTATAATGTTTAACAAAATAATAGTACATGAAATTTGCTACATGGGGAAGACATTATGCACCTCAATAATTATGTTCATTTTTTAGAAAATTTAGGGTTTGTTTGTTTGTCTTTAACATTCTGAAGCCATCGTTTTTCAATGTACCATGTAAACTAAATGATGGGAAAACAGTACATGTTTATCTCAACTGTTACAGAAAATACTTAAAGTTAGTCAACATATTTAATGTTAACAACATCCAATAAACTGTGTTTCAAATTTCTTTCATATGATAAAACATCTTTATGCAAAACCTGTAACAATCAGCATCTGAATTGTTGGGAACAAAAACTTTAAGATGAGGAGCACAGCACTGATGCACACTTTCATCATTGTATTTGATACAGTACTAGAAGTTCCATCCAAAATAATTGGAAGAGAAAAATATATACGAAGCTATTGATATGTGGAAAAATAAAAGTAAAACTATCTACTCATGGATCTCATGATCTCATATACAGAAAATAAGAAAACAACAAGAAATAATAAAATCTAGTAAACAAATTAAACAAACATACAGTATAAAATATCGATACACTAAAATCTATTTCTACACACTAGCAATAAACCATATGAAAATGAAATTAACACAATAATTTTGTTTGTAAAAACAACAAGCTGTGTGTCATCCAACTTCCCTGGAATGCACAGCATCATGCAGCTAGGGGTGAAGGGTGGCCTTGGGGTGGAGTCTGCATTGCTATATTGGGACCTGTGCTGCACTCTCCGTGGGGCTAACCAGAAACTACTCATGTTCTGGGGGAGTCGAAGTAGAAACATGTAAGTACCTAATGGATGGCGAGTAGAAAATCTAGTCATTTTGAAAGCCCTAATGCCACCATGTCAAATGGATATCTTCAGAGTCATAAATTTATGGTAAAAAGAGAACATGCATGAACATCAGCAACAAAGAAAGTCATACTGAGTGGCCCAGGTCATTTTGCTGAGAAGAAAAGCATTGAGGTTAATTTGGAGGCATCCCTTCACAAGTGCTGCCAAAAGCACGGACATATTTTAACAAAATGTTTCACTACGCCTACAGCTCCATAGAAATTTCTAAATTCCCATTTCACCTGAAACTGCAGTAGAACTGTTGATGACTGTAAACTTTCAAGATTGTATATAAATACAATTAATTGATAGGATAAAATAAATTATAATAAACTGTTAATTTTTTTCAGTGTTTAAGATCTGTAGTTCAGTTTTTTTTTTTTTTTATAAATAGCACATTCCCTGTGTGAAGGGGCCTATAAAATTAATTGCAAAGAAGATTCTCTTCTGTTTTTTGCATAACAGAATTGAAATTTTTTTGCATCGTGAAAAAACTAAGGACATTTTCCCAAACAGAGAAATAAACAAATATGCCAATTCACAGGTGATTTTGCCTTATCCCTTGAATGTGACTTTAAAATGAGTAATGTCAACACAGAAAATGATGAAAATTAGGCACAAATAAAAAATTGCATTATATACATGTTCATAACTTAGCCTAAAGATTGATTTTTATCTAACCCTAACATAAATGTTTTATTGATGCCTATAATCTCAGCACTTCTTGAGGCCAAGGCAGGCAGACCACTTGAGTTCAGACATTTGAGACATGTCCAGGCAACATGGCAAACCTTTGTCTCTACCAAAAAATACAAAAAGTTAGCCAGAGATGATAGCTGAGTCTAAGGTGGAGGATCAGTTCAGCTTGGCAGTTAGAGGCTGCAGCGAGCCAGGATGGCAATTCCGCACTTCAGGCTGGGAAAAAGAATGAGACCCTGTCTCCAGAAAAAAAAAAAAAAAAAAAAAAAAAAGAAGAAGAAGAAGAAAAGGAATAAGAGTTGAAATTTTTTATGTCCTGTGATAAACCTCAGTATTGTGTAACATTGTCTTTTCATTTTGTTTACTGCTACAATTTAAGAACTTTACTTAAAAACAATTTGGGAAGGTTACTAGGTACAATATTTGAAGAAGCAACAGAACTATACCCCGATGGTCAATGAGTCAACTATATGACTTACAAGCAAAGCATCCCTGACAACTTTAAAAAGAGAAAGAATAAAAGATCTGGCAAAGTGTGGTGGCTTAGGATTTTTAGTGTTCGATTTTTTTTTTAATTTAAGAAATCCCTTTTTACTCTTAGATTAATTATAATTTATAACAATTTAATAGGTTATAGTTTTTTAAATAGAAGTGAAACACTTGTAAAAAAAAATAACTCTCACGTCCCCCCACCCACCACAGTCATCTGAATGGACCCCTCCTTTTGACCAAAGGCATTCCAAAAGTGGTTCAGTTCCCGACAAGAAAGAGGGACACACATGATTCATTACACGCTCCTCCCTTTTGAACTTTAGAAAAAGTTGACCATCATTAACAGCAATGCATACCTTAAGTCTGATAAGGAATATTTACCTTCTATTCTCTCAAGCCTGCTACATGGAGGCTTCATCATCATGATAAAACTTTGGTCTCTACAGTCCTTACTATTTATTGTAACCCAGTCATCCCTATCTGTTGATTTTATGTTTTTAGATAATAACTTAACTCTTTCAGCCAACTGCCAATGAAAACATATTTAAATCTACCTGTAACTTGAAAGTGCAGCCCCATCGCTATTTTCAAGTTGTCCATCCTTTCTTGACCAAACTAATGTACATCTTACATGTGTTTGACTGATGTCTCATGTCTCCTGAAAATGCATAAATATAGACTGTGCACACACCACCTGGGGCACATGTTCTCAAGATCTCCTGAGTATGGCTGTGTCATGGACCATTTGTCACTGATATTTGGCTCAGAATTCTTCAATTAATTTTATGTTTTAATATCAAAGGTTGATACTGTTAGTATATCTCAGCTAATGTAGGATGTCAACCTTTATAAAGTAGACATTTTCATCACCATTACAAATCCACTCTCAATTAAACTGTGATTGTCTCAGGAAAAGAAAAAATGTTGTTAACCGGGCATATACCATATATTTAAACTTAAATAATAATTCAGCTTCTAATATGCCTACTTAAAATTTTTTCTATATTGTTTCAACTACTTTAGTTCTCTAAGAAAAATGAGTCATTAAAGCATGAAAAAAGTGTTGTTGGAGGTTGTGATGTCTCCCCTGACCTCAGCCTGTCATAGTAGTTCCACTCAGCACCTCTCCTTTCTCTGTAACAGAATCTCCGCCAGAAACAAGCTCAGATCATCTGCAAACCACACTTTGGTAGCTGTGACAATGCGTGGTCACTGCCTCGCTCAAGGGACACTTTCGTAAAGTCAGAATTGGAGGCCAGGGCTGGGAAGTAAGGCTCAGAGCAGTGACCCTCCTCAGTTCTGGGTGCTGCAGACAGGGGGTCTTTTCCTCACCTGTCCACCAGATGTCTGAATGCCATGTCCTCTCCTGGGAGGGTCCTGAGGAGACGTCTTTATTCTCACCTGGTCGTAGCACCAGATGTCTTGTAGCAACGGCCACTCCTGGACATGTCCAGAAGAGAAAGAGACTTCATCTTCATGGTGGACGCGACCCCAGGTGGGCCAAAGCTGCGGCCACTCTTGGGCGGGTCCTGAGATGAAGGAGGCTTAGTCTTCACTACGAACGTGCCTCAGGTGTCCCCAGGTACCCTGAAACCACGGCCTCTCTCCGGTGTGTCTTGAGGAGAAGGAAGTGCTATCCGAGGCACTGTGAGGACACCCTGCTCCTCAGAGAGTTTGTTTGCGGGCTCTGCATGCTCAGTGCGTAGGCTCCGTGCACCCTCTGGTGGTAGCCTGGGAAAATTTCTGAAATTCGGGGTGGGTTAATCCAGGCGACAGTCTCAGGAAGTGGAAGTGAAATAGAGCCAACCTTCCCAAACCTTGAATGGGGATTAAAAAGAAGCAAAGGAGACGATCAATAGATAAAACTCAACTGATTTTTTGTCTATCAGCAATCATGAATAGAAATCATTGGAATTTGAAATATTAAAACACCACTTACAATACTACCCAAAAAATTGAGTCCTTTAAGTATAAATGTAACAAAATATGCAGAATTCATTCAGTAAACAATAAGTCACCTTTGAGAGAAATCAACAGAAATATTAGTAAATGCAGAGAGTCCTGGCATGTTGGCAGACGCCTGTAATCCCAGCACTTTGGGAGGCTGCCACAGGCAGATCACTTGAGCCAATGAGTCGGAGACCAGCCTGGGGAACAGGGTGAAACTCCAACGCTACCAAAAATACAAAAAAAAATAAGCTGAGCTTGGTGGGCACGCCTGTGTTCCCAGCTACTTGGGTCATTGAAGTGGGAGAATCTCAGTGAGTTGAGATGGTGCTACTGCACTCCAACATGGGTGACACAACTCTTTTTCAATAAATAAATAAATAAATAAATAAATAAAGAGACGTTTCTTGTTCTGGAGAAGTACATTTATGGTTATTTCAGACATATCCCAATCAAATTCCAGGTAAATATATCAACAAACTCTTCCTAAACCTAGAATAGATGAAATAAGACTAAAGAAGAACAAAGCTAAAGGAATTACACATCTGGATATGAATATTTACACTAAAGCTAATGTAATAAAGAAGAGTGTGGCATTCATAATTTAACAGACCAGCAGATAAGTGGAAGAGAATAGCCCCCAAACTGTCCCAAGTCAACTGATTTTGTCAAAAATGCGAAGAATATTCTTTGGAAAAGATAAAGCTGTTTCACAAGTGTCAAGAAAACTGCTGGAAACTATATGGAAACAAATGAACATAGACAAAAATTTTATAGTTAAAAAATTAGTCAAAAATACCCATACTTTAAATCTTTTCACTGCAAAGTTGTAATTGGAAAGTATCTTCATGGGCCTGGTTTTGGTAATTATTTATTAGCAAGTCCATGAAAGAAAAAAATGGATAATATGAACTTTATTAAAAGATGAAATGTCTTATCTGTAAAACACCCTGTTACTTTTGAAGGTCAAAGCGGACAGATCACCTGAGGACAGGAGTTGCAGGTCAGCATCGTATACATGGTGAAGTCACGTCTGTACTAAAAATAAAAAAATTTAACTGGGATTTCTGGTGTATGCCGGTAATCCTAGATGCTTAGGAGTCTGAGCAAGGAGAATCCTTTGAACTTGGGAGGTGGGGATTGCGGTGAGGCTGGTTCGGGTCATTGCACTCCAGGCTGGGTGACAAAATGAGACATCACCTCAAAAAAAAATAAGTGAAATCCGGTAAAGAGAACCAAAAAGCCAGCCACAGATAGAAAAATTTAGCAAACTAATCTGAAAAGCGACTTGTATGTACAATATACGAGGATACCCTAAAACTCAAAAAGATAAGCAACCCAATTTCAAGGTAAAACCTGAGTAGATACATCACTAAGGAAGATACAGAGATGGAAAACAGGCAGGCACACCAAACACTGTTTGCGGAAAGCCTGCTGATTCTGCTGAAGGCTGAGACTCCAAGCCATCCATGGGGAGCAGCAGTGGCTGCCAGAGGGGCAGTGGCTCCAAATACCGCCCCCACCTACCCCACTTCCGCCCTTCTTCCAGGGTCCAAGGGTCCCCAAGGCCTTGGGCATGCTCTCCTAGAAAGAGCCTGAAGCTGGATACTTTGTTTCTCGGCTTTTCTTAAAGTTCTGGAGGCTGCCAGATATCCTTAGGTTGGAAGTTTTATTTTGATCCTGAGCACCTTGCGGTACTGACAAGCATTAGGAGAGTTGGTTTTTAATCTACACTTGTCTTCATCAACAGATAAAAAAATTGGCTCCAATTGCTTTCTAGTAAATTCTTTTAAAATGTTTGGTACAACATATTTTTATTTTGCTTTCCTAGAGACACAAAGCACAAAGTATTAAGTAAAAGCCATATATGGAATAATCATAAATTCATGGATACTATTTAGTTGGTCATTTAACTTGACTATTTTTTATTATAATTTAACTTCTAGGATACATGTGCAGAACAGGCAGATTTGTTACATTGGTGTACATGTGCCACCGTGGTTTGCTGCACCCATCAACCCATCATCTAAGTTTTAAGCCCTGCATGCATTAGGTATTTGTCCTGATGATCTCCTTCCGCTTACCCCCTACTCCCTGACAGGCCCCATTGTGTCCTCATTGTTCCATTCCCACTTATGCATGAGAATAGGTAGTGTTTGCTTTTCTGTTCCTGTGTTAGCTTGCTGAGAATAATTGTTTCCAGCTCCATTCATGTCCCTGAAAAGGACATGAACTTATTCTTTTTCATGGCTGCATAGTATCCCATGGTATATATGTTCCACATTTTCTTTATCCAATCCATAATTGATGGGTATTTGGGTTTGTTCCATGTCTTTTTTGTGTCTGAATAGTGCTGCAGTAAATGTAAATGTGCATGTTTCCTTATGTAGAATGATTTATAATCCTCTGGAGGCACACCACATAATGGGATTGCTGGGTCAAATGGTATTTCTGGTTACAGATCTTTGAAGAATCACCATACTGTCTTCCACAATGATTTAACTAATTTGTACTAACACCAGCAGTATAGAGCATTCCTCTTTCTCCACATCTTCACCAGAACCTGTTGTTTCCTGACTTTTTAATGGTCACCATTCTGACCGGTGTGAGATTGTATCTCATTGTGGTTTTGATGTGCATTTCTCTAATGACCAGTGATGCTAAGCTTTTTTTTATATATGTTTGTTTGCTGATTAAATATCTTCCTTTGGGAAATGTCTGTTCATATCCTTTGCCCACTTTTTGATGGGATTTGTTTTTTATTTTGTTGTAAGTTTTTTTAAATTTCTTGTAGGTTTTTGATATTAGACTTTTTTCAGATAGATAGGTTGAAAAAATGTTCTCACATTTTGTATGTTGCCTGTTCACTCTGATGATATTTTCTTTTGCTGTGGGGAGCTCTTTAGATTAATTAGGTCCCATTTGTCAATTTTGGACGGTGTTGCAATTGTTTTTTGGTCTTTTTGCCATGAAGTTTTTGTCCATGCCTATATCCTGAATGGTATTGTGTAGATTTTCTTCTAGGGTGTTTAGGGTTTTAGGTTTTACGTTTAAGTCTTTTAGTTCATCTTGAGTTAATTATGTGGTGTGAGAAAGGGATCTAGTTTCAGGTTTCTCCATATGGCTAGCCAGTTTTCCCATACCAGGGAATTCTTCCCCAGTTGCTTGTTTATTCAGGCTTGTCAAAGATCAGATCATTGTAGATGTGTGAATTACTTTAAGCAGCATGGTCACTTTCATGATATTGATTCTTCTTATTCATGAACATGATATTTTTGTGTCCTCTCTTTGAGCACTGGTTTGTAGTTCTCCATAAAGAAGTCCTTCATATTTCTTGTAATTTTTATTCTTAGTTATTTTTTTCTTTGGAGAAATTGTGAATTTGAGGTCAGTCATGATTTGATTCTCTGTTTTTCTATTATTGGTGTATAGAAATACTTGTGATTTTTGCACATTGATTTTGTAGCCTGAGATTGCTGGAGTTGCTTATAAGCTTAAGCAAACTCATACAAAAGACAAGTTTCTTGTCTACTGCTAAGTAGTTTTAGAGGTGAGATACTGGGGTATTCTAAATATACAACTATGTCCTCTAAAAACAGGGAAAATTTGATTTCCTTTATTTTTATTTGAATACCCTTTATTTGCTTCTCTTGTCTGATTGCCCTGGGTGGAACTTTCCACTCTATGTTGAATACGAGTGGTGAGAGAAGCCATCCTTGTCTTGTGCCTTGTGTTCTGTGTTTTCAAAGAAAATGTTTCCAGCTTTTGCCCATTCAGTATAATATTGCCTATGGGTTTGTCACAAATAATTCTCGTTAGTTTCTGATACATTCCATCGATACCTGGTATATTGAGTGTTTTTAGTGGGAAGGGATGTTGAATTTTATCTAAGGCCTTTTCTGCAACGAGAGAGAAAATTATGTGGTTTTTGTCTTTGGTTCTCTTTATGTGATGAATTACGTTTGTTGATTTGTATATGTTAAAACCAGCCTTGCTCGTTGGAGCTGATCTGATCGTGATGGATAAGCTTTTTGATGTGTTGCTGGATTCAGTTTGCCAGTATTTTATTGTGAATATTCACATTGATGGTCATCGGGAATACTGGCCTATTTTTTTTTTTTTTTTTTTTTTTTGGTTTCTGACAGGTTTTGGTATTAAGATGATGCTGGCCTCATAAAATAAGTTCAGGAGGAGTCCCTCTCTTTCTATTGTTTGGAATAGTTTCAGAAGTAAATGACACCAGCTTTTCTTTGTACCTCTGGTAGAAGTAGTCTGTGAATCTGTCTGGTCTGGGCATTTTTTGGTTGGTAGGCTATTACTGCCTCAACTTTAGAATCTGTTGGTCTCTTCAGGGATTCTACTTTTTCCTGGTTTAGTCTTGCAGAAGTGTATGTGTCCAGGAATTTACTTATTTCTTATAGATTTTTTGCTTTATTTACATAGAGGTGTTTACAGTATTCTCTGATGGTAGTTTGTATTTATGTGGGATCAGTTTTTACATCCCCATTATCCTTTTTTAATATGTCTAATTGATTCTTTTCTTTTTTTTCTTTATTAGTCTGGCTAGCAGTGTATCTATTTTGTTAATCTTTACAAAAAACAAACAAACAAACAAAAATGCTCCTGGATTCATGAGGGATTTTCCTGACTCTATCACCTTCAGTTACGTTCTTATCTCAGTTATTTCTTTTTTTGTCTCAGTTTTTGGATATGTTTGTTCTTGCTTCTCCAGCTCTTTTGCTTTCTTTCTTCCTTTTTTTAATTTTTTTTTTTTTTTTTGAGAAGGTGTCTTGCTCTGTCATGCACACTGGAGTGGAGTGGTGCTACCTCAGCTCACTGTGGTTTTTATCTTTTCTGTTCAAGAGATTATCTCAACTCAGCTTCCTACGTATCCTGGATTACAGGTGTGAGCCCCCATGCCAGGCTTTCTTTTTCTTTGTATTTTCTGTGGAGATGGAGTTTCATCATGTTTGTTGGCTAGGCTAGTCTTGAACTCTTGAACTCAGGTGACCTGCCTGGCACAACTTCCCAAAGTGCTGAAATATCAGGCATGAGCCACTATGTCTGTCCCTCTAGTTTTTTTCATTGTGATTTTATGGTGTTGATTTTAGATCTTTCCCACTTTTGATGTGGGCATTTAGTGCTATAAATTTCTCTCTTAACACTGCGTTAGCTGTGTCCTAGAGATTGTGGTAGGTTGTGTCTTTGTTCTCATTGATTTTAAACGGCTTCTTTCTTTGTTTCTTAATTTTGTTATTTATCCAGTGGTCAATCAGGAGCAGGTTTTACAGTTCCCATGTAATTTTGCAGTTTTGAATAAGTTTCTTAATCCTGAGTTCTAATTTTATTCCACTCTGGTGCGAGAGACTGTTTGTTTTGATTTCCATTCTTTTGCATTTGCTGAGGAGTGTTTTGCCTCCAGTTATGTGGTCAATTTTACAATAAGTGCTACGTGGTGATGAGAAGAATGTATATTCTGTTGATTTGGGGTGGAGACGTCTGTAGATGTCTATTAGCTCTGCTTGGTCAAGGGCTGAGTTCACGTCCTGAGTATTCTTGTTAAAGTTCTGTCTCATTTATCAGCGTAATATTGATAGTAGGGTGTTAAAGTCTCCTGTTATAATTGTGTGTGAATCTAAGTCTGTGTAAGTCTCTAAGAACTTGCTTTTTAATCTGAGTGCTCCTGTATTAGGTTCATATACATTTAGGATTGTTAGCTGTGCTGGTTGCACTGATTCCTTACCATTACGCAACTCCCTACTTTGTCTTTTATGATCTATGTTGGCTTAAAGTTTGCCTTAGGATAGACTACGATTTCAAGCCCTGCTTTTTTTTTTTTTTTTTTTTTTTTTTTTTTGGTAACTTTCCATTTGCTTGGTAAATATTCCTCCATCCTTTTATTTTGAGCCTATGTGTGTCTTCACCCATGAGATGGTTCTCCTCAATATAGCATACCGAAGGGTCTTGACTCTTTATCCAATTTGCCAATCTGTGTACTTTAATTGGCAAATTTATTTCATTTACATTTAGGGTTAATATTCTTATGTGTCAATTTGATCCTGGCATGGGAATGTTAGCTGGTTGTTTTGGATATTAGTTGATCCACTTTCTTCATAGAGTTGTTGGTCTTTATATTTTGCTATTTTTTTCAGTGGTGAGTACCGATTTTCTTTTGTTTTGTTTTTTGTTTTTTGAGACAGAGTTTCACTCTGTTGGCCAGGCTGGAGTGCAGTAGCGTGACCTTGGCTCACTGCAAGCCGCCTCCTGGGTTTCTGCCATTCTGCCTCAGCCTCCCGTGAGTCTGAGTAGCTGGGACTACAGGCACCCACCAACACAGCCGGCTATTTTTTTTGTATTTTTAGTAGTGACAGGGTTTCACTGTGCTAGCCAGGATGGTCTCCATCTTCTGACCTCATGATCTGCCCACCTACGCCTCCCGAAATGCTGAGATTACATGCGTGAGCCACTGCACCAGGTGAGTACCGGTATTTTCTTTCCATATTTAGTGCTTTCTTTAGGAGCTCTTCTAAGGCAGGCATGGTGGTGACAAAACCATCTACATTTTGTTATCTGTAACAATTTTATTTTTATTTTGCTCATAAAGCTTAGTTTGGATTAATATAAAATTCTAGGTTGAAATTGTTTTCTTTAGGGTTGTTTTATATTGACTCCACTCTCTTCTGGCTTGTAGGGTTTCTGCAGAGAGATCCTCTGTTAGTCTGATGGGCTTCCCTTTGTAGATAACCTGACCTGTCTGTCTGGCTGTCCTTAACATTTTTTCTTTTTGTTCAACCTTGGAGAATCTGACAGTCATATGTCTGTTGCTCTTCTCAGCGAGTATCTTAGTGGTGTTATCTGTACTTCCTGAATTTGAATGTTGGCCTGTCTTGTTCCATTGGGAAGTTCTCCTGGATGATGTCTTGAAGTGTGTTTTCAAACTTGGTTCCATTTTTCCCATCACTTTCAGGTACACCAATCAATTATAGGTTTGGTCTTTTGACATACTCCCATATTTCTTGGAGGCTTTGTTTGTTGCTTTTCATTCATTTTTCTCTAATCTTGTCTTCATGCTTTATCTCATTAAGTCGATCTTCCATCTTTGATAATCTTTCTTCCTCTTCATTGATTCATCTATTAATACTTGTTTTTGCTTCACAATGTTTCTTGCACTGTGTTTTTCAGCTCTATGCGGTCATATACGTTCTTCTGTAAACTGGTTATTTTAGTTAGCAGCTCCTGTAACGTTTTATCAAGGCTTTTACCTTACTTGCATTGGTTTAGAACATACTCCTTTAGCTTAGAGAATTTTGTTATTACTGACCTTCTGAAGCCTACTTCTGCCAACTCATCAACCTCATTCTCCATCCACCTTTGTGCCCTTGCTGGAGAGGAGTTGCGATCATTTGGAGTTGAAGAGGCATTCTAATTTTTTGAATTTTCAGCTGTTTTGTGCTGGCTATTCCTCATTTTTCGTGGATTTATCTACCTGGGATCTTTGATACTGAATGTCTTTGGACTGGGATTTTGTGTGAGAGTCCTTTTTGTTGACGTTGATGTTGATGTCACTGTTTCCTGTTTGTTAGTTTTTCTTCTAACAGTCAGGCATCTCTTCTGCAGGTCTGCTACAGTTTGCTGGTCTACTTCAGTTGCTGTTTGCCTGGGTATCACCATATGAAGTTGCACAACAGCAATGATTGGAAGTTTTGACTCAGAGTGATACCTGGCTGGTGCCAGCTAGAGCTTTTCTCTATGAAGTGTCTGTTGACCCCTGCGGGAAAGGGTCTCCTAGTCAGGAGGCACAGGTGTCAGGGGCAAACTTGAAAAGCCAGTCTGCCCTGAGCAGAGCTTGAGCACTGTCCTGGGAGATACACTGCTCTCTTCAGTGCAAGCAGGCAGGAGTCTTTAAGTCTGCTGAAGTTGCACTCACAGCCATCCCTTTTCTCAGGTGTTCTGTCCCAGGGAGTTGGGAGTTTTACATATAAGTCTCTGACTCAGGCTGCTGCCTTTCTTTCAGAGATGCCCTACCCAGTGAGGAGGAATCTAGAGAGCCAATGTGGCCACACCTGCTTTGCATGCTTCTGTGAGTTCCATGCAGCCCAAATTTCCTGGCAGTTTTCTTAACACTCTGAGGGGAAAACCTTACGCTCAAGTCTCAGTAATTGTGGTCGAACCTCTCCCCACCGAGCTTTATCATTCTAGGTTGACTTCAGGCTTCTATGTAGGTAGTGAGAACTTGAAGCCAGTGGATCTCAGCTTGCTGTGCTCCATGGAAGTGGGGCCTGCTCAGTGGGACCACTTGGCTCCCTGGCTTCAGCCCCTTTCCAGGGGGGTGACTGGTTTTGTCTCACTGGTGTTCCAGGTGCCACTAGGGTATGAAAATTATTTTGCAGCTAGCTCAGCCTCTGTGAAAGCAGCCACCCAGTTTTGTGCTTGAAACCCAGTTCTGTGGTTGTACAGGCACACTAGGGAATCTCCTGGTCTGTGCGTCGTAAGAACCATGGGGAAACTGCAGGTTATGGGCTTGATAGCACAGCCCCTGATTGCTTTCCATGGTTAAAGAAGGAAGTTTTCAGCCCCTTACACTTCCTGAGTGAGGCAACACTCACCCTACTTCTGCTTGCCTTTTGTGGGCTGCACTCAATGTCTAACCACGTCCAGTGAGATGAACTGGGTAATTCAGGTGGAAATGCAGAAATCAACTGTCCTTTGTGTTTGTCTCACTGGGAGCTGCAGATCAGAGCTGTTACTTTTCTACCATATTGCCAGATGCCGACCAGTTTTTATTCTTATTTACAGTGTGCACTGTTGAAATTACCAGAAGTTTCACTTGTAATGTCTAAAAGCAAAAAGGAAAAGAACAGTGAGAAATGTTTTAATAAATTAATCTCTGTATTCAAATGTCAATCAAAAGCAGTGCCATGTCGCAAAAGGTGAAGGAAAATGAGCAGACCAAAAACAAGTGAATTGACATTTTGGTTCACTTTTGAAAAAGCAGGTTTAAGAAGGTAAACCTCCAGATTTCTAATCTGTATCAAGTATTAAGCATTGCAAAGTATGTACTGAAATTTTTTCAATTTTCACAGAAACTAATTTGTACTCTAGAAATTCCTGTTATTGCTTTGATATCTGTTGGGGTTCAGTCAAGATGGTGGGGAAAATTAGCAGATACAAACCTTCTTGCAAGGCCTAGGGAGTTGACATAAGCTCCAGTAATAAACTTGGCTGAAAATGGCCTTTTCCCTTTAGTTAAGTAAGTTAGAGTAGAAACACACTAAAGTGGGGTGTTTATCTAACTAGCTTGCTTACTCATACGGTCCTAAGATTAATGGTTGACTTAGTACAGTGCTAAATTGCTTTCTAATTGGGAATTCCACACTGTCAATTACCCTTTAGTGGTGTTGACTTGAGCCTTGGTCAATTATTCTTTACCAAATAAATGTGAGTCTCACTAGCTGGTTGGGGCCACAGTCAAAGCTCTGCAGTGAGCAGAGACCACACCACTGCACTCCAGCCTGTGCCACAGAGCAAGACTCCATTTCAAGAAAATAAAAGGCTCCTACTCACTCTGGGACAGAAGGATCTTGTTTTGTTCCACGTGGAACTATTTCAGGATCAGTTCTCAGGAAGCCTTTATTGTATGTGGTAAAAGTAATATAACATAAAATTTACCAATCTAAACATTTGTGCATGTATCTAAATATTTGTAAGTATGTTTATGTTATTGTGCAACCCTCACCACCGCTTCACATTCTCACCAGCAATGCACAAGTGTTCCATTTGCTGCAGAAACTCTCCAACTTTCCATTTTTCAAAAACAAAAAACAAAAAAGACATTCTAGTGGGTATAAAGTGGTAATCCCTCTCCTGCCCCACTCATGCCTGTTTAGATAACTGTAAGACACCGTCTGGCCATTTCCAGCTCCAGGTCACTTTTTCTATGCTGCCTATCCAGACACCCAGTGATCAGTGATGTCTCCTCAGGGTTTACAAGGTCTTCTGCATCTTGCTCTATTGTAATCCAGACCTCAGCATATAATATCCATGTGTCATTCCACTTAAGTAAAGGGAAATTAACATTTTCTGAGCACCGCCACGTGCAGGTGACTTGCTCAGGTGAACTCACAGTGACTCTGCCAGGTATGGGTAATCCCACATGTAGAGAAAAGGGCCAAGATCAGGTGATTGAGTGACTCACTTTCAATCACACCACTTCCAAGTAACTTCAGGTTCCAGCCCCCAGCCAGGTCTCCAGTTGTCATTTAGAAAAAGTTTGTGAGTCACTTGAATGTATGTCCAGGCCACACCCAGTCTTCTTTCTATCAATCGAGATGAGCTCCAGGGACAATGGGTGACAAGACACAACCAGTCATCTTTCTTCCATTCAGAGCCATTGTAGGTACTTGATACTCATCAGGAACAGTCTCTTATCCCAAAACCTTCTCATACATAGGATGTTTTGAGGGCAATGTGTTACACATGGGTCACAGAAGGCAACTTTAGTGAGGGAATCAAAGCCAGCATATAGAGAAGGAGCTGGTGATTCCAAGTGTAAAGGAAGGGTGGTATGCTAAGAAGTTATTGCCCTTGAGGATGAAGGAGACAAGAGGTTAGTATGACTAAATCAGACGGAGCAAGACAGAAAGCAGGGAATGGACAAAACACTTAGCACAAGGCACAGTGGTTCCTTAGCAAGGTCGATGCAGACCTACCATGACATGATGTGGCCACTGCCCTCCTAGGAATGAATGATGAGAAATGAAGGCGAGTTTACAGGCTATATACATAAATAAATATTCATGACATCCTTATACACAATGTTCCCAAACCAGGAACCCCAAATGCCCATACACAAAAGAAGGGTGAACAAGCTGTGGCACATCCACACCATGGTGTGTGGCTCGGCATAAAAAGGAATGGACTGTTGATGCAATCAGAACAGAGTGACTCTGAAAGTAGTTCTGCCGAATAAAAGAACCCAGATCAGAACGATGCACAAAGATCCAAGTACATACTGTATTTACATGTAATTCTATAAAATACCACTAAATTTTAGTGAAAGAAGCAGATCTGTGGTACTAGATTGGCCAGGGAGAGATCATTATTGCCAGGAGGAAGGTACGTTTTCATGACCTTCATAGCACTTCTGGCCTTGTGGTGAATGAAATACTCACATGGAGAAAACCATCAGTTCTCCTTTCTGCACATGTGCAGTTTACCATATGCTGATCACACGTCAATGAAGCTGTTTTTAAATAAGGAATCACGATCCGCAGCTCAGAATATGAATGGGCAGGAGGCCTGAGAAGGCAGATTCTTTTCTTTTCCTAATCTATGAGGCTGTATAATGAGAATTAAGTTGGCCCTGAGCTCAGACACAGAACAGGCCTGAGGGAAAGGCTCACACAGTCCTTCCTTCTGCACAGAAGAGTGACCACCTAACACAGTACCCAGTTGCCCCTGAGGACCTTTATAGTTCAAAGTGATCTTCCTGTCCTTGTGTCTATTTTCTGGTATTTCCTCTTTCATGCGGAAGCTTATGTGCCCTATGCTGTAGAGGACATCATCTTCCAGTTCTAATATGAACATTCTGGTTCCATCACAGTAGAGAAATGGGTTGCATTGTCTCTCTTCAAGACAAAGAGAAGGGAAAAGCCATGAGCACAATGTCCAAAGTTGTGTGTTCAGGTGGCAAGTGGAGGAAGAGCATCACCATGCCAAGGCAGCAGAAGGACAACTGAAGGTGAAAGTTTCTGCAGAGGAAACAAGGAAGCTTAGGGATTCCCAGTGGAAATCTTTCTTCCCATGTGTAGAACCCTGATTTGAAGGCCAGTTCCTCTTGTCCCAATGTGAAATGAACCTGTGACCATCCTCATTTCAGCCTTATTACTAATTGCACAGGCAAACATGAGTGTTCGACGGTTTTAAAAAATGCAAAAAAAAAAAAAAAAAAAAAAAAAAAAAGTCAAGTAAGGTAAAACAGACAACTCACCTCCAGAGAAATGAGTCTTTAAGTTCCTTTTTCCTTCTGGCCCCATGACCTCTGCTCAAGCAGAGTTCAGAATGCATGCTCCCTATAGTCTCGGAGAAGTAGAAAATATTGCATCCATAGAAAGTAACAAAATTTAGGAAGATAATAAGAAAATTTAGAGATTAGGAAAAACAGTTTGAAATTCTCTTAAAATGTGTAAGTCTGAAAAAAAATGGAAGACAGAATCTAAAAATTATTTCAAAACCATACACAATTAAAAAAATAAACCACAAGAAAAGTGGTTAGCTCTCTGGGAGATTAGTCCCAGATTTGCAGTAGTGAAATAGCATTTGACATGTAAAAACCCAGGGAGGCAGTTATGAAAGCCCTTGGAATGACAGCTCAATCCCAGGCCTAGAGAGATATTGGTTGGGTGGGAACAGGAAAAAGGAAGGCATCCAGCAGTGACTTTTCAGATGGGAGGTTAGAAATGAGGGAAGATATTAAGGATGTGATAAAAGGAGACAATTTAATTTTAAATAGAAAGAAGAAAAGGCAATAGAAACTCCAAGAAAATAGAAAGCTAAAGAAAAAATATGTGTATACCCATAGAATACCAAGACATGTATGGGAATTCACAGTACTAATATACTTCCTACAAGAGGAAAGTCACAAGATTCTATTGTATTGGATCAACAAGATGTATATCTAAATATTTATACTCTACAGTTACTTACAACGTCAATGATAACTAAGAAAGAAACTAAAATCATCATATTCCTACCATTGGCTGAGGGTGGAGGAAAGGTGGGAGTCTAAGAAACTCAGTCTTCCTCTGTTGTACCTGGTTGTTAACAGGTAGTTCAGGGGACTAGGGTGAGGTGCACATGGTGGCAGCTCCTTCTGTGTAACTCTTGCCTCACCTCTGTATTTTTCAGTCATGTGCATATATTTTTTATTTTCAAAATAAAATATATGAGAAATAATATATGGTATCAGAGACTCTAGGAATAGTCTCTGTTCCAGCTGTCCTGGTTCCAAGTCTAATGAAGCACCACAGATTCCAGCAGAAAATCCTGGCTCTACCCACACTTCCACTCCCTCAAATGAGACCCAAGTAATCACCAGATACAGCTGAAAAACTCAAGATCTGTCCAAAGCAGATCCACATGTAGACATCACCAAGGGTATCAATAGACACAACCACAGAGGTGTCTGCAGTGTGCATCATGAAGTCCAGCCCCTAACTTTAGACCAACTTCCCAGTCTGGAAGGAAATTTCCTTAGAGGATGCCAGTGCTAGTGGCATCAGCCACGACTCAGGTGCAGCCATGGAGTGGTCCAGCATGTTACTGTAAGCAGCCAGAGGGCAGAGGAAAGGAGCAAGAAAGATGAGAGGGAGGGTGGCAACATCATGGGTGGGCCCCTACTGGTATATCTCACTACCCTACAGTGGCCTGGGGGACACAAAGAACACGATATTTTGATGGGCAGAGGCTCTCTCAGGCCAGAGCAGTAGGACTTGGAAAGAAACTGAAGCCAAGCTGAGGAATGAGGTTTCCTGTTTCAATTTGACCACTCGTGGCTGTGGATCCCAGGATATCACAAATTGCAATGCCTTTCCCATTTTCTCTGTGGCTGCAAACACTTGGGTCAGGCTCTCATTGACCTGGCGCCCTTGAGGCACTTAATAAAGCCTATTACTTGAAACTGATAATACATTAGCACTTTATTTACTATGACTTTCAATGAAGTATTGTTCTCCAGTATTGAAAATAGGAAAACGATTAACAAGAGCTTGATAGTTACGTGAATAAACAATGGTTGATCCTAAAGAACAATTAGGCAGCACTTGATAATAAACAGTTGGTATTTCATGTATGCTCACTGTGTCTCAATGGTACTCTTAGGCTTTTGATAACCACCCCCACTTAATCTTTGCAACAATCCCCATGGCAGGTCCTGGCACCATCCCTATTTTAGAGGTGAGAAGTCACGTGAACCCACCAAGGGTCACACACTTGGGCAGTGCAGGATCTAAATATAAGCAGGCAAAAGAGGTGCCAAGAAAGATGATAATATCCTAATGGTAGGTGGAAAGGAGGAGAAAAAGTACACACGATGTGAAGGCCAGACAAGACATAGGCCAGCCCCAAATGTAGACCAGATCCACAGCTGGCCAGCCTTCACTTTTCTTATCTTAAAGGATCCTCCTCATCAAAGGAAGATCACAGAGTGCAGGGAGTGTGCTCAAAAAAGTACTGATATGAAGCAGAAACATGAGAAAAGAGAAACCAAAAAAAAAGCTAAAAATAAACACACCAGAATTACAGCTGGGTTTGTCTTTAGGTGACAGGCCCACAAGTGTCTTTTTCTAAGTCTGTTTTCTCCATTCTCCAAAATAGACATAAATTCAGGTGATGAGTCAGGCTGCAGGAGTAAGCATACGATCAGAGAAAACTGCTCCCCAAACCTGGCCCCTGGCCTGGGCTCCTGGCTGGTGGCTTCCCCTTCCCTGGGGTCTGTCCTTATCCCAGAGACAGAGCCCTGTCATCTCGACACCCATTCCATGCCCTAGTCACCCATAAAGAGTAGAGGGGAACTGAACAGGCGAAATGGTCTCGTGGCCCATGGGATGACAGTACCTGGCAGTCAGTGCCATTCAAATTGTCTTGTCTCCAGGAAAGTCCAAGCCCAAGTCCTTGAGTGTTGTCTTGGGACTGTGGAGGCCCATTTTATTCATGTCCCTCTAAAAGAGATCAGATGGAAGAAGAAGTTTTGTGGGACTCTGAGGCCCAGCCTTCTTCCCAGCAGGTAAAGCAGGCCTGCTGTCTGGAAAATGCTGTCACCACAGGGCCACCCCAATATTCTTTGTTTATCTCTTATCCTGTCTTTGGTCCAAACCAAATACCCATAATTACTAACTGGAAAAGAGAGTTTCTGGGGTGCCAGTTGAGTTGGTCACCCCTGTGTGAGAAACCCATGGGGAGCCATGGGCAGCCTCTGAGTAGAAAAGTCTCCTTATTGCCTTCACGTATTTATGCCCCGAGTGCATAACTGCTCAGCAGTATTCCACAGGTTGCTCAGGGAGATAACACTCCCTTGAAGCAATGGAGTATAATCAAACATCTTGGCTCCTCCTGAAACCAGCTCCCACCCGTTTCAGTCCCGATAAGTTACAGATCTTAAGTAGGTTAGACACACACTTTTGCTCAAGGAAATTCACAGAAACCGCCAGTGCCAAACATCTTACTGAATGGCTCAGGAGTTCTCCTTCTCTGATTAATCCTTTTCCTCATCCATTTCTCCCCCTCCCAGCTGCCCTGAGAACAAAGAGCTTGTAAACCAATAAATTGGGTGAAGCCCAAGAGCAATGGGCCATGAGCAAGCCTTCAATGCTCTGGTCCTCTAGATGCACCTTTTAAATGTTTATTCTCTCTCTTTCTAATTCCTTTGTCTCCTCCAGACTCAGGGTACCCACTGGGTGGTGTGGGACTGGTTTCCCCAACACTAACCTCGGACATTCCAAATATTGATGCTTGTATTGTCTCTCGAATCAACTCAACAAGCCCTCCTCTGGTAACACAATAGCCTTTTCTCTAGCAAAGAACTGAACCTACCATACAGTGACCCTGAAATGCAGACAGGCAGACACAACCCTGCTTGGGCCTGTCCTGAGCCTCAGATCTCTGGTTTCAATGATCTCACAGCCAGCTGATTGAAAGGGACGGGGAAGTGTGTGGAGGAAGCACTCTCCACACGACTGCACTCCAGCCTGGGTGACAGAATGAGTCTCCGTCTCAAAAAAAAAAAAAAATACCTTTAAAAATGCATCCTATTTTTTCCTGGGGGTGTTCCAAAATGGCCAAATAGGAACAGCTCTGTTCTGCAGCTCCCAGCATGATCAAGGCAGATCAGTGATTTTGGCATTTCCCACAGAGGTACCTGGTTCGTCTCTTTGGGACTGGTTGGACAGTGGGTGCAGCCCACAGAGGGTGAGCTGAAGTAGAGCTGGGCATCACCTCTACTGGGAATTGCAAGGGGTTGGTTGATTTCCCTTTCCTAGCCAAGGGAAGCCATGACAGACTACCTGGAAAAAATGGGGGTACTCCTGTGCAAATACTGCACTTTTCCCAAGGTCACAGCATCTGGCAGAACAAGTCATTCTCTCCCATGCCTGGTTTGGTGGGTCCCATGCCCCCAGAGCCTTGCTCATTGCTAATGCAGCAGTTTGAATTCAACCCCAAAGGTGGCAGCCTGGCTGGTAGAGGGGTGTCCCCCGTTGCTAAGTCTTGAGTAGGTAAACAAAGCACCCAGGAAGCTCAAACTGGGCAAAGCCCACCACAGCTCAACAAGGCCTACTGCCTCTAGACTCCACCACTGTGGGCAGGGCATAGCTGAACAAAAGGCAGCAGACAACTTTGGCAGACTTAAACATCCCTGTCTGACAGCTCTGAAGAGAGTAGTGGTTATACTAGCATGCCATTTGAGCTCTGAGAATGGAGAGACTCCCTCCTCACATGGGTCCCTGACCCTTGTGTAGCCTATCTGGGAGATACCTCCCGATAGGGGCTGACCTCATATAGGCAACTGCCCCTCTGGGACGAAGCTTCCAGAGGAAGGATGAGGCAGCAATATTTGCTGTTCTGCAATATTTACTCTTCGGCATCTGCATCCTCTGCTCATGACAACCAGGCAGAGAGAATCTGGAGTGGAACTCCACCAAATTACAAAAGACCTGCAGCTGAGGGACCTCACTGTTAGAAGGAAAACTAACAAACAGAAAGGAATAGCTTCAACATCAAAAAAAAGTTCATTTACACCAAAACCCTATGTGTAGGTCAACCACATCAAAGACCCAAGGTAGATAAAAGCACAAAGGTGGGGAGAAACCAGAGTAGAAAAGCTGAATATTCTAAAAATTGAGCACATCTTCTCCTTCAAATGATCACAGCTCCTCACAATCAATGGAACAAAACTGGATGGAGAATGACTTTGATGAGTTGACAGAGGTAGGCTTCAGAAGGTCGGCGATAACGAATCTCTTTGAGCTAAAGTCACATGTTCGAACCCATCACATGGAAGCTAAAAACCTCAAAAAGTGATTAAATGAATGGCTAACTAGAATAAACAGTGTAGAGAAGACCTTAAATGACCTGATGGAGGTGAAAAGCACGGCATGAGAACTTTGTGACACATGCACAAGCTTCAATAGCCGATATGATCAAATGGAAGTAAGGGTGTCAGTGATTGAAGGTCGTATTAATAAAATAAAGTGAGAAGACAGGGTTAGAGAAAAAAAGAGTAAAAAGAAACAAACAAGGCCTCTGAGAAATATGGGACTAAGTGAAAAGACCAAATCTACATTTGACTGGAGTACCTGAAAGTGATGGAAAGAATGGAACCAAGTTGGAAAACATTCTTTGGGATATTATCCAGGATAACTTCCCCAACTTAGCAAGGCAGACCAACATTCAAATTCAGGAAATATAGATAACATTGCAAAGATACTCTTTGAGAAGAGCAACCCCAAGACACATAACTGTCAGGTTCACCAAGGTTGAAATGAAGAAAAAAGTGTTAAGGGCAGCCAGAAAGGTTGAATTACCCACAAAGGGAAGCCTATCAGACCAACAGTGGATCTCTTAGCATAAACCATACAAGCCAGAAGAGAGTGGGGCCAATATTCAACATTCTTTAAGAAAAGAATTTCAACCTAGAATTTCATAACCAGCCAAACTAATCTTTATAAGTGAAGGAGAAATAAAATCCTTTAGAGTCAAACAAATGCTGAGAGATTTTGTCACCACCAGGCCTGCCTTTAAAGAGCTCCTGAAGGAAGTACTATACATGGAAAGAAACAACCAGTACCAGCCACTGCAAAAACATGAAAAATTGTAAAGACCTTCAATGCTATGAAGAGACTGCATCAATTAACGGGCAAACTATCCAGCGAACATCACAATGACAGAATCATATTCACACATAACAATATTAACCTTAAATGTAAATGGGCTAAATGCCCCAATTAAAGGACACAGACTGGCAAATTGGATAAAGAGTTGAGACCTATCAGTGTTCTGTATTCAGGAGACCCATCTCTCATTCAAAGACTCACATAGGCTCAAAATAAAGGGATGGAAAAAGATCTATCAAACAAATGGAAAGAAAAAAAAAAAGCAGGGGTTGCTATCCTAGTCTGTGATAAAACAGACTTTAAACCAATAAAGATCAAAAGAGAAAAAGAAGGCCATTACGTATGGTAAAGGGATCAATTCACGAAGAAGAGCCAAGTATTCTAAATATATATGCACCCAATACAGGAGCACCCAGATTCATAAAGCAAGTCCTTATAGACCTACAAAGAGACTTACACTGCCACACAATAATAATGGGAGACATTAACACTGCACTGTCAATATTAGACAGATCAATGAGGCAGAAAGTTAACAGGGATATCCAGGATCTGAACTCAGCTCAGCAACAAACAGGTCTAATAGACATCTATGGAACTCTCTACCCCAAATCAACAGCATTATGCATTATGAATCAATATGCATTCTTCTCAGCACCACATCACACTTATTCTAAAATTGACCACATAATTGGAAATAAGGCACTACTCAGCCAATGTAAAAGAACAGAAATCACAACAAACTGTCTCGCAGACCACACTGCAATCAAATTACAACCCAGCAGTAAGAAACTCACTCAAAAGTAGACAACTACATGGAAACTGAACCACTTGCTCCTGAATGACTGCTGGATAAATAACGAAATCAAGGCAGAAAAACAGATGTTCTTTGAGGCCAAGGCGAACAAAGACACAATGTACCATAATCTCTGGACGCATTTAAAGCAGTGTGTAGAGGGATATTTATAGCACTAAAAGCCCACAAGAGAAAGCAGGAAAGATCTAAAATTGACACCCTAACATCACAATGAAAAGAAATGGAGAAGCAAGAGTAAACAAATTCAAAAGCTCGCAGAAGGCAAAAAATAACAAAGATCAGAACAGAACTGAAAGAGATAGAGACACAAAAAAACCTTTCAAAAAAAATCAATGAATCCAGGAACTGGGTTTTTTTTTTTTTTTTTTTTTTTTTTTAAGATCAACAAAATTGATAGATCTCTAGCAAGACTAATAAGGAAGAAAAGAGAGAAGAATCAAATAAATAGAAGCAATAAAAATGATAAAGGGGATATCACCACCAGCCCCACAGACATACAAACTACCATCAGAGAATACCATAAACACCTCTATGCAAATAAACTAGCAAATATAGAATAAATGGATAAATTCCTGGACACATACACCCTACAAAAGCTAAACCAGGAAGGATTTGGTTTTCTGAATAGAACAAACACTAGTTCTGAAATTGAGGCAATAATTAATAGCCTACCAGTCAAAAAAAGTCCAGGACCAGAAGGATTCACAGCGGAATTCTACTGGAGGTACAAAGAGGAGCTGGTATCATTCCTTCTGAAATTATTCCAATCAATAAAAAAAAGAAATAATCTTCCCTAACTCATTTTATAAGGCCACCATCATCCTGATACTAAGGCCTGGCAAAGACACAACAAAAAAAGATAATTTTAGACCAATAGCCCTGATGAACATCGAGGTGAAAATCCTGAGTACAATACTGGTAAACTGAATCAAGCAGCACATCAAAAAGCTTATCCACCACTATCACATCATCTTCATCCCTGAGATGCAAATGTGGTTCAACTTATGCAAGTCAATAAATTTAATCAATCACATAAACAGAAGCAATGACAAAAGCCACATGATTATCTCAATAGATACAAAATGTCCTCTGACAAAATTCAATAGTCCTTCATGCGAAAAACTCTCAATAAACTAGGCATTCATGGAATGTATCTCAAAATAATAAAAGCTACTTATGACAAACGCTCAGCCAGTATCATACTGAGTGGGCAAATACTGGAAGCATTCCCTTTGAAAACCAGCACAAAACAAGGATGCCCTCTCTCACCACTCTTATTCAACATAGTGTTGGAAGTTCTACCCAGGGCAATCAGGGAAGAGAAAGAAATAAAGAGTATTCAATTAGGAAATGAGGAAGTCAAATTGTCCCTGTTTTCTGATGACATGATTGTATATTGAGAAAACCCCATTGTCTCAGCCCAAAATCTACTTAACCTGATAAGAAACTTCAGCAAAATCTCAGCATAGAAAATCAGTGTGCAAAAAATCACAAGCATTCCTATACACAAATAACAGCCAAATAATGAGTGAATTCCCATTCAGAATTGCTTCAAAGAGAATAAAATACCTAGGAATCCAACTTACAGGGGATGTGAGGGACCTCTTCAGGGACAACTAAAAAACACTGCTCAACAAATAAAAAAGGACGCAAACAAATGGGAGAATATTCTATGATCATGGATAGGAAGAATCAATATCTTGAAAATGGCCATAGTGCCCAAAGTAATTTATACATGCAATGCTATTCCGATCAAGCTACCAATGACTTTCTTCAGAGAACTGGAAAAAAACTACTTTAAAGTTTATATGGAACCAAAAAAGAGGCTGCATTGCCGATACAATCCTAAGCAAAAACAACAAACCTGGAGGCATCATGCTACCTGACTTGAAACTATACTACAAGGCTATAGTAAACAAAACAGCATGGTACTGGTACCAAAACAGATATATTGACCAATGGAACAGAAGACAAGCCTCAGAAATAACACCATGCATCTGCAATCATCTCATTTTTGACAAAACTGACAAAAAGAAGAAATGGGGAAAGGATTCCCTATTTAGCAAATGGTGCTGGGAAAAGTGGCTAGCCATTTGTAGAAAGCTGAAACTGGATCCCTTTCTTACATGTGGCATAAAAATTAATTCAAAATGGATTAAACACTTAAATATTAAACTTAAAACCATAAAAACCCTACAAGAAAACCTAGGCAATGCCATTCAGAACACAGGCTTGGGCAAGCACTTTATGACTAAAACACCAAAAGCAACGGCAATAAAAGTGAAAATAGACAAACAGGATCTAATGAAACTGAAGAGCTTCTGCACAGTGAAAGAAACTACCATCAGAGTAAATGGGCAACCTACAGAATGGGAGAAAATTTTTGCAATCTACCCATCTGACAAAGAACTAATATCCAGAATCAACAAAGAACACAAACAAATTTACATGAAAAAAAAGTCATCAAAAGGTGGGCAAAGGATAAGAACAGACACTTCTCAAAAGAAGACATCTATGCTGCCAACAGATGCAGGGAAAAATGCTCATCATCATTGGTCATCACGGAAATGCAAATGAAAACCAAAATGAGATACCATCTCATGCCACTTAGAATGGCGATCATTAAAGAGTCAGATGCTATAGTGGATGTGGAGAAATAGGAATGCTTTTACACTGTTGGTGGGAGTGTAAATTAGTTCAACCACTGTAGGAGACAGTGTGGTAATTCCTCAAGGATCTAAAACTAGAATTACCATTTGACCCAGCAATCCCATTACTGGATATATACCCAAAGGATTATAAATCATGCTACTGTAAAGACACATGCATACGTTTGTTTATTATGGCACTATTTACAATAGCAAAGAGTTGGAAACAACCCAAATGTCCATCAATGAGAGACTGGATTAAGAAAATGTGGCAAATATACACCATGGAATACTATGCAGCCATAAAAAAGGATGAGTTTGTGTCCTTTGCAGGGACACGGATGAGCTAGAAGCCATCATTCTCAGCAAACTATCACAAGGACATAAAACCAAACACCACATGTTCTCACTCATAGGTGGGAATTGAACAATGAGATTACTTGGACACAGAGCAAAGAAAATCACACACCAGCGCCTGTTGGGGAGTAGGGGGTAGGGATTTGGGGGAGGGATAACATTAGGAGAAATACCTAATGTAAATGATGAGTTGATGGGTACAGCAAACCAACATGGCACATGAATACCTATGTATCAAAACTGTACACTGTACACATGTACCCTAGAACTTTAAATATAATAAACATTTTAAAATAAATAAATAAAAATGCATCCTATTATGTTCATTTCATGTGTACGACATATGCTATGGGATACATATTGATATTTCAAGGCTACTATACTGGAACAAATTAACATATTTCTAATCTCACATAGTTACTGCTATAGTTTGGATATTTGCCTTTACAAACTTTATGCTGAAATTTGATCCCCAGTGTTGGAGGTGAGGTTGAGTGGGAGATGCTCGGGTCATGGGGGTGGATACTTTGTGAAAAGCTTGGTGTCATTCTTGTGATAAGGAGGGAGATCTTTTTTTTATTAGCTTTTGAGAACTCATTAAAAAAAAAAGCCTGGCACCACCCTCCCTTCTGTTGCATATATGTGATTATAAATATTTTTCTTTCTGTGTCTGGTTTATTTCACTTAGCATAGTTTCCTCCAAGCTCCTCCATGGTTTGGCAAATGGCAAGATCTCATTCTTGTTTAGGGCTAAGTAATATTTCTTTGTACTGGACAATAAGGCTTTTTCCATATTTCAGCTATTATTAATAATGCTGCGATGAACATGAGAGTGCAAATATCTCCATGAGTTAGGGATTTCCTTTGGTTATATGTCTAAAGGAAGAGTTGTTGAGACATAAGGTAGTTTTATTTTTAATTTTCCAGAAACCTCCATACCAACTTTTATAACTGCTACCCATTACCAGCAACACTCTACATGAGTTTCATTTTCTGTACATCCTAGCCAACCTTTGTGATCTTTTGAGTTTTTAATAATAGCTTTCCTGATGTGAGTTATGTAACGCCTCAAAGTACCTTTGATTTAAATTTTTTCTGATGATTAATGATTTTGAATGTTTCAAATACCTGTTGCCCATTTTTATATGTTCCTTGGAGAAATGTCAATTCAGAGCTTTTGCTCAGCTTTTAATATGTTTATTTGTTTTGCTGCTGTTGAGTTGTACAATGTTGGGGAAAACAGTCGCACAACACCCGGCAGGTACTTTGAGTCTGGGGGAGACAAAGGAGTTAGAAAGAGAGAGAATAAGCACTTAAAAGGCGGGTCCAGGGGGCCCGAGCATCGGAGGGTTGCTCATGGCCCACAGTTGTCAGGCTCCACCTAATTAAATGGTTTACAAGCTCTTTGTTCTTAGGGTAGATGGGAGGGGGAGGAAGGAATGAGGAAAAGGATTAATCCGTGAAGGAGAACTGGTGAGTCATTGAATTCTTATAGCACTGGCGGTTTCTGTGAATTCCCTTGAGCAAAGGCGTGTGTCTAAACTACTTAAGATCTCTAATTTATTAGGACTGAAACGGGTGGGAGCAGGTTTCACGAAAAGCCAAGAGGTTTGATTATACTCCACTGCTTCAAGGGAGTTTTATCTCCCTGAGCAACCAGTGGAATGCACTGCGCCGTTGTGCTCTCAGCAATAAAGACATGAAGGCAATACGGAGATTTGCTCCTCAGAAGCCGCCCATGGCTCCCCATGGGTGTCTCACACGGGGCAGATAAAATCAACTGGCACCCCAGAAACTTTCTTTCCCACATACAAGTCCTTCATAAATTTTAGATCTTAACCCATCATCAGATACATAGCTTGAAAATATTTTCCCCAATATTTTGGCTATTGTATTCGGTCGATTGGTTCCTTTACTGTGCAAAAGTTTTTCATTTGATGTAGTCTTGCTCATTTGTTTTTCTTTATGTGGACTGAGTTTTTAATATGATATTCAAAATAATTATTACCGAGGCCATCACTCATGAGCTTTTTTCTATGTTCTCTTCTAGATGTTTTAGAGGTTGCAGTCTTACATTTAGGATTTTCCAACTCATCTTCAGTTGATTTTTGTGTATGATGTAAAATGTGAATCCAATTTTGTTCTTCTGCATGTGGAAATCTAGTTCTCCCAGCACTACTCATAGTAAAGATGATCTTCTTCTCATGTTATCATTTTGCTGCAGATTTCAAAAACTAATTGACTATATATGCTTGGATGTATTTCTCGATTCTCTGTTCTGCTCATTTGGCTATGTTTCTGTGTTCATGCCAATTTCAAATAAGGTGGTGTGGTTCTTCCTACTTCTTTTTTCTTTCTCAACAATGTTTTCACAATTTATGGCTCTCTATATAGCTATACAAGTTTTATATTTTGTTTTCTATTTCTGTGAAGAATGCTATTGAAATTTTGATTGAATAGCATTGAATCTGTGTATTGCTTTTGATGCTATAAATACTTTAACAATATTAATTCTCCCAATCCATAAGCATAGACAATCTTTCCAATTATTTTTGTCTTCTTAAATTGATTTTATCAATGTCTCATAGTTTTCAATGGAGAGATCTGTTACTTTCTGGTTACCTTTTTTTTAAGTATTTAATTTCTTTGATATGCTTATAAGTCAGACGAGTTTCTTGAATTCTTTTTCAGTTAGGTAATTATTTGTACAATGACATTACCAAATCTGTTCATTGGTTCTAACACTTTCTTAAATAGAATATTTGAGCTGTTTTTACATATAGGAGATTGTCATCTGCAAAGAGAGAATACTTTACTTATTGCTATAAAATTTGGCTGCCTTTTATTTTTTATTTTTTGTCATCAGATGTTTATGTTCCCTATTTGATTTGTTTCTGTTTTAATTGTTATTTTATTCATTGTGCTAACTTTGAATTTAATTGTTTTTCCTTCCAGTTTCTTAGATACAATGAGATGTTGCTTATTTGGTATCTTTATTTGTTTAATGTGTGGATTTATTGCTGTAATCTTGCATCATAATGCTGCTTCACTGCACACCATAGGTTTAGGTGTGTTGTGTTTCCACTATTATTTATCTGAAGATATTTATGAATTTTTCTTTTTATATTTCGTTTCATCAATTCATTACTTAAGAGCAGTGTTTTAAAAATGTTCATATAGGCTGAGGGGCGGTGGCTCACGCCTGTAATCTCAGCACTTTGGGAGGCCGAGGCGGGCGGATCATGAGGTCAGGAGATCGAGACCATCCTGACTAACACGGTGAAACCCTGTCTCTACTAAAAATATGAAAAATTAGCTAGGCGTGGTGATGGGCACCTCCAGTGCCAGCTACTTGGGAGGCTGGGGGAGGAGAATGTCATGAACCTGGGAGGCGGAGCTTGCGGTGAGCCGAGATTGTGCCACTGTGCTGCATTCTGGGCAACAGAGCGAGACTCTGTCTCAAAAAAAAAAAAAAAAGTTCAGTATTTGTGACTTTTTTTCAAGATTTCTCCTCTTACTGATCTTTGGTTTGCTACCATGATGGTCTGAAAAAATATTAAATATGCTTTTAGCAATCTTACTTTGTTAAGACTTGTTTATGGCCTAGTATGTGGTCTATTTTAGAGAATCTTCCATGTGTGTTACAGCAAAATATATATTCGGCTGTACACTATGAAAAGTTCTGTATATGTCTGTTGGGTTCATTTAGTTAAAACTAGAATTCCAGTCTGGCATTTTCTTATTAAGTTTCTGTCGAGTTTATCTATTCCTTGTTGTAATTGAGGTACTGAAATTTCCTACAATTATTTTATTGCCATTTTTTTCTTCATTTCTATTTATATTTGCTTTAAATATTTAGGTGCTCCATTGTTGAGTGCAGATGTATATATATAATTGTTATATCCTGTTGATAAATTGATTGCTTTATTATTAAATGATGACCTTCTTGGTCTTATGACAGGTTTTGAATTGAAATCTCTTTTATAGATAGGAGTATAGCCACTCCTAATTTTTTATTACCATTTGCATAGAGGTATCTTCTTCTATTCCTTCACTTTCAGCCTGTTTGTCCTTAAAGATTAGGTGGGTCTCATAGGTAACATGTAGTTGAATCCCATTTTTAAAATCCATTTGGTCACTCCACGTCTTTTAATTGCATAATTTAATTCATTTACATTCTAGATAATTATTGATAAGTTCTTACTACTGTTATCTTGTTAGTTGTTTCTGATTGAGTCATACATCATTTTTTCCTTTCTTCCTCCCATGAATGCTTTTAAATGTTTAGCATTTAAATATTTTCAGTAGTGATAAGCTTTGATTCATTTGTTTTTATCATTAGTGTTGCTGCTGTAGTTTTTGATGGTCATCAAAGGCTCAGAGAAAACATCTTATAGTTAATAATCAACTAGTTTAAGCTGACAACATTTGTCACATAAAAACTCTAGACATTTACCCTCTGTTCCAATTATGTTTTTGACGTCACAATTTATGTCTTCTAATACTGTGTCTTCCTTAAAAACCTATTGTTGACAAGTCTTTTGCCGAATGATTTCAAGCTCCTCCATTTTTTGTTTATTTTCCCTTAGTGCTTTTAGAATTTTCTTTATTTCTCAACCTTTGAGAGTTTGCTTCTTTTTTTTTTTTTTTTTTTTTTTTTTTTTTTGGCAGCACTTTTATTTTTCCTTACACAATGATATGTTGCTGAGGCCTAATGTTCTCACATAACAGTAGAAAACAAAAATTTGTTGTCATTTCTTTAAAGAATCAAGAATTTCATACAAAAAACCTTACATAAATTAAAAGGATGAATACATTTACAGGTGTAAATGCAAACTGCTTCCAACTCAAGGCAAGTGACAGCCTACGGTGTTCTGGCAAAAAACATCAGCTAAGAAAGGAAACTGTGTCCTGTGGTTTGGACTTTCCAGCCCTAACAGACAGGCAGGGCAGACGCAACTGGTTCAGGAGCACTTGCCAGCCTCTAGAGAAATCCCAGCGCAGTCAGCCCTGACACATTAATACCCTGCACAGATCAGAGACTGCTGGCCATGCACACTCACCAAGCCACAGACTTGTCTTCCACAAGCACGTTCTTACCTCAGTCACGAAGTGACCAAGCCACGTGCACTAAAGATTGAACTCAAAGATATGTACACAGTATTAAACGAATACCGAGGGGAACAGTTAACTTGAATACAAGGTCAAAAAATCCAGTGCTGACGTCAGATACAAGCTTCAAGGACAATTTCTTTTCAAAGGCTTATTCCAGTTTCATGAGGTTAGCATGAGGTGTATGCATTTGCCAAGGGCAAATTTATGCTTCTGAATTAACCCATGCAGCAAATGCTACACATCTGCTCGTTCCATTTAGAAGCATTTGTGGTGGACGATGTAGGGGCCTGACTCATCATACTCCTGCTTGCTAATCCATGTCTGCTGGAAGGTGACCAGTGAGTTCAGGATGGAGCAACCGATCCACACTGAGAACTTGCGCTCTGGGGGTGCAATGATCTTAATCTTCATGGTGCTGGGCGCCAAGGCAGTGATCTCCTTCTGCATCCTGTCAGCAATGCCTGGATACATGGTGGTGCCACCGGATAGTACCGTATTGGTGTATAGGTCTTTGCGGATGTCCACGTCACACTTCTTGATGGAGTTGATGGTGGTCTGGTGGATGCGGCAAGATTCCATGCACGGGAAGGAAGGCTGGAACAGCACCTCCGGACACCAGAACCACTCATTGCCAATGGTGATGACCTGGCCATCGGGCAGTTCATAGCTCTTCTCCAGAGAAGAGGAGGATGCAGGGGTGGCCATCTCCTGCTTGAAGTCCAGGGAGACCTAGCACAGCTTCTCCTTGATATCGCGCATGATTTCCCGCTGGGCTGTGTTGGTGAAGCTGTAGCCTCTCTCCTTGAGGATCTTCTTGAGGTACTCAGTCAAGTCCCAGCCAGTCAGGTCCAGATGCAGGATGGCATGGGGAAGGGAGTAGCCCTCGTAGATGGGCACCGTGTGGGTGACCCTGTGTCCACAGTCCATGACAATGCCAGTGGTGCGCCCAAAGGCATAGAGGGACAGCACATCCCGGATGGCCACGTACATGGCCGGGGTATTGAAGGTCTCAAACATAATCTGAGTCATTTTCTCTCTGTTGTCCTTGGGGTTCAGTGGGTCCTCGGTCAGCAGCACTGGCTGCTACTCCGGGGCCCCATGCAGCTCATTGTAGAAGTGGTGCCAGATCTTCTCCATGTTGTCCCAGTTGGTGATGATGCCATGCTTGATGGGGTACTTCAGCGTCAGAATGCTGCGCTTGCTCTGGGCTTCATTGCCCACGTAGGAGTCCTTCTGGCCCATGTCCACCATCACGCCCTGGTGTCCGGGGAACCCAACGGTGGAGGGAAACATGGCTTGGGGAGCATCGTCCCCTGCAAAGCCAGCTTTGCACATGCAAGAGCCATTGTCAATGACGAGCGCAGCGATCTCTTCTTCTACTGCGATGGACAGAGGAGTGGGACAGAGGAGCGGCAGAAGAACAAGGTAGGCGAGCTGGCAGTGGCGACTGAGAGCCAGAGTTTGATTCTTGTTTGTTGTGGGGTAGTTTTATGGGGTATTAATCTTTTTTGTAGTTGCCGATTTTTCTGAACCTGTATATTTATCTCTCTCTCAAATTTTTGAAAGTTGTTATTATTCATTTGAATATGCTGTATATACCTTCCTTTTGCGGAACTCTTTCATGAATATTGCTAAATCTTAGATTTGCTTATTTAAGGTAATTTTGTATATCTGGTAAATGTTCTTTATTCTTTTTGATTGTTTTTCTGTTTTGTTCTTTGTGCATTTCTGAATAACCTATGTTAATTTTCTTTTCTTTTCTTTTTTTCTTTTACTTTTTTGTTTTGTTTTGTTTTGTTTAGACAAAGTCTCTCTGTGTTGCCCAGGCTGGACTTCAATGGCACGACACTGACTCACTGCAACCTCTGCCTCCCAGGTTTGGGTGATTCTCCTCTCTTAGCCTCCTGAATAGCTGGGATTACAGGTGTGCACCACTATGCCCAGGTAATTTTTTGTATTCTTAGTAGAGACAGGGTTTCACCATGATGCCCAGACTGGTCTTAAACTGCCAAACTCAAGTGATCAACCCATCGCAGCCTCCCAAAGTGCTGTGATTACAGGCCTGAGCCTGCACACCTGTTCCTGATAACTCATTTTAGAGCTCACTGATTGTTTATTCTGTTTGATATATTCTTCTATTGAAAGCCTTCTTAATTTTCCACTTTAACCAGTATATTTCTCAGTTCCAGGACTTTTTTTATTGTTAAATAATTTCAGTACATTTTTTAAAGTTTCTTTCAGAAGCGTTATCAGTTCCTTTTCTGTGTTGTTTTAGAGATCTGAATTTCCTGAAAGCTGATATTTTGAATTTTTGATCCAATAATCACTGATAGCCATCTCATTAATTAGCATTGGTCAATGGTTTATGCTTTGTCCATTAAGGGAGGTTATAATTTCCTGTTTGGTATTATTGCTCGTGGTTATACATCTGTATCTTTTTATTGAAGGACTAGTTATTTAGTTTATTGTTTTCTCTGTCTTATTTTACATTTTGTTGTATATAATTGCTTTGAGTTTTCTTTAAGACATAAGTATTGTGGGGTATTGTTTGCTTGATTTTGGCTAGGTCAGTGCCTCTGTTTTGGCAGTAGATGGTGCCTTAAGCCCAGGTTTATTTCAGCTCTAACAAACAAACTTTGAAACACTGCCAGTCTCCTATCTGAGACATTTTGAAGGGGATATCCTGTGTGGGAAGGCTCTCTATAGGTTTGTGATCAAGGAAATTATGCAATATACCTCCTACCTTATGGTAATGCTGTGCAGGCACTCAGGTTTGGCATCTCCTGTGACTGAGCTATCCAGGCTGGAGATGGTAGTCCTTCTTTCTACTTCATCCCTGGTTTTCCTCAGGTTTTTTTTTCTCTTTTCAGGCACTCACAAGACTTCCTTGGGTAAAGACAGGAATAATTCTCCTGCCAGGGAATCCAAAATGATGGGGAAGCTGGCCATCCACTTTAAACTTTATTTTAGTAAGTGTAGTAACCAAGAGTCAGAGGAGTTTTTTTGTTTGTTTGTTTTGTTCACACTTGGTTGTCAGCAGACTAGGGGACAAGTGTCATGAATATAAAAGGCCAACTTTTTTACCCTCTGCCTGGTTTCTTCACTTCTCTGTCACCCTAGGAGCAGGCTCATTCTCACTTTTGAGCTCTGTGTTATTGATGGTGATAATCTCAGCACTGTATACTCAGTTTTGGTTTTTCTGTGGGTGTTCTTGGGGGGTTAGGGTTGGGGGCAATTGATGGGCAGCTTCCTTTACTTTGCCATATTTTTTACAAAAGTACTCTCCTCTAATTTACACTTTTTCTGCTTCCTTGTGTGTACATTTATGTTACAAATTTTACATTTCTTCTTTTTTATCTCTATCTTTACACATATATATTTCTCAACATTGATTTAGCGCATTTCAGAAGCTTTAGTATGTTTTAGTTTTTCTTTTGTTTGTGAAAATTAATTCCTTGCAGATTCTTCAGTTAACCATAGGTTGTTGAAGAGTGTATTTATTATTTTCCAAACAATATACATTTTTCAGTCTTTAGAAAATGAATCTCAGTCAGGCGTGGTGGTCATGCGTATAATCCGAGCACTTTGAGAGACCGGAGTGGGTGTATCACCTGAGGTCAGTAGTTTGAGACTAGCCTCATCAATACAGTGAAACTGTCTCCACTGAAACTACAAAAATTAGCCTAGCACGGTGGTGTGTGCCTGTAGTCCCAGCTACTCAGGAGTATGAGGCAGGAGAATTGCTTGACCATGAAAGGTTGTGGTGAGTTGAGATCACACCACTGAATTCCAGTCTGGGTGACAGAGTGAGACTCCAACTTATTTATCTATTTTTCTTTAAATAAATAAAGAAAAAAGAAATAAAGAAAAAAAAAGAAAACGGGCCTCTAGTTTTATTCCATTGTGGTTGAAGAAAGCATTATATGTGATTTCAATAATGTTAGATATAATTAGAACTTGCTTTGTGGCCTACCACAGAGTCTATTCTGAAGATAGCACAGAGAATAACACATATACACTTTAGAAGAATGTGTAGTCAGCTTGTGGAGTGTTTTGTATATGTCTGAGAGATTTATTTGGTTTATACTGCTTTTGAAGACCTTTGTTTTCTTATTGAACTTGGATTTGGTCATTTTACACATTGTTGAAAGTGGGGTGTTGAAATCTCCAACTATTATTATTATTGCAGAACTGTGTAGCTCCTCAAATCTATTCATTTTTTGCTTCATATATCCTGAGGATCTTTTATTAGGTATATATGAAAGTGTTACATCTTCTTGATCAATTAAACAATTTTGATATTTGTCTAATAATTCTAACTCTATTTTGGTTACCGTTTGCATTATTTTTTCCCCACTTTTAAAACGTTTAAAAAGTTATTCTGCTAGTCTTTGACATTTAACTGGAGTTTATTTGGACTGAAATTAATTGCTGACAAGAATTTATTTTCCTATTTTTGTTCTTTTGTTCTACAAGTTTTGTTATTGTTGTTGTTATATATCATTCCTCCAAAACTGCTCATCTTTGCATTTGTTTTTCTAGGGTACAATTTAGACTCCTTCATTTCTCTTCAGTATATTTGAACAGTTATTTTCTTATTGGCTATTAATGGTATTATAATTAATATCTTAAATTCATAATAATATAGTGTGAATTACAATAACTTAGTATTGACATTATACAAAAATCATTTTCCCATATTGCTCTCCCTACCTTTCTATGTTTTTTTGTCAAAAATTGTTTTTTATACAATATGTACTAACAACCCAGATATGTAATTATTGTTTTATTCTTTGTCATTTCTTTATTTTATTATTGAATTTTATTTTACTTCATTTGAGACAGGGTTTCAGTCACATAGGCTAAATATGGTTCACTACAGCCTCGAGCTCCTGGGCTCAAGGGATCCGTCCACCTCAGCCCCTCATGTACCTAGGACAGAAGTGTATGCCACCACAGCTGGATAATTTTGTTCATTTTCTGTAGAGACAGGTTCACACTTTGTTGCCTTGACTGGTCTCATACTCCTCAGCTCAAGGAAATCCCGATCCTTGGTTGGGATTACAGTTGTGAGATACTGTATCTTTCCTCTTGTCATTTAAATCTAGTAGAAAAATAAAGTCACAGAAACCCCATATACAATAATATTGGCTTTCCTATTTCTTGGTGTAATTACTTCATTGATGTTCTTTATTTCTTTATTTGCACATGAGGTGCTATTTTACTTTCATTCCTTACATGTTTTCATCATGTTTTGTAAGGCTGATCTAGTAGTAACGTACTCTCTTTAATTCTGTTTGCTTGGAAATGACTTACTTGCTCATAAATTTAAATTTTGGTTTGGACAGATATTGAGTTTATGATTGACTTAATTTTTTTTTATTTCAGCACTTTGAAGATCTCAACACAGTGACTTATTTCCTCCATAATTTTTAATGAGAAATTGGCTGTTAATGTCATGGATGATAACTTGCATGTGATCAGTTACTTCTGTCTTGCTTCTTTTAAAGTTCTCTATTTATTTGTCTTCTGTCAGTTTCAGTGCATGTGTTTCAGTGTGGATATCTTTGATTTTATTCTTCCTGAAGTATTTTTTTTTTCCTTTGGAGATATTTGGATCAGTAGATTTCCATCTATCAACACATTTGTGAAGTTTCAGCCACTGTTCATTCAAATATTCTTTTTTTCCCCTGTATTTCTCTTTTTTCAGTGAAACTCCCATTATGAATATGTTGATATTCTTGATAGAATCCCATGGCAACCTTAGTTTTGTTCATTATTCTTGTTCCTGTTTTTGTTTCATACACTGAATAATATCAAACAATCCATCTTCAAGTTGCCTCATTACGCTTTTTGCATGCTCACACAAGCTATTCAATCTTTCTAGTTACAGATTATTGATTTCATTTTTTAAATAATGTGTATGTCTTTATTGGTATTTTCAATTTTGAATCACTGTTCTACTGGGTTCCCTTAGGTCTTTGAGAACAGACCTTTGAAGGTCTCAATTCTCTTCTTTTTGAAGAGAATTGAAATATTTCCCTAGTTAGTACCATGCCTGGGCTTTCTGAAATAGCTTCTTTTAATTATGTTTTCTCTGAATGTGCTTTTTTTGCATTTATCTTTGAATGCCTTTTATTTTATTGTTGAATGCTGAACACTTTGCATATTATTCAGCATACTCAGATAACAAATTCTTGACCTCCACAATTGCTTAGCTTGTGGGTTGTGTACTTGTTTAACAACTCCTTACAGCTAGTTTTGTAGTCTGTATTCTTTGTCATGTGTGGCCACTTAACCTGTGTTCTGTCATCCTTTTGGTCATCTACTATCTTTGACACATTAAAAAAAATCATAGGAAAGAAAAGAAAAAAAGGAAAAGAAAGAAAAGAAAAACTATTCAGAATTTGCATATAGACTTTTCAGGAACTCTAGTGTTTAGTCAAAAGTCAGGGAAAAGTGAAAAGTTTTGGGGTCTTCGCCATGCATGCATCCAAAAGTGGACATATTTATATCCTTCTAAATATACCAGTAGGAGTCTGGGTGTGGTGGTTCATATCTGTAATCCCACCAATTTGGAAGGCTTGGAGAACAAATCACTTGAGCCCAGAAGTACGAGACCAGCCTTGACAACATGGAAAGACTCTTCTGTATAAAAAAATACAAAAATAAGCTAGTTTTGGAGGCCCATGCCTGTACTGTGAAATGCTGAGCGGGGAGGATTGGTGGAGTCCAGAGAGGTGAGATGCTCAGGAGGCTGAGGTGGCAAGATCATTTGAACCCAAGGAGGTTGCCGCTGCAGTAGGCCATGATCCTGCCACAGGACTCCACTGTGGGCCACAGGGCAAGTTCTGTCTCTATTTAAAACCCAATCCAATATAAACAGCAACGAACTGTGAGAATTTTTCAAAGCTGATTTTCCACATCACTTTTCTTCACCAGCCACTTCTTTCCAGGCATTTTGTTTGTGTACTACTTGACCTGACTCTTATTCCTTGCTATAGGTGGCTCTGACTAGTATATTTCCTTTCCGCAAATGCCTCCTGGGAGTCAACTTCTGCACCCAAGAAAGCTCTGAGGTGGGCTAAAGAAAAGACTCTGAACTGAAAATCTCCAAGGGAACCTCAGACATTTTAAATCACACAACCGCAATTATTTGAAATAAGTTCTGTATTTCCACACATGCATCAAAATCTGCATCTAGAATTTAATCTTATTCACGGTTTCCATGAAGCCATGGAGTGGGTGATGATGGGAAGTTAAAATGCCACATACTGTCTTGCCCAAACTTAGAGGTCAGGTCTTTCTTCATTAAACGCACCCTTGAGTGACGTTATTAGATTCCAGAGCTCCAAAAATCAAGTCTGAGGTTGTTGTCTCTTCCTTATATCTCTTCACTTTTAACCCAATTAACTTTAATTACAGCGTAAAATAGAAAGTTGATTAAATCTACCTTGCTTTTTAATGTTCGGAGAGGTATTTTTTGAGATGGAGTCTCACTCTCTCACCCAGGCCAGAGTGCAGTGGTGCGATCTTGGCTCCCTGCAGCCTCTGCCTTCCAGGTTCAAGGGATTCTCTTGTCTCAGCTTCCTGAGTAGCTGGGATTACAGGCATGCACCCCCATGCCTAGCTAATGTTCTTATTTTTAGTAGAGAGGGCGTTTCACCATGATGGCCAGGCTTGTCTCAAACTCTTGACCTCAAGTCATCCACCTGCCTCAGCCTCCCAAAGTGCTGGGATTACAGTCATGAGCCATCGTGTCCAGACTGTTTTGTAAGATTTTATTTGACACTGCTTCCATCATTATCATGAAAGCCATTCTGTCTTTCATGTAATAAGTAATAGTTAAGAAATACATGTTTTTGTTAGCAACTTATAAGTGATATGACTTTATTGTTTTCCAAATTATTAAGAGTTCAGTTTTCATTTCACCATAGCATGGTAGTTGTTACAAAAAATTAAGTTCCATCTTGGGTCAGTTTAATCTCACAGTCTCTAACTAAAGTATTTGAGCGTAAAAATTAACTCTCTAAATAGACTACGTAATGTGCAGCTCATGTATTATTATTACATTAGTGGTGTTTTATATAATTAAATGTAAGGATGGTATTTTAGGACATTATCATACTCATCTTGTAGAGTCATACCCTCCTAAGAAGACAGAGTTACACTAGGTAGTTGTAGGCATATCACCATAGAGTTCAAAAGACACTCCTCAGATTTCACTAGGAAATGAGAAGTGAAATGTTACGACTGTTCTGGAAATATGGCCCTAACCAGTAAGGAGAAAGCTTGTGACCTCTACAATAAAAGGAATGATAAATAATAAATTACTTGAGATTTTTCCATGTTTGTTTCCTGTATTGAGTTTTGAATAATAAAAAATGTAAATAATAACTGTAATAATACATTTAAGTAATAAAAACGTTTAAGTAAATTTTAACTATTAAACATTTATATTTATTTATATGAATTAAATGGTCAATGTACATTTCTTTATTCATATAACTTCAACAGGCTCTCAAGTATAGAGAAGAATATGTCAAGTTCACACCTCTAAATGTCTTACAGCTAGGATGGATACAAATGGAAGGAGTGAGTGAAAAAATAACATAAGCTTATCTGCAAATCAACTAAAATATTGTTTCATAAATACTATGTAGACTAAGTATTCAAAAACAATACTGAAATTACAAAGTTGTATTATTTATTATAATATTAAACACTTAGAGAGAGGTTATTATATCTCAGAATTTTAGCTTAAAATGGTGGATATAATAGTAAATAACACTGAAATGGCTCCTCACTTCATAAAGTAACAGTTAATAGTAAAGCAGAAAGGATCAAGAATAGAAAGGAAAAGACAAGAGATGTGTTTTATTCATTGAAAAGTAGAATAATTCTAGACCCTCAATGAAAAATGAATTGAACAAGGTAACACAGAAGAAGGAAGTAAATTAAGATGTTGATACTATCATTTAGGGAACAATAAATGATGACCTCACCTTTAATGCATAAACAGCAACAAGAAAAAAAAAACATTTGTAGGTGGTAGATAATAAAAAAGTTGTTATAGATAAAATATGAAAGAGACGAGGGAAAATAATTGGACGTGGAATATCCCCAGTTTTTATGTTATACAGGTGATGTAGTTTTGGACAAAAAATGATGGAAGAGAGAGGCATGTAGAAAGTGTAAAGAAGTTCAGGGGAAGTTTTAAATTTAGCTCTCTTAATCTTGGGTCACTCATCAGAAAAAGGAAAGCACAATGTTAGAAATTCAGAGATCATATCACTGGTTGAATTCCGATCATATCACTGGTTGAATTCCTTAGTACTACAGGTTTAAAACTTAAGAGGCTTTTGTCTCAAAACAACATCAACAAAAAGCCAGGTGTGGTAGTGTGCATCTGTAGTCTCAGCTACTGAGGAGACCAATGCAGGAAAATTGCTTAAGCCCAGCAATTTGAGGCTGTAGTCAGTCAAGGTCTCACTACTGCACTGCAGACTGCGTTACAGAACACTTTCTTAAAAAAAAGAAAGGAAAGAAAAGAAAAAGGGAAGGGAAAAGGGAAAGGAGAAAGGGAAGGAGAAAGAGGTATTCTGTGTAGTTATATTAGTGGTCTAACAAACAGACATCTACGAGATAAAATGAAACAAAACACACTGACAATTAAATAGAGAAATCAGACGAAAGTTGAGTCATGTAATCCAAAGCAAAATAGTATTTCAAGAATGAGGGTGTGAATCAGTTTTACAGATACACACGACTGTTTGAGTAATACGCAATAGACAAGTGATATATGGGATTTAGTGACAAGTATAAGATATGATTCCAAAAACAGGGTAAATGCCTGAAGAAAGGAGAGTTAAGAAAAATAAAATTAAACCTTGTCACAGGCAACTCTTTCCATGAGTCTTCCTATCATAGAAAATAAATAAATGAGTTGACAGTGGCATATCTAGAACTAAGACAAGCAGCATGTAGATCTAGTAAAGAAAATGATCAAATGGGGTGTGGCATCTTACACCTGTAATTGCAGCACTTTGGGAGGCTGAGGTGGGGAATCATTTGAGGTCAGTTTGAGACCAGCCTTGGCAACACGGTGAAACCCCATCACAATTATAAGTTCTAAAACTAGCCAAGCGTGGTAGTGCATACCTGTAATATCAGATACTCAGGAGGCTGAGGCAGGAGAATCAATCACCTGAATCCAAGAGGCCAAGGTTGCACTGAGTCAAGATTGTGCCAGAGACTCTCTCTCAAAAAAATTAAACTAAACTAAAATAAAAAGAAATGATCCTGCAGGTAGAGCAAAGAAGTAATGGTACAAGGAGACAACAAATAATAAGCAAATCAGTGTTTTAAGAAGCTGGGAAATCCAAAGCAAAGGCGAAGAGGGTCATAACAAGGAGCAGTAAAAAATATACACAAATCTACACAAGTTTTATTTTTGGTGGTGATTTCTCAGGAAAAAGAAACACAAAAGAAAGTGTGAATAAGAAAGTTGTCACCATTGCCTTGGTAGAAAAAAATGGAGAAAAACCACCACCAACAAAATAATGTAAATTATACAATGTTAAGATCTAGTGTTCTTCATCCCTTCCCATGGTGTTTGTTTCCTCAAGAAATAACAGAAGCCAAATATTCAAAATAGAAGGAAACATTAGCATATATTACTGTCTACATATATTAAGTCAAGTTTGTTTTAACTGCAATTCATTCTTTTAAAATTTGTATTTTAAATTAACAAATATAAATATTTATGGGACACAAAGTGATTTTATAATTCATGTATATATTGCAAAAGAATTATATTGGGCTAGTTACCATATCCATTACCTCACATACATACCATTTCTTTCTTTGTGGTAAGAATATATAAATTCTACATTTTAAACAATCCTTATTTTTGAGATAGAGTTTTGCTCCTGTTGCCCAGACTTGAGTGCACTGGTGCAAACTCAGCTCATTTCAACTGCCACCTCCCGAGTTCAAGTTTTTCTCTTGCCTCAGCCACTCGAGTAGCTGGGGTGAGATGTGCATGCCACCAAACCTGGCTAATTCTTATATTTTCAGTAGAGACAGTGTTTCATCATGTTGGCCAGGCTGGTCTTGAACTCCTGACCTCTACTGATCCTCCCTCCATGGCCACCCAAAGTGCAGGGATTTCAGACATGAGTCACCATGCCTGTCCTTTTTTTTATTAAACAATTTTTAAGTTGACATTTATTAACTGTGATCACCATTCTGTGCAAAGGATCACCAGAACTTCTTCCTGTCTCACTGAAATTTGTTACCCTTTGATGAACACCTCCCCTTTCTCTATCCACGCCCATCACCACCCCACACTCCAATCTCTGACTACTTTTTGTGTGTTTGTAGAAAGAGTCACGGCCTTGCTGCATTGCCCAGGCTGGAGTACAGTGACACAATTATGGCTCACGGTGGCTTCAAACTTCTGACCTCAAGTGATCCAACCACCTCATCCTCCCTTAGTGCTGGAGTGACAGGCATGAGCCACCACATCTGGCATATTCACAGTTTGAATGAGTTCAACTTTTTTAGATTTTACATATAATAGTGATCATTCTATACTTGTCTTTCTGTGCCTCTCTTATTACACTGAGCATAATATCTTCCAATTCCATTCATTTTGTCACAAATAAATAAAAGATCTTCCTCCTTTTTTAAGGCTGTATAGTATATCTCATTGTGTATATGTGCCACACTTTATCTCTTGATGTGCACTTAGGTTGTTACCGTATCTTGGCTGTTATGAATAATGCTGAGATGAATATAGAAGTGCAGATATCTCATTGCCATGCTAATTTTATATCCTTTGAGTACGTATCTGGAAGTAGAGTAGCTGGATTATGTGGTAATTCTTATTTTTAATTTAACTGTATTTTTGAACACTCAATTCTATGACCCCAAAAGCACAGACTAGAAAAGCACAACAAAAAACAATTGGATCACATTACATCAAACTAAAATGTTTCTGTACCACAGAGGGAAAAGGGTGAAAAGCAAATGTTCACTGATAGTGTATATGCTATATTACAAGCACTTATTAAATTAAAGGTATAGGTTCCAAAATGTACTAGGTGAAAAATGTATTATGGTTATTTTTTCTGCTTAGTTTTTGTAGCCAGATGGATTTTTCATTTTGTTTTGTTTAATAAGCTGTACAATTATATTTAAGAAAACAAAAATTATTAATGCATAGTCACATTAGAAAAATCAATTTTATTAGAAACTACTTCCAAGGTTTTGTTGTTTATATTTTTTATGAGTATCTTTATAAAGTCACACTCAGCCTCTTTACTCTTTGTTCTGTGAAAGTATATATGGATATTGCATACTCACTTATTGAAAATATCCTACCCTTCTCCATGAGTGATAGTAATTCCTCAGCTGCTTACTTTTATTCTTTTAACTGAATTTTCTCCAGATGCTTACACAATATCACAGTGCTTCTGGATGATTTTCAGTATCTCCTGGCAATACTTTGCCCGACCACCTTGGTTGCAAATACTGACAGAAGCGGAGCTTAAAGCCAAAGGCTAATATGTAGGTTTTGATGAACTACACGGCAATTATTGAGTCACAACACTTCGGTAAAACGTTCCCTCCAAAGAAACTAAATATCAATATTATTATCACATTTTCTAAAAACTGAAATCTGTAGTGTAGGATTGTATGTCCCACCTCGTGTCTCTTATCAATTCCTCATTTGACAGCTGCAGTTTCACTGCTGACAAGCAGGAGAATTGATGGCAGCATATACTAGCATGATTAAGATAAGCATCCATACTTACCCACCATGCTGGAATTATTTTTTGTGTTGCTAGGAAGATGAGTTCCACTTTTCGAAAACTCCAGCCATGGTGTCAACAATAATACAAAATATATGATTAATAGAAAGTGTAAGCTCCCCTGTTTCAGAGATGCAGGGAAGAATGCCAGAGTCACTACAGGTGAGATAATCACCAACGAATGCCATATCATGAGATAGATCAATTTTATCACCTGTAGCTTAATGGCAGCAAAGTCGTTGCCAGTGCGGATGGCCAGTATATTGCAGTGAATGGCACCTACACAACTGATAAGAGGGAATATGTCATCAGCAATGCTATTAAAGATAAACATGAAAATGCTAGAGAATAATTTTCATTAGTAATGGCCACTTTCTCTTTTAAACTTGCCAAGTTAAGATATATTTCTCCCAACCCACCTCCTTCGGAAAATAATTTACATACAAAAAAGAAAGAAAAAAAAAGATTTGTTATCTTTCCATTATCAGGGATTTAGTGAATATATGCATGCAAAACATATAAAATAAAGAATAAGTGAATACACACATACACAAATTTATAAATGTATATACACATTCCCTTAAAATAAAATAACTGGAACTCATGAAATTGGATAGAGACATTTGTATCTGACGTTACAAGGTGTGACAGCACCTAGAAAGAAGTCTCAATTAAGAACAAATAAAATTGCGTGAATTAGATCTTGAAAAGGTAGTTTCTTTTTTATATAAAGTTAGAGTGTAAAGTAGGAAATTACGGTGTAAAATAGGAGGTGAATGCAATATAAACTGTGTTTTAGACTCTGGTGATAACAGGAAATCGGAAATAAGCTGTGGAGTTCAAGTAAATTCTGGAAGTGGAGCTGCCAGATTTTGCTGTGTGATGGAATACAAGGTACTAGAGAAGCAGAAAAATTAAAAGTTTTAGAAATTAAGTGATTTGTGTGGGCATGTTTTTGTTTGTGTGTACTTAGGTAATTTTATCAGAAGTTTTTAATACGAAAATTAATTTAATTTTGACATTGTTATCCCAATAATTAGACTAATATGCACAAGGAAGAAAAACAAAATTATGTAGTAGCTGTATAATCAGTTTAAACAATCTTCTACTACATTCAGTTGAAAGAGTAAAAATTCATTTCACATATACAGAAGGGTTAAAATAATACAGTCTTCATACACAATGAAATGAAGCCAGAAAACAAAAAGAGGCCAAATAGTCTTTACTCATCTAAAGTAACTATTCATTTTCTAACACCATTTAGAAAATGAATATCGAGAGTCCATTTATTCCTTCAGGGATACCCAAAGAGAAACTCTAAAGCAATAACATTCTTAACTGCATTTATGAGAAATAAGACTGAATAAAAAGAAATGATCTAAAAGTTAAATTTTAGAAAGTAAATTTTAGCTGGGTGTAGTGACTCATACCTGTAACCCTAGCACTTTAGCAGGCTGAGGTGAGTAGATCACTTGAGCCCAACAATAACAACAAGAAAACACCAAAAATGTTATCCAGGCATGGTGGCACATTCCTGTAGTCTCAACTATTCAGGAGGTGGAGGTGGGATGCTCACTTGGGCGAAGGAGGTAGGCATAGTACATTTTGCCTTGGGACATTTATTTGCCTGTCCCCTTGCCCCAGCACTTTGGGAGGTTGATACCCAGGGGTAATCATGTAGACCAACCCCGGCAACAGATTAGAAACTATGATCTCCGCAGAATGGAGCTGAGTTCCCGTCAATATTCCCACTGATTGACTACAGTAACCTCAGACACTGAATAAAGATCAGAGGGCAGACCATGGAAGTTACAGGCCTTGAGTGCATCCAGTGCTCAACTGTGTGATACAGGTGCAACCTGGCACTGAGTCGACTTTGTCAGTCAAATTACTCCAGCCATGAAAGTCTGCTCATTAATGTTTCCCCTCGTGCTACCAGGGCTGAAGCTATCATAGGCTAAAATACCTTAATTTCCTCCTCCTTGCCCTGAATCTCCGGACAGCCTTACTGTGGAAGAAAGCTTCCAAACAAAGGCAAACTACAAACACTGCATTAGGCACCTACATCACTGCACAGACATTGATGCATAGTCACAAGCATTAGGATCAATGAGAGAAACATGACGGCATCAAGTGGTCAAAATAAAGTGCTGGTGGTGACTGACCCAAAAGAGATGGGCATGGACACAAGGCCTGACAAGGAATTCAAAATACTTGTTTGAAGACAATGCAGTGGACTTCAGCAAAACACAAAGAATTCTGAAATTTATCAGAGAAGCTTACAGAAGAGATTAAAATACGGGAGGAAAAAACAAACAGAAATCTTGAAGAATAAAACACAACAAAATAAAAAATGCAATTGACAGCAGTGACAATAGAAGTGGTCAAGCAGCAAAACTCAAAGGGAGGTCAATTCAAAATATACAGTTAGAGGAGAAAACATAAATAAGATTCATGAGATTAATGGGATAACATCCAAAGAGCCAATGTGTCAGACACTGGCATTCAAGAGTGTGGTAGAGCCGGGTGTGATGGCCCATGCCTGTATCTTCAGCACTTTGCGGGGCCAAGGCGGGTGGATCATATGTTGTCAGGAGCTTGAGAGTAGCCCGGACAATATGGTGAAATGGTTTATCTATTATAATACAAAAATTAGCCGGGTGTATTGGTGGACATCTGCGATCCCAGCTACTCAGAAACCTGAGTCAGGAGAATCACTGGAACTCAGGAGAATCACTGGAAACCAGGAAGTGGATGCTGCAGTGAGCCACAATCACACCATTGCACTCCAACCTGCGAGACAAGAGCAAACCTCCATCTCAAAAAAAAAAAGTGTAAGAAAAGAGTAGAAAGCTTATTTGGATAAATAATAACAGAAGCCTTTTCAAACTTAAATAAAATATAAATATTCTGCTATAGGAATCTTGAAGGCTTACAATCACATTCAATTTCAATAAACATATCCCTGTGACTTAATATAATCAAACCACCAAACATCAGAAACAAAGAGAGGATACAGAATTAAGCAGCAGAAAAAAAATAACATATTATAACGGGAATACATCCATACAAATAATATATGCATATATATAATACAAATGTTAATAGATCCAAAGGAAGAAAAAAATGCAAGATAATATTAGAAAAATTCAGCACCTTACTTTCAGCAATGAATAGATAATGCAGACAGAATTTAACAAGTAAACATTGGATGAAAATGCCATGTAGTGAAAATGCTAAAAACAGTTACTGAACTATCCATCCAAGAGCTATAGAATAAACATTCTTCTCCACTGCATACATGAGATATCTTTCAGGATATGTCATACATTAGGTAAAAAATCACATCTTAATGAATTTGGAAAGATCAAACTCACATAAAGTATCTCTTCTGAAATCACTAATTCATAAGTACATCAAAATTAAACAACATGCTCCTGAATAACCAATGAGTCAGTGAGGACATTAAAGAGAAAACACCATATTTCTTGAGACAAAAATAGAAACACAACACACCAAAACCTATGAGATTCAACCAAAGCAGTTTTAAGAGGGAAGTTATGACAATAAATGCCTTCAACTATGAGAAGATATCAGATATACAACTTGATGTTTCAATGAAGGAATTAGAAAAACATAAATCTAAACTCAAAAGTAAAAACAAAAAACAAAAACAAAAAACAACAAAAGAAAACAAAGCCCCTGATAAAGGAAATCAGAGCCATAAAAGAGATACCATAACTGATACCCAGAAACAAATTAATGGTAAGAAATCAAATCAGCAATAAAAGATCACCTATTAAAGAAAAGCCCAGGACCTGATGTATTCACTCTTGCATTCTACCTACCACAAAAAATAAACTGCTGCCAATTTTTTTTAACCTAGTCAAAACATAACACAAAAAGGAAGATATGGGAACTGTTCCAACTCATTCCATTGGGATGGCATTATTCTGATACAAAACCAGACAAGGATACAAGAAAAAAGAGAGAACTATGGGCCAAAATATCTGATAAACATAATGTAAAAATCCTCAATAAAATACTGGGAAAATGACTTATAATGCCCATTTAGAAAATCATTCACCGTGATCAAGTGAGATTATAGGGATGCAGGAATGGTTTAATACACTAGAATCATTAAATGTCATACATTATATCAACAAAATAAAGAACAAAATCTATGCAGTCATTTCAATAAGTGAAAAAAGTTTTGACAAAATTCAACAGTTTCACAATAAAATCTCTTAACAAATTATGCGTGGAACAACCGTAACTCAACACAACAAAAGACACAGACCCGAATAACCAGATAACACCACATATACAAGCCCTTAGCTAATATCACACTCAAAGGGAATTAAAAGTTGAAAGCTTTTCTGTGAAGATCTGAAGGAAGACCAAGATGTTCATTTTCACTACTTCTATTAATGTAATAATAAAAGTCCTTAGCCGGAAAAATTAGACAAGAGAAAGTAAGAAAAGCTACCCAAATTAGAGAGGAAGAAATAAAATTGTCCATACATGCTAATGACAAACTATGGAAATCCTTAAACACACAACTAAAAAGTAGTTAGAACTAATACAGAAGGTCAGTAAAGTTTCAGTTTACAAAATCAACATATAAAATTGGATAGCATTTCCATACACTAACAGCAAAATACCAAAAAAAACAACAACAACAACAAAGATTAAGAACACAATCTCATTCACAATAGGTATGGGGGATAAAAGGGAATAAATTTAACCAAGGAGATTTAAAAAATCTGCATTCTGAAATCTATGAAACACTAATAAAATGTTAAAATGACATAAATGAGTGGAAAGATATTTATGTTCATTGATTGGAAAAAGTAATATGGTTAAAATGTTTATATGATCCAAAGAAGTGCACAAGTTGAGTGCAGTCTCTATCAAAACACCAATGGCATTTTTCACAGAAATTGAAAAAAATCCTAAATAAATATGAAACCACAAAAATAAAACCATGAATAGCCAAAGCCATCCTGAAGATGTCAATGGGGTTAGGGATTGAATCCACAGAACTGGGCATGCCACAATGCTATAAACCAATACAACAGAACACAGTGAGCAAAAATAAATCTACACCTGTATAGCCAACTGATATTCTGCAGAGGTGGCAAGAAAACCAAATGAGGAAATGTCAGTCTCTTCAATAAGTGGTGCTGGGAAAACAAGAGAGCTACATGCAGAAGGACCTAATTACAACCCTATCTCTCACTGAATACAAAAATTAACTCAAATGGATTAAAAAGCCCGGTACAGTGATGTGCCCCTATAATTTTAGCTACTCAGGGGTCCCAGAAGGGAGGATCACCTGAGCCTAGCTGTTCAAAGCTATAGCGTGAAACACTTATGCCACTGCACTCTACACTAGGTAATATTGTGAGACCTCACCTATAAGAATACATACTTAAAAACATTTAAAATTAAAGATGTAATGACAACAGCAATCTGTCAAACTAGTAGAATAAATCACAAAATATATTTAATGACCTTGGTCTGGGCAAGAATATTTTTGGATAAGACTTCAAAAACACAAGCAAAAAAAATGCACAAACAGAAAAATAAGGTTACATCATACTAGAAAAATTCCTTACAGCAAAAAATAAAAATAAAATAAAATAAATCACCAGACTAATGTAATGAGAGCAAATATTTGCCAACTGTATATCAGACAAGGGGTTAATCAAAATGTACAAGGAACTAAAAACAGATTCAAAAGAACAAGAAAATAATAACCCAATTAAAAATAAGTATCTTCTGTTTCCCAAAGAATGTATATACACAGCTAACAGGTGTGTGTGTATGTGTGTGTGTGTGGCTGTGTATATATACACACACACACACACACACACACTATACATAAATATCTCAACATTTCTCATCATCACAGAATTGCAACCTCTACCTTCCAGGTTCAAGTGATTCTACTGCCTCAACCTCCTAAGTAGCTGGGATTACAGGCGTGTGCCACCACACCCAGCTACTTTTGTATTTGTAGTAGGGGTGGTTTCACCATGTCCTCTAAGCTTGCCTCGAACTGCCATCTTCAGGTGATCTGTATGCCTTGGCCTTTAAAAGTGCTGGGATTAGAGGTGTGAGCCACCATCCTCAGCCTATTGTAAGAAATTTAAGAAATGTATAAAATTTCTTAAATTAACCTTGTAACAAAGACAAATTTTGCCATGCACGATGGCACATGCCTGTATTCCCAAAATTTTGGGAGGCCAAGGTGGGTGGGTCACGAGGTCAGGAGCTTGAGACCAGCCAGGCCAATATAGTGAATCCCCATCTACACTAAAAACACAAAAATTATCTGGACTTGGTGGTGTGCGCCTGTAGTCCCAGCTATTCGGGAGGCTCAGGCAGGAGAATCCCTTGAACCTGGGAGCTGGGGGTTGCAGGGAGGTGAGATCACACCACTGCTCTCCAGCCTGGGTGACAGACACTGTCTCTAAACAACAACAACTACAGCAACAAAACTAGATGTGTTTCTACTACACGGAGATTTATTGGTTCTAATATTTTCAGGTGTTTTATTTATTTGTTGAGTTTTCTGGCTAATGTATTGTTCATTTTTTGTTGTTTCTGCCTAAGTCCTTTTCTTTCAGGAGATTCAGTCAATTAAACTTAAATTATCTCCAGAGTATGGCCCAAAATCACTTCATGCATTATAACTGGTATTAATTCTTTGGCTTTGCAGGAGTATTTATTGCCCTGCTAGTGCCACCAACTGCCCTCGCTATTACTAATTTTTATTTGCATAGAAGATTAAATCGTGAGATTGCACATTTTTGCATGTGTTTATAAACTTCTGCACTTACCTTTTAAAGAAAGGTAACACTTATCCCCAGTGACTCCTAATTCTATAAAATGTATATTTTTTATATATTTTACTATCTTGGAAGTCTAAATGCAGATCTGAATGAAATTAGTTCTTACAAAATTTACAGTACTCGTGAAAATCAGTATAGTAACAGACAAGTCATATGGAAATGAATTGTTTAGCTACATTTTGATATTCCAAGTCACAGCTCCAAATTTAAGGATGAGTAGAAAATCTACCACTAACATGTTAAATCACATGAGTTGACAAATAAAACTTATGAGATTATTTTTGAGCCATACTTTCTTCTGTCTCACTCTACCCTCATTCCTTAATTTAAGGTTATATTCATATCCCTCATTGCTATTTAGAATGCCCATTAGGCTGAATGAGAATAATATTAAAAGGAGCAGAAAAAAACCACTAACTAAATTCCATTTTCATTTTTTTTTTTAAAAGCTATCATTATCTTATGACTGATAAAAATTGAATAGGAAAATTTTCAGAATTGTGAAAACTAAATAAAACTAAACAGGGATGTATTTCAGTTAGAGGAACAATGATTATCCCATCCTTAATCTTGTTAGGGAACTATTTGTATTCTATTTACTTGTTGGAAACAGAATGAGAGACATTTGTGTCGTCACTTACCTCACCATAGATCCTAAAGGAAGAACGTGCCAAAAAAAGTAATGTAGCTTTATTTCTTCTAAAGTCTTTGTTGAAAAACATTAGGGTAATTTGATCCAAAAGTACTTACACAGTAATAAAGTTCACGGCAAATGACATCAGAATCTGTCAATAGCTTTTCAATTAATTTCAAACATATACAAAGCATAGGTGGCCTCACCACAACAGAGAACAGTTGAGCAGAGAATTCTGAAAGTAAAGCTCACATGGGGTCTGTGCCCAAGGACCATTTTTTCTTCCAAAGATAAAACTCCTCCTGTAATTTCTTTATCAGTCTCTTCAAACGCTGTGTCCATTCTCAGCATGCTGCTAATTCAAACTCTTCTTGTCAGTGAATCCAGTATAGTTCTGTATCAAATCCAAACAGAAGAAAACAAGATTCTGTATAATTCACTATTCATGGAAAATGTAAAAAGGTAAGTATGGATCACTAATCACAATAAAACATATATATCTGGTTTAGGAAATATTGAACCACCACTTGACATATGCAGTCAATTAAAGCATTTGACATAATTTAGTCAATATGTCAAATAACTTGACATATTATTTCTTCAGCAAACAATGTTTCAAGGAAATAGACAATAAAACTTCTATGATGCCTTAACTACCTCTTAACACCAAGATGATACTCCTGTCTTCAAGTAGTAAGAAGAAAGGGATATATTTCTCATAAGTTTTCTTTTGGTGCTCTACAGTCAATGTCTGCTGCTGACATTGACTAAAACAAAATGGCACAAGGTCTAAGCCAAGTCCAACCATGATGACACTAAGAAAACTATCTAGCAGATATTTCTGATTTGGAAAGGAATACAAAACAGTGAGCCCTTTAAGTTCCACTTATTGTTAGATGTTGGTCATTTTGCATTTAAAATACTGTTTCTTGGCGTGATGCTATGAAGTTATTAATCAAGTAAAGTTTCAATATAAATAGAATGGAAATCCAGACTTTGCATGGTTATAGAAGATGTAAATTCTATTTTGTTGGGGGGTATGAAATAGCTCATATTAGGTTCTTTCTAGACAAACTGTCAGAGAAATTAATGATATATTGTGAAGGTCAATTAGTCATTATGGGTGGGAAGCAATCAATATTCAACAAAAATGGCTAAAAAGGAAGATAAAAGGCAACAGTACTTTTAAATCCAGTAAATATTGGAAAGGAATTTAGACAGCTTTTCTGAATAAAAATTCTGTTAATATAATAAAAAGGCATGAAATGTGTAAGAATATAATGCAAATTATCAGAGAGAGAACATAATATTTCCCAAGAAGATGTTGGTCATTTGTTAAAATATATCAATGGGAAAAATAGAAGTAGCAGTTTAAAAAAGTGGGAGGGAAGAATCAAGAAGTTACCTATTTTGTTTTTATTTGATAATATGTTCATTTCCTGAACTTTCTTTGCATTGCTTTTATTCTCATAACTTATCATAAACATCCTTTCCTCCAATTTGTTAAGTTTTATACTGTACAGTATTAAATTCCTCAACTTCTGTTGTTTGTTATTCTGATCTAAATCACACCTTTATCTATATGCACGTATTTATTCAAAGACAAAACCTTTATCACGTTTTAAAATACATCCTCCTGGACCCAACCCATCAATGTGATTGATCTTTTCCTCTTTCGTGTAATTTCTTTTGTTCTCTTCTTCACTGCCCTGATTTCCTTATCACACATATATAAAAACTCCATATTTTATGATCCACAACAGAAACTGTCTCTTTTGGTACTGACATTTTTCTCTGCTTTTAATATCAACAGAGAATTTCTATTAGTGATTTTCTTTCCATCAGTTCATATACTGTCTCAGGTTTTATCCCACAACAAGGAAGTCACAGTCCTTTCTCAAAGGCCATCGGTGACACCCTAATTGCTAAATTTAAAATGTTACATTGAATTTCAGGTGAGTATTTTTTCCATTGGTAATATGCTCTCATTTGAAAATTCCACTTACCTTACCAGTCAGGCACTCATCCCCAACAGTCTACCAAATATACTATACTTAAAATAATCACCTTTTTTTGGCCAAATATTTATATATATATATATATTAATTTTAATTTCTTGTCTTTGGTTTTTTTTTTGTTTGTTTACTGAGACAGGGTCTGCCTCTGTTGTCCAAGCTGGAGTGCAGTGGTGCAATCAAGAACTCACTGCAGCTTCAAACTCCCATGCTCAAGTGATCTTTGCACATCAGCCTCCTGGGCGACTTTGACTACAGGCCACCCAGACTAGCTAATTTTGGTAGAAACAGGGTCTCTCCCATGTATCCTAGGCTGGACTTGAGTTTCTAGGACCAATCCATCTGCCTGCCTCAGGCTTCCAAAGTGCTAGCATTGGAGGTGCAAGCCACCAGGCCTGACCAAATATAAGTTACTTCTTAGACACCCTCTTCCTTGAACAATTCCTGATGAATTTGCTCCCAATCTCCCAGTTATCTCTGCCTGTATGATGGATTTCTGAATGGTACTATGAGTCCCACATGGTTGTCTCCAGCCAGTCTCTTACCAAACCCAAATCATATATGACTCTATTGCACATATTCATGTTTAACAGGCAATTTGATCTCAAGGCTATACACTGAATTCTGATGTTCCTTCCAAACAACTTCCCTCCCCCAAGTGTTTCCCATTTCACCTGATAGTAATTACATCCTGTTGCAAAGGCCTAAAACTGAAAGGTCATCCTTGATGCTTTTCTTTTCATCTCCTCATTTCTATTAGTCCTCAAATTCTTCATGTTTTCCTTTTAAAACAGGTCCAGAATCTAACCACTTTTCCCTATTTTTCATGCTGTCATCCAGATACAGGTTATCCACATTTCTCATCTGATTAGCTCAGCCTCTTTACTGATCTCCTACCTTCCACTATTACAAGTATTACACTATTACCACTATTACAACTAGGTGAATTATATCTCAGATACTATAAAATTAACCATTTTAAAGTACACATTCAGTGATTTTCAGGATATTCTCAATGTTATGCAACCATCACTATTATTTAAATATAGAACGTTGCCCTTACCTTAAAAAGTAACTCTACCTATGAGCATTCAATACCAGCTTCCCTTTTTCCTAAGCTAAAACCATGGTCTTTATAATGTAACAAACAACCATATATTATTTTCTTCTTATTCTCTTTTGCATGTCTTCTTCTACCATCCTCTTTCTTTGCTCAAATCTCCTTTGAGCTTATACTATTCACATGCTTATAAATGAACCCCAAATCCTTATCCTTCTTACATAAAAATAAAATCAATAGACGTTGTCACTACTTTCCACTAAAGTGAAAATGTAAGTTCCATCAGTACCTGGATTTTTGTCTTTGGTCAGGTGAACTGGCATAAACAATACCTGATGTATTCACAGTTAATTTGATCTTTTCTTATTTATTTATTCTTTTTTGGCACGTGAGTGGGGTGTGATTAAATCTTGCTCTGTTGCTCAACCTGGAGTGGCAGGATCTCAGTTAGCTGCAACTTCTGCCTCTCAGGTTCAAGCAATTCTCCTGAGTCAGCCTCCCGAGTAGCTGGGACCTCAGGCACCTGCCAGCCCAAACGGAAGTTTTTTGTTGTTGTTGTTGACATTTTTAGTACCGACTGAGTTTTGCCATGTTGGCTCGGCTGGTCTCAAACTCCTGAATTTGAATGCAATATATTCCATAGACAAGGCAATACTAGTGAGTTTTTAAATTATAAAGCTGTTTTTGTTCATTAATAATAGTTTACTTTGAAAGTCTATTTTCATTTAGAAAAAGTTAACTCATGTTTTTTTTGTCTGTTTTTGATCAACTAGTTTAAAATTTTGTAGCTATCAGGTACATATGTAAAATCATTTATGTCAGACAATATTAAATTAAAAGCATATGCATTTCTTGTTTTTTTTTTTTTTTTTTTTTTTTTTTTTTTGAGACAGAGTCTTGCTCTGTCACCCAGGCTAGAGTGCAGTGGCGCGATCTCGGCTCACTGCAAGCTCCGCCTTCCAGTTCATGCCATTCTCCTGCCTCAGCCTCCCGAGCAGCTGGGACTACAGGCGCCCACCACCACGCCTGGCTAATTTTTTGTATTTTTAGTAGAGACGGGGTTTCACCGTGTTAGCCAGTATGGTCTTGATCTCCTGACCTTGTGATCTTCCCGCCTCGACCTCCCAAAGTGCTGGGATTACAGGCTGGAGCCACCGCGCCCGGCCTAATATATGTATTTCTTAAGTGTTCCCCTATATTTGGTGTTGGTAACTAAACTGAGTTTTATTGAATCATATGTTTCCTTAGTGTAAAAAGAAGCCAAATTTAATGGTACAAAATGTTTATATTTAAAATGTATTCATGAGAAATATTTTAATAAACCAAGCCTTGAAGTTGCTTAACGTTATTCTATTTAAATTCTAAGAGAGGTATGGCTTTAAAAATCATAATGTGAGAAGAGAAATTTTGAGTGCATTGTATGACTTCTAAATGTCCACCTCTGTCCAACAAAGTAAGTAGTAATGTTCAAATCTTACACGGAACTGAAACTCAGGGTGGGAAGTCATGTAAGTAAATTAACAAATTATAACAAAATTTAGTTCATTTCAAGAGAAAACTGAGGGCTAAGAATACAATTAGCAACACATTCTCTACAGATCTTTAATTGGAAAGTGTGAAATTATATTTGTTTATGTTTTTATCTGTATGAGTATATTTTCTAGTGCATTGAAGAAGTTTCTAGTTAAACTCACCACTTAAAAGGTCAGATCTTTATTTGTCTTGTGGGATCTATGTAGAAAGAAGAGTTTCCTTTATAAAAACACCTTTTTTGTTAATTTATTTACAGTTGCATTGACACAGTAAATGTATATAATCAAAAGATTTTTTTAAACAAACACATTTTTTAAAAAAACAGACAGATATAATGTCATTAAAATATGGACCTAAGGGGTCTGTAGTTAAAAATCTGTATAGTCACTCAATTTGTTGTTAATATCAAAATTTAAAATACTCCTTCAAAAATGGCTGCATTGATAAATGAGTTGTTGTTAATATTAATTTGTCACTTGATGGAAAGACAAGTGGACAGAATTATTTTCATACTACAAGCATTATTTTTTCTTCTTATCTCAGGTTGTGAGCACTTTTTGAGTGGGAATATCTGCTCCCTGTTAGATCTCACCCACCAGAAAAACTTGTGGTACTCAAAAATACTGGTACTACTTGTCACATGAATTCTGTGATCCAACAGCCACATATGTATATATATTATATAATATATTATATATAATTATTCTTATATATTATATAATATATATTACATATAATTATTCTTATATATTATATTATATATTATATATAAAATATAAAACATATAATATATATTATATAATATAAATTATATATTTTAATATTATTTATTATTTATTATTATTTTAATAATATATTAAAATTAATTATTTTAATAACATATTATATATTTATTTTATATTATATTATATATTATATATTACATTATATTTAATATTTATTTTAATTATAAATAATATATATTTATATAATATAATATATATTATTTATATAATACATTATATATTATATATAATATATAATGTAAGAATATACATAATATAATAATATATAATATAAGAATATTATATATAATATATTGTATATAAATATTATATATTTATAATTTATAAATATATAACATTTATAATTTATATATAAATTTTATATAATATATATAAGAATAATTTTATATAATATATTATATATGAATTATATATAATTTATATAGTTTATATATTATATATATAATTTTTATATGTATATAGTTTCCACCAGAAACAGTATTCCTGCAATTGAATGCATAGGTAAAAATATAGACTATGATTTTTCAAACATGAGAAGCAGAACAGTTAGGTAAATTCTAATTATTCATTATTATTACTTTGAAGATTCTGATAGCAGCTACTGTTTTTCTCTCAGAAATTAGTGTACTTTAAAAGAATTATGCAGGAAGTTCTTCTTCATAATATGGCTGAAATCTCTGAGTTACTGTGACTGACATATTTATGTTATCTGTTTCATAAGCTGTGCTTTTTTTAAAATTCTCTATGTATTTTTCTCAAATGAGAGCTTTTTCTGCTAAAGAAACAAATTTCTTTTTCAAATTACGTTATGTGAACTTGTAAAAAAAATTAGTTAAGAACTATCATCAAACTGCCTATGGAAAGTATTCATTTGAAAATAAAGTGGTAAAAAAGTTATATCATATTTGTAGGTCACCTATTTAGGATAAACCTCCAAATAAGAGAATATGGGATGCTTAAATTTTGGTAATGTTTATACTCAAGCTCTTTATTATTATTATTTTTTTTTTTTTACTTTTCTGTATAGATATTGATAGAAACTAAATTTAAAAATTAGAATATTTTAACTGTAGTAAATGATTCTCCTAGAATTTCTTCATTTTTTTTCCTTTCAGTGGGCAGAAATAGTTTGTCTTTCAGCTACTAGTTTCTCAGCACTTATCATTTATAGGATTACAAAACACACACTTTCTTTCTCTTTCCTAGATTCAGTAAATTATGTCATCCAAACATCGCGGTCACGGTAGCTTTACTTTTAGTAGAGTCTTCATATGGGATGTTCACCAATACTTGGTTAACAGCCACTATTGGAAGAAAAATTGTAATGTAAGTTCTGGTACTATAGCCCATATGACCCCTAGGGTGTTGAATTTAACACATATAGAGATGGTTAATCACACCAGTAAGAAGCAAATGAAACAGACAGAATATAAAATTGCAAATTAGGTATCTTACCTTTGTACTTGGTTGCTTGTGCTTTATGTTGTCTCGGCAATGTACTGAGGCATGTATATCTGCCTTGTTTCTTTTTCTGTGCAATCAGCTTCTCCAGGGCAGGAAGTGGGTATTCTTTCTTTCTTTGTCACAACCCTAAGACACGATTAAAAGCATACAGAAATGTCTTAGATACTTGTAAACAAACTGTATTTTGCTTTATGGCTACAACCATGTTTTGACTTTTGGAGCTTCTGTCTATGCTCCTCTTTCTTCCACAACTATGGTTAATAGGTATATTTATTGAGTGTTAATAATTCTGATTTAATCATGTAAATAATCTTATGTAATTCAGAAAATGCATTATTCTCAAAAGAAGATACTGAAGCCTAGAAAGACTAAGTAACTTATTCCCCAAAATGTACTTATTTCCCCAAAGTTACTCATGGCAGAGGACTCACTTGTCTTTACTCCTGCCTACTTGACCAAACTTTACCATATTACATCCAGTGTATATTATTATTTTATTACTCTTTTATAATAACTTTTCTGTGAACTCAGTTATAATACCCCATGTTTGAAATAAGCAATAATCACAAAAATTAAAAAGAAATTAACTACTTTGAAAATTAGGAGTATAAACGGTATATCCTTTTATTAAATAACTTTTGGTATTTGTTGTAACTTCTTTCTTTGTATTTATAAAGTTAAATTTGTGCATTGCTGATTTCTTTTGGTCTTTAATGTTGGTACCCAACATAATTTACTAGAATATTTTTATTAATTTGAAGACAAACCAAAGTTAAATAACACAGGAGATAGAAAAGAGTACAATATTCATGTCCTAAGACAGCTTCAAGACATCTTTGTTCATTTAGCTGTTTCCAAACTACAGTCCTATGTACTGAAGGAATTTTGGTAACAGTTAAGGTAAATTTTAAGCAAGTCATTATTTCAGTTTTATAAAAACCTCAATACATTAACTAAACATTACTCAGAAAAGGGCTTCATATAAGGGACATTATGTTAAGTGAAATTAGCCAGGAAATATAAAGGACAAGGATTGCATGTTTTTATTCATACGTGAGAAATAACAAAGTTGATCTCATGGACGTAGAGAATAGAATGACGGATTATTATAGGCTGTGAAAGATATTGAGCGAACAAATAAGTAAGTTAGTTAATGGGTAAAAAATACAGTTAGAAGGAATGAGTCCTAAAGTTTGATTGTATAGGAGGGAGAATATAGGTATGAATAATTTATTATGGATTTCAAAATAACTAGAAGTTTGGATGTGGAAAGCTGTTTAAACAATTATGTCATGTATGTCTGAAATTACTAATACAGAAATTACCAATAGGGCATTTAAAAATTTGGTCATTACTCATTGTGTGCATGTATAAAAATAATAGTTCTACTTTGTAAATATGTAAAATTATAATTCATCAATTTGAAAAACAATAAATTGTGGTCTATTTAAATAAGAAATTTCACTAAATCTGGCCATTTCTGAATGGTAAAATGCTCCTTCTGTCTACACATTGGGCTTTTGTGATCCAAATTCTGATTTAGAAGTACTTTCAACATGTTCTCGGGCAGACTGAGGCCATGGCAGAAAGCCCACACATGCCCCTCTTCATCATTAGCTGGAAATTGTGATCCAGGGCACTCCTGGATGCCATGAAACAACAGCTGCCATTGGAAAGATAATTACTAGCTTGTCTTGCCTTGGTGTTGAGACTGCTTCTTTGACTGAAGACCATAAAATAATTACAAAACTTGCAACACCTATAATGTGTTGGGGAAATTAAGGAAATAATCTAATGAGGAAGTGCTCAGAAGGCTTCCAAAATATCATAAAAGATGGCTTTATAGAGTAAAATGTTACCAGGGAAGTACAAGGAGATGCTCATCCTGTTCAACAGCAAGTAGTCTGGTATTTTCTAGCATCAAGTTTGGAAACACCTCAGGAATTACCGGATCTCACTCTTACATGGGCAATGCCCTTTGAAGAGCTCCTGATTAACAACAACATGCCTGGTTGACGAATGGCAGTTTCAAGGTGGATGAACAATGTCTTCTTGGCAGACTTTCATAGAGACCAGAAATGAACGGACAAACCTAAGATGGAATGAGCAAATTAGCTCAATGATTAAACTGCATGCTGTTTTTTTAAATGAAGCAATAAAAACATTAAATCATTATTTTATAAAGGCAAATATTTGAATTCATGGGTAGTAAATAGTCATTAATGTTCTGGTCATGTGATCAATAGAAAACTGGACTTTCAAGCAGATACCAGTATGTGACATATGGACTTTCCATGGGCTGAGTCACATCCTGACATCTGCTTAATAGTAATAATTTAAGGGGTCCATTAAAGAAGGACATGTTGATTTCCATTTGAAGAATCCTCTCCAGGATGATTGGGAGGTGATTAGAACCAGGACAACATGATGCATTCACTTGAGGTGGCAAACTTGTAGAGATGCAGCAGTAATGCAGAGCTAGGATTAATCTACACATATTTCTCTTACACTCTCTAAGGAATAGAAATTCCAAAATCTAAGTCTAGGCCAGAAGAGAAATGTAGACTGCAAATAACAATAGGCCAAATAGGAAGGGCCATAACATAGTTGGATTACAATGTACCAATATCAGTAGCCCTGATGGTATATTTATAGGTCTTGACTAACGTAGACTGCATTTTGCATTCATAGTGGTCGATGCTACTGCTTATGTACTATAAAAAGATAAAAACATAGTATATTCTAACCAATTTGAACAAACAAATTGCTGTTCCTCAAGCTATGCAACACACTTCATATCCTATTGTTTCCAACAATGGGCATTGAGATATTACATCAAATAAAAAATTACATGTATTATTTAAAATCAGAAGGCACTTATATCTTCAGTAAACCCTACATCTAACAACAAAAGCTTTAAAATAATATAGAAATAAACTAGAAGACTTACTGCTTTCAAGGAAAATTGTCACTGGCTAGCAAAGCTGTCAGAAATCTTGGCGCAATGGTACTTCAAGGTACTGTGGATTCTGATAATATGCACTTCACTGGGGTTAGATGAAACCAAATTTTAGAAGCATCACTTAATACATTCTACCACAAAAGTGCCCCAACACAAAAACATAATCTACTATGCTCCACACATTGTGACATATGAAAATTGTGCATATTGATTTTAATATTTTATAATTTCTATTAAAAATATGTCCAGATTCTTTATCTCAACAAGAAATTAAACTATCAAAGATTAAATGTGAAGAACGTTTTAGAATTAAAATATGCTTGTTTTTTACATTTTCCCGTTTTCTATTTTTTCTGGTGATAAAAAATAAGGTTTCTGAGCAATACAGCTGCTATTCTGGGCAACTACTGTGATTTAGGTAATTCCATCCCTTGGCTACATGAACTTGATGAGAAGTCATGCTAAATGTTACAGCACAAGACAAGCTTTAAATGATTAACCTGGCTGGGTGCAATGACTCACCACCTGTAATCTCAGCACTTTGAGAGACCAAGGTGGGTGGATTGTGAGTCCAGGAGATCTAGAACTATCTGACTAACACAGAGAAGCACTGTCTCTACCAGAAATACAAAATTAGCCAGATGCATGCCTGTAATCCCGGATACTTTGGAGGATGAGGCAGGAGAATCGGTTGACCTCAGGGGGTGGAAGTTGTAGTGAGCCAAGATCACAACCATTGCACTCCAGCCCAGGCAACAGGAGTGAAACTCCATTAAAAGAACAAATGAAAGAAAAGAAGAAAGAGAGAAAGAAAGGAAAGAAAGGAAGAAAGGAAGGAAGGAAGGAAGGAAGGAAGGAAGGAAGAAGGAAGGAAGGAAGGAAGGAAGGAAGGAAGGAAGGAAGGAAGGAAGGAAGGAAGGAAAAGAAATGGAAAGGGAAGGGAAGAAAAGAGAAAAGAGGGAAGAAAAGAGAAAACTGCATTACTCACATTGTGGCTAATCTTCCCAAAATATTGTAACACAAATATTTGTTTTAACTTAGCATTGCTCATACATTGATTTTATTTACATTTTTGTTCAGTACTTTTTGTAGTAAATTTTGTATTAAAGCTGGTAAAATTGTTAAGTTTTACTGCCACTGGATTTTGAGAAAGACTAAATAAATTGCTTTATGCTTCTATTGAAATATTGCACATTTTTATGAACTAAGACAAGGTAGTACCTAATTACAAAGAAAATATCACAAGGGTAAAATAAAAGATGACCCCACTTAAACTATTCTTCTTCTGATCGTCTTGCCAAAGCTGTCCTAGAATTTTTTTTTTAGTTTGCAGTCACAGCTGATACGTTACAAAATATGTAATAAAATAATAATTGAAGACCATATAAGTAAATCATCAAAATGAGTTTTGAAAAATTATTATTATTATTATTTAACCTGTTGATACATAGAGCCTGTTGAATGAGGATATAATGGAGTATCTTCTGTTGGAGAGGTCTTATGCCCATCTAAAGCATCGTGGTCAACTGGCTCCAAATTCTAAATATTTAAAAAGATTGAAAATTTGATTATAAAAGTAACTTTATACCTTATATTTTATTTTCTTCATTAGAATAAACTTTTAAGAAATACAAGAAAGCTGACATCTATAACATGTTTACACTTCCTCAAATGATTTATAATTTAGGGAAAAAATCTGAATTATTTTAGCTACATAATTTTCAGGCCATTTCACACAAGTTGCTTCCAAAAGGAAACTACTTTTTAAGAACAAACAAACCAATGCTAATCATTTCACAAAGTAAATATTTTTAAGGGCAATATTAATACATAAACATTGGCTTATGCATTTAAAAATTACCTCTGTTTTTCCCAGATTTATCTGCGGCCTTTTGGGGGCTTCCCCCAGCCACCTCATCTAGACAAAGTTCTCAAGCATTTGCGAGTGTCATCCTAGCACTATTTGATGTTTCTAAGAAATAACCATTTGATGTTGTATTGTTTTGTACTGGAGGACACCAATTTTTGTAGGCATATTGAATTGTTTCCAGTATGTGGTTTCCTTTCAATTTTCTATATCCACTAAATGACTCAATTTTATTTTCTCTCTCTTTTTTTTCCCATGTGAAAGCACAAACACAGTCCTTCACTTCCACCAATTATGCATTTGAGTGTCCCACATTTGGGGAAATCTCACGGGTCAGCACATCTAGAGTGCAACATATCGGCCTTTCCCTGGGAAAGCCACCTTCATGATCACGGTATCTCCCCTGGCAGGGAAGTATCCATTTTCTTTTTAAGACTTCCATTAGCCTTTGAAAGAAAATACAAATAGAAATGTAATAGAATTTAGAATAATTTTCAGTATCAGCTTAAAATGTTAATTTCAATCATCCATGATTATTCTCTTCTAAAAAAGTTCTTAATTCTGACACAGGCTTCTACAAAATTGTAAGAAAAAACACTACGGTAAACAATGAAATAACTGCTAAACTACCACACATTTTATGCACTGATATGCTCATTTTTGATAGTGACTCTTAGAGCATTCTATTGTATCTAACAGCCATTCTCGGTCTTCTGGAATTTTATCGTGTGCACTATGAGCTTTAAAAATAAGCAGATGAAAATAATTGATAATATGTAGTAGTAGCTAATGTTTTACTGTCTAATATGTGCCATTCAGAACAAGTTTTTGAGGTAATCTAATTAATATCAGAGTTAGTTTCCTTAGAGGGTAGCATTAGTAAATCCACAAATAAAAAATCAATTACAGTTAGGTCAAATACTTTGCCAATTATTACAGATTTAGCCAGTTGAGGAGCTAGCTAGCAATCTGACCCAAACATCTGACCTCTTGGTGTATTGCCAATTTAAAATGTTTTGGCTAAATATACTATCCATGCATTACTACTAGCGAATTAAAAACTGTAATGCTATATTACTTTTCATGGTTCTATTTTTTGTTCTATACTTAGGATTATGCTCCATGGCCCAGGCTGGACTACAGTGACAAGATGATAGCTCATAACTCAATGAGGCCTCACATCCAGGGTTCAAGGAATACTCCTGCCTCAGCATTCTACCTAGTTGGGATTAGAGAAATGCACCACCATGTCCCACTCGCCTCATTACTTTTACTAAATATGAGTAGCATTTTATGACTACCTTTTTAAAGAAAAAACAAAACTTACTTGGTGTTCACTCATTTTTCAGAGACAACATTTTAGAATGTAAAGCAAGAATCTCATGATAATAAAACAGCAATATTAATTGGCAGTACAAAATTGATTTCAATTCTGATAGTAAATGAACACACACGATGGGTAAAGCAATTTTCAATGGCAACAATAAAATTTTCCTGATTTGCTAATGATCAGTCATTTTCTTTCAGAGCTGGCTAAATTGCAACATATTTACATTGCCAACTTTTTACTGTTCTTAGGAGTCAATATTAAAAATCACAAAAAAAGACTTCTGTCTTTTTTGTCATTACCATGACAGATAAATAAAATAGTTTGTTTCTCTCTACCATGTATCTTACTTAATAAAATGATATTAGATTCCAAGTCAGAGGCCAGGTTTTTTTTCTTTTTGCCATAGGAACATTTATAATATAAATTTCTTTTGAAAAAGGTAATTTTTATAATCTAATTTCAGGTAAAGAATAACATGGAGAGGCTTCTTGTAACACTTAAACAGTACACATTTCATTATCTTATTCTCTTAAAAATTATAATAAAGTAAAAATCATGTCATTTGCCACATTATTAATAGCATCAAAAGTTTTCATGTGAAATTTGGATTAATATTGTATTTGCCTATATTGTTATCTGCTGCCTTGAACAGTGTTGATCTCAGTTGAACACTGCCTATTGAATAGACTAAATGTTCATCAGAAAAAAAGATTCCAAGCTTATCTTAATAAGGAGAATAATAAATTTATACATGAAACCCACATTAATCCACATCAACTATTTTCCACATTAACCCAACATGTATACCTTTACTGTAATCACCTCCTTGGATGAGATGAGGCTAAGATGTGATTTAGCCTTACTTTAGAGCAAATACAAGAAGTTACATAGTAAACAATATATGACTACAAACAATTTTTTAAATGGTATAAATTAATTTCCATTGATAGGAACTCAATGTCATTCATACAACATTAATTATCTGCTTGAAATCTATGATGGTGGACCAAAGAACAATTAGAAAATTTTAATTGCTAAAATCTAATATTTCAGTTGTTTAAATTTAAAATTATCTTATGCCTTTAATTATTTTGTTCTACAGCTTCATAGTAACTTTATTTTATTATCAGGCTTTCATTGTGCTTATTATAATGTCTATTGAGTGAAAACGGTGTGTTTGTGTGTAGGTGTGTGTGTATAGAGTTTCCAGATATATAGTATGATTGTCTCTAGAATCCTATAACAATAACACTTTGAATCTCCTGGCAGAGTTGGGAAACTAATTTTGGTGCAATTCTTAGGCTTATTTTACTGCAGATGACACAACTAAGAATTCTAGAAGAATGCTCAAGATCTGTGTTTAGCATAAACATAGTTCTTTAAAATTATCATTTTTCTCAAAACCAGTCTGGCCACAATTGTGAAACCCCATCTCTTCTAAAAATACAAAAATTAGCCAGTCATGGTGTCAGGCACTTGTAATCCCAGCTACTCAGGAGGCTGATGCAGAGAATTGCTTGAACCCAGGAGGCAGAGGTTTCAGTGAGCCGAGATTCCGCTCCTGCACTCCTGCCTGGGTGAGAGTGAGAATTCCTCTTACACACACATGCACACACACCCACAAATAATAGTAATAATAAATAAAAAAGAAAAACTCTTCTCTTACATACTGATTAAACTAACTACTTAGAGGCTACGGACTGCTTTTGGATAACTTAATGTTGTCTGCCATGATAACATCAACTTTTTAAAAAAAGTTTCCATTCTAGTACATTACTTTCTATGACTGTTTTTCATTGTTACTTCTGTAGTAACACATGTATGCTTTTAGATGATTCCAAATTCTGGACATTTGTATCCATTGCAATTTTTTATTTGGTGTCCCGTATGTTTCTAAAAGGCAATCTGCTCAAACAGGTTCACTTTTTTCTATCAGTAAATTGCATTACTATTCTCTCAGCTTATCAAATCACACCCAGGACAGAGGTGTTAACATCTCTTTCCTACTCCACTTTCTCAAATATCCAGTTGGTAACCCCTGCCTATTCTAACTCATTAAGAGCTCATACATCTGTCCACACATATGTTCTACATTGCCAGCTTTTCTAATGTAGAGCACCCACAGTCTTTTTCTACAGATAATTTTGAATACTTCCTTACTGTGGTATATTGTGAAATTTTCTATGCTATAGCCAGTGAGATGTTACTAATATATGCCTTTTTTTATCCTCTGATGGTTTATCAAGTCACACTGAATATCTCACATAATTGCTAAAAAGCCAAGTTATGTCAATACTAAGTCTGTACCCACTGTCTACTTAAAAAAATCAACTTAACAAAGCAACCCTTTTCAACTGCAAGATGCTTTCTACTCTCCAAATCTAAGTCACATATGCCCTATAATAGGCAGAAGATCACCCTGTATTGTATTTTTTTTGTTGTTCATTATGATGTTTTGTATCCAACCTGGGCTGTTATTCTGTACTGTGTTTTCAAAATCATAATTAAGACAGATTCAAAATACTTTATCTGAAATTCAAAAAGCTCAATTAAGCAAGACTTTTTAAAAATGAGATTGGTATGTAACTCAATTTCTGATGTAATAAAGCCTTAATTGAGGGAAGCTGTTTCAGTCTGCATTCATGTAACATTCAGGCTTAAAGGGAATATCCATTTCTCTTCATAGAAATATTAATATGTTTGATTCTTGAGTATTTTCGGGGGCCTTACAGGGAATGGTACACAAAATGATGCAAATGTGTTGACTCAGTTTTCTCAAACGCAAGAATTCCTAAAACCTAAAACACAGTGCCTAAATGCCTTAAGATGTATAAATATATACTGAACCTTGGCAATTAAAATTAAACTTAGGTTATATCATAAACCAACCATGTGTCATGTATGAGCAACTAAAATCTCAAGTTAAATTGTGCAAAACAAAATTTTTGTGAATTCTTAGGTTTGATACTTTTACATTTAAAATAAATATGGTATTTATGTTTGTATAATATATGCTCCTACTCTACTAAAATTATCCCAACATCTCAGATGTAGTCAGGCTAGGCTGAGAAAAAGAAAGCACAGGGGTGGTCAGAGCAGGAAGAGTAAAGGGTAAAATTTATTTTCTCCCAAAGGTATATATTAATAATACAAATAACACTTTCATTACAGGAATGTGTGGCCATAGAACTTAGTTTTAGATAGTAAATTATTTGTGATTTTACCAAGTTCCTTAAAATGATCTGTTAATTGTCTGAGTCAATCATTCATATAAATGTGACTTCTAGCTCATCTTGCTGTTGAATGTTAGAGATAAGGCAGATGCATTCTAACCAACTCACACGTATACACAAAATCAACATGGACATGGAGAAGAGAATTAGTGTTTGTAGCAGTGTATTACTTACTAATAAAATTCAATGAATGGATATGGCTGTGTGATTAGTTGATGGGAGATGGGACAAATCCACTCATGGAGGAATATATTTTCTCAATAATGGCATCTTACATTTATAAACTGTAATGGTTTTCTGAAAATGTTTCTTTGATTTACATATGTAAATTAGAGAGCTAATAAAAGAGATGACCAAGACTTAAATTATAATTAAAATAAGAAACTTGACTACTATAGAATTTACACTTGGATTTTTTTTCCTGGAAAAATCAGATACTACTTTTTATATGTATATGAGTTTTATGCAATTAGCATTGTATTCTTGGTGAAACAAAATGATCTCCTAAAACAATAATGTTAGATATGAAAGATTAGAATCTATCATATTTTCAATGCATTCTTATTTAATTTACTTCTTCATTCTTTTCAAAATGACTTCACCTTTTTTATTTTCATTCCACATATCATTAGAATTATTCTCACTAGCAATTTCTCCATGATTTACACGCCATTAATGAACTTCTACCACCATATATCATGTTTCACAGCCCCAGGAGGAGGGAGGGCCAACAGTGGCACAAGAGTTGCTTCTTACAGTCTGTCACACATCCTGCTAAATTTAAGCTCTCCACGAATAAAAAGCCTTTCCATAGCCAGAGTTCAGCTTTAAGAAAAAGGCTAACTACTGAACTTGGAGAAAAGACAAATCTGCATTTGATAACTGATTTAACAAATATAATGTGTGTGTAGAGGATACAAAATTACAGTTCCACTACTGGGATAGTTACTATTTGTGTTACTTTCTTCACCCTTGTGGAAAGTCTACTAGTTGAAGTTAAACCATTCCTTTTTCACACAAGACACAAGCTAACCTTATCACTCTCAGAGGAAATACTAAGAAGGGTTGTACTTTGTCAGAGGGTAAATCAAGACATCTTTATTATGCCATGTGTTTACTTAGTGTCTCCTCTATTACTGAACATTGTTTAGTGATTTGCTCTCAAGGATTTTTGTGTTTGTTTCAAAAAAAATCCTTGCTACAATGATCAGACTTGATAAAGCAAATTGTGGTCTCTTGTGGATGTTCACATTCTGTGCAGTCGGTAACTATCTGATTCTAAGGAAGCTAACCGAAGCTTGGACTGAATGTGGATGAGACCCGCCACTGGGGAGTGATGGAGGTATGAAAAGACATGCTGGATGAGGGGAGGTGGCTCTCATATAGGGAGCAGAGTTTTGAAAACTTACATCAAAACATTTCTCTTCCTGGCCCCACCCAATATTGCCATCTGGAAACATTTGATAAAAATCACAATAGAAAATGGCAGGAGAACAAAGCAGGTGGTGAGCGTGGCAGCAGGATCAGTCAGAAGCAGCTGCAGAGCCACCCTGGACAGAAGAACCATAGATGATGCCCCACAGTTTGAAGGAAGTGTGGTTCCCAGTGGTACAGATGTTGCTCCATACAGTCTTTCATATATCCAGCTAGATGCAAGCAAAGAATGGAAAACTTTTCCATAGAGAGAGTTCAGTTTATAAAAAAAAGGCTAACTGCAGAAGTTGAAGAATAGAAAAATGTGCATTTGATAACTTATGTAACAATTACAATGTGCAGAGTAGAAGATACAAAATTACAATTCCATTACAATTAAATAAATATTTCTGTTAACTTTCATCCTTGGGGAAAGTTTCCTAGTTGAAGATAAAACATTCCTACTGTTTCTTATCTTAGAACAAAACTATTTAGGTTTCTGTACAAACCTAAGTTTTCACTTCTATATTAAGACACCACCATGTAAATTTTATTGCAATAAACATGTCATGCTGAGTAGTAAATTTATAAGTAGAGAAATGCCCCAGTGTGTTACCGAGTGAAAGGTGGTGTCTGGACAGTCAGCGCTTTCTGGAACTCTGGACTGACAAGCAGGAAGTGTTGAAGTGACTGAAAAGTTAAAGATCACAAGTACAGCATGAAGAAGACAGAGATTGGCAGTATCTACATCCATGCCAAAGGAAGTATCCTAGGAAATTTCGGCTATAACAAGAGAATGAAACTCCATATGCACATTTCTTCTGGATCACTTTTGGAGCACTAAAGCAGATAACAAACTTAGTGCTAATGCACATGTGCTAAGGGGAGCCTGATTTTAAGACTGATTTAATTTCTTTCCTTTTATGTTAAAGAGCCTTCAGGGGAAATTGCCTACTAGATCCAAGCTTTGCCAGCTTATTTTTCCTCATGATCAGCTCCTATCTATCAGCTGACAGTCCTACCCATGTGCCCCAGTGCTCTCCTTCACCGCTTCACGCCTGAAATACTGTTCTCTGCAGGCAACATCGGAAGTCCCACTTAACGCTCCACTTTCCTTCCAGCTCCTTCAAATAATTGGCCATACATGAAATTTGGCACTAAACTTTACTAATATACACACAGGATGTGGATTACTAGTTCCTACCTCATCTTCATTAGCCTGGAGGAAAGGTTATTTTTGGAGTGCCACTGTTGTGCAGCTGGGCCATGTCTTCCTGCTGTCACTCACCCCGCTGCTCTTGGTTGGATTTCATCACAATACTCAGGATTATATGCTCATTAAGGGAAGGAACAACCATAGTAAAAAATACTGAAATTACTCCCAGATTTCTAGATGGGTCTTACCTTTTTCTGCACCCATAGCTCTGGGATTTAGTTTGTTTTAATATGAGGGCTGTATAACAGGTTAAGACATCATACTAGTTTGGACACTACCGATAGGGGAAATGGAACAAAAACAGCTGTGGTTGGCGGCACTTTAAAAATGAATATTAAACTACCACAATCTTGAACAAATATCTTTATTGTAAAAATCAAATAAGTGTGGTAAAAATGATGGTAGCTATTTCACACAAGGACACAAGACAAAAGCTTAGAATTACTTGCTTAAAGTTAATTCAGAATGGAACAAAATTGTTCAAGTGCTTAGCATTAGAAAAGGTTTTATAACCTGCTTTTCAGTGGACATTACCTATTTTACAGTAAGATCTTAGTATGGGAACAAAGAGATGATTCCCAGCCTCCTGTGGTATATCATCTCAGCCTCCCAAAATGCTGAGATTAGAGGCATGAGCCACCATGCCCAGGACAATTCCAAACTGTTTACAAAAGTTCTGTGACTTCCTCCACCTTGCCTTACCCACAAAACAAGCATTACTAAGAATTCCAATATATAATACAAATAAAGCAACTGCCATGACCAAAGTACTACATTGATATGTGTATGCATCAATGGTCTGTTCAATTTTTTTACTGCTCTAACAGAGAACTTTGATGCATCTAAAAGGATGAGTACAAATGTTAATGTAATCCTGGCTTTTCTTTGACAACTCTCCTAAAAACTGCCTTACAACTTTTTGCAAGTGTAAGTATCAACGGTATACTCTCTGAAGGAAAGGAAATAATCAGCTGGACCACTATACCTAGCCACTGTCAGAAGCATATATGCAACACTTAGCACTACACACGTGTTTCCTTGGCTTCTTGAGTACTGCTGTGTACACTGCCTATACATTTTTACAACATCTCTAAATGTATAAAAGAATTAATGTGAATGTATGTGCTATCGCATTTCATTTCCAACTGCAGAATATGTTAGTTTTAAATCTATCTACCACATCTTGACTCTGACATTTATTTTTGGATTGTTACATTAAAATCAACTACATGGGATAGTCACCGTGGCTCATGCCTGTAATCTGAGGGCTTTGGAAAGCAGAGGTGGGTAAATCACCCGAGGTCAGGAGTTCGAGACCAGTCTGGCTAACATGGTGAAACCCCGTCTCTACTAAAAATACAAAAACACATCACACATGGTGTTGGGGCCTGTAGTCCCAGCTACTCCAGGGACTGAGGCAGGAGAGTCACTTGAACCCCGGAGGAAAATGTTGCAGTGAGCCAGGATCATGCCATTGCACTCCATTCTGGACAACAGAGCGAGACTTCATAACAACAACAATAAAATCACAAATAAAAAAACAAACCAAATAAACAAGTGGCAACATTCTTCTTGAATGACTATTTGATCACAGAAAACTTAGTTCCTGCCAGGTCATGATCTCTATTAGTAGCACAGCAACTTATTTGAAAGTAGATGGAAACATTTCAGATTACATTTTTATTTACTTTTCTCTTATATAGGCTGCTTCCTTGCCCTCTTTAGGGTTCCCTAATAAAATCAACTTAGAGGGACACTTAGAGGGAAAAACATAAGTGTATGAACACTTAGAGGGAAAACATAAAACAATTTGCCTTCACAATATTCTACAAATAACTATTGTAAGTTGTTTTCTTAAATACCTATTCAACTGGCTGTGAAGACTTACTTGCTAAGGGAGTTGACAGAGATAGTTCTGATGAGAAAACGTGGTCTGAAAGGTAAGCTGTGCAGCCTAAGGGAGTTACTTCAAAAGGCCACTTTCCTGACAAAGATCAAATCTTTTTTTCTATCGTCAGATTTTTAAAATTATAGAACATGCCTTACTTTTATATGTAAACCATAAACATCAGTAAAGAAGTGATTTATTCCATCTTCTTGCCTTATGCCATGAAGCATAATAAGTCTCATATGTGACATAATTAAGGCAACATTTTTCTTAGAAATAAAAAAAAGCAACAAGTTCATTGACACAATATTCCTCAAATTAGTCACCGGCCATGTATTTGGGATGGAAGATTTGAATGCATTAATTGGGTTTAAAATTAGCTTACTTTTACCAGAAAGAGAACATAAGCATTCTAAGTGAAAAAATAACTACAAGATAAAGTAGCATCACCCTTGATATTTTTCAGATAAACTTTTTGGTGGGTGTGAGACTTAGTTTTAAAATTAGCTGTTCAACAAAATATTTTCTCCCCTAACAAAACAAAAGTAGTCCCATGAATGGAAACTTTTACATTCATACAAATTGTGAAGCATACAATCTCAGAGCCTGACATCTGTATTCCATCTTCTTCTAGTTCGTGAACCTGAACTTTAGTTAATTATCTTTACTAAAAAGGTAAAGTTATGTCCTGCAGTAATGAATGCTGACACAAACCACTTGCTGGAGTTGCCCCCACTTTTCAAGAACATGTTGTTCAAAAGCCACATGTTCTCTTCTGTGAGGTCCAGAGCAGCATGAGCTATGAGCTGGTGCAGATGACGATAGTCATAAGTGACTGTGTGCGCAACAACAGATTAACTTACCCACATGGAATGAAGAATGCCAACATTTCATTCTGTAAATTCTATAGACGGTTTTCTTGTGCAGAAAAAGAAAAGCTTGACTTTGCTTTGTTTGCTATTGTCAAGAGACATACAAGAGATCTGTTTTCTCATTATATGTAATTCTTTCTTTTAAAATACAGATTTAAAATGACACCTCAGTTATGGGTTGAAGCGTATTCTCTCCAAAATTCCTTTGTTGATGTCCCAAGTGAACAGTACCACAGAATGTGTCTTCATTTGGAAGGAGAGGTTACATGTAGACATGGTTATTTCACATGAGGTCATTTTATAATAGGGTGGGCCCCTAATAAAACCACTCATGTATTTAGAAAAAAGGATCTTTTGGAGATACATGCAGGGAGAGAAATGACACAGGGACGCTGGAGTTACACTGCTGCAAGCCAGGGAACTTCCAGAAGCTGGGAGGTTAACCAAAAAGATTCTTACCTTAAGACCTGCATAAGAAGCATGGCACCACTGACACCTTGATTTTAGACAGTGGCTCTCAGAAATGAGGCAATAAATTTCTGCTGTCCAAAGCCACTAAATTTTTGGTACTTTATTACAACAGCCACAGGAAACAGAGACAGCCTCCTTGTTGAGGAAGCTGTTCCCAATCCTGGGCTGGAGGAGGGTGACCCATTGTCCCAAAATGTCTCCGACATCTAAAGCATGCTTTACTTCACTCATGTTGTCACGACAAACCTAAGTGAATCTTTAGATAAATGGATGCTTTTGTGTCTCAATCAAGCAGTAGTTTCTTTTACAATGATGATCAATCCTGAAAGATTAGGAGCAAATTGTGAAAATGCCTTAACAAGGGAATGGTAGCAGGAGAAAGAATTATAATCAATGCATGCAACAAATTATTTTTATGTGTTCTCTTTTGTCCACCACCAGGCCAGTGGAGTGCACAGAAACTATATTCATGTAGCTGCATCCCAGAAAGCAATACTGCTACAAGTACTCAAAACAATTTTTAATTAGTATTTTTCCCATAATATGAGAAAATAATGTCACAACAACACCTGGCACATAATCCTGTCTATCATATTTTGGTGAGAAGTCCTGAATAGTTGAAAAGTATCACACATTAAACATTATACATTGCAAGCAACTTACAATATGAATTCCTCAAAAGTCAGTAAAGCTGACTTGGGTACTTGAGAGAAATAGTGCAAATGTGCCAGGAATGTATTAGGAACATAAATTGGAAAGGACGGGGCTCTTTTCATGACAAAAATCTATAGGGCTATTTACTCTGAATGACAACATGTTCTCAAGCCAAGCCTGGTTTCTGGAAATATTCTTGACAAGAAAGTCAGGTGTCATCATCTCTGGTGTTGCTTTTGAGCTTCCTGTGCATGGCTAAGTGGTCACTGGGGAGGAAAGCATGCATGTATGACCAGCCAGGAAGTGCCACTAGGGGTCACTGGGGTCTTTTTAAATCCTGTAGGTCCTCATCAAAAACATGATTCACGGAAACTGTCTGAATTTTAATGGATGAAACCCAGTAGGTCTTGATGAAAAATGTGATTCATGAAAACTGCCTGAAAACTCATAGATGACATTTCAAGGCTGCAACTTGCTACAGGTGAACTAGGCTTTTAAGTGCTCAAGTAGCAGCAATTCATGGTAGATGACATAGTGAACTGAATATCATAGGCAAGTCAGAAGTCATGCTAGTCTGTGCTGAATTAAAGTATAAAAGAACAACTCCCAGGATATTCCTTGGCTGGCTTCTATCAGTCTCTGGGACTCCAGAGGAAGCCTCATTTAATTGTGTTGGATTTCATTAACCTCTTCTGTCCTGATCCTCCACTTCTAAAATCACACTACACTGTATTGTTACAATATAATAAAAATTCTTATGAAATTTAAGCTTCTACATGCACTTTGGATTCTGCCTTCCCAGCTGGCAAAAACTCCATTTCAAAAACTGGTTTATCATGGTGGCCAACAATTACAAAGTAGAAGCTCCTAGACATGGTCTTAAATATGTGGCTCCTGATGAAGTAAAAAATAGTACATATTTTTAGCAGTCAATATTGAAATTCAAAGATGACTAAGGGAAGTGTAAAATTCTTGTTTTGTTTTGCTTTCTAACTTAAACTTGGAAGATGCCAGTAAGCTTGTCACCATTTCCCGTGTACTAGTGAAGATGCATGACTTCCGGAATAAACAAATGATAAAACTGTGATATTTCTTGTAGAATACTATGTATTTCTGTTAGAAACTAGAAGACCTCTAACATAAAATCACAGATAACATTCTCATGATCTGCAAGTATGGCACATTCAGCTCAAAGGACCCTGAGTGTCTGGTGGAGTAATCTAGGCTTCACTTGGTCTGGAGCAGTTAGCGCCAGCACTGACACTTAGAAGATTTAACAGAGGTAGACAGTAAGTTAAGAACCATAGACAGTGGTGAGAAGACCAAGGAATTAATTAGCTTGCCTTAGAAATGTACATAAGATATCCATTGGGGGAAGCTAAAACCAAGTCTCCCTCATGTCACTTAGAAAAGAGAAGCAATGCAGCACTTTGTGCTCTATTTTTCTTCTTTCTACCTGAAGTATGTGTGCTATAAATATACGTCCTTGCAAATAAAAGAGACTACGATATGCCTCTTGACACAACAATTTATAAGAAAGGAAGTTTTGTATGCTATAAGACATGAAAGAAATATTCCATAAAGGAAGACATTTTGAGTTACTGAGAGATCTTACAACGAAGTTTAACAGATTGGGGCAGGTGTAATGGCTTATGCCTGCAATGCCAGCACTTTAGAGGGCTGAGGCAGGCAGCCTGCTTCAGCCCGGGAGTTTGAGACCAGCCAAGGCAAACAGCATGGAAGAAGAAATACTTCTCTACAAAAAATACATCTCTACGGAAACACTAAAACTTTCTGGGCGTGGTGGTGTGTGCCTGTAGTTTCAGCTACTTTGGAGGCTGACAGGAGAGAATTACCTGACACAGCAGTAAGCTGAAATATCCTGACTCGAAAACAAAACAGAACAAAACAAAACAAAACAACAACAACAACAAAAAACAACAAAAAACTTCAACAGATTCACAAAAGAAATGAACCTATGAGAAACTGGGGAAAAAACATGAGCAATGACATGGCTTCTGGCACAGATAATTAAAATACAGATGAATGACTGATGGGTGGGAGCATAGATGGATATATGCAATGGTAACCCCACTGTGTGTGTTTTTAACACAAGGGATTTGAAATCAAACGAAGCTAGGTTCCATCTAACTCTGCTACATACTTGCAATGTGACCAGAGGGAAACTTAATCTACTGTTGGTCGTCTCCTTTATATGGTAATTTTGTATCACTTCATGGTAAAGTACCCAGCACAATGTCTGACGCACAGGACGTGCTTAATTAATATTATATAGAATAACATGGAAAGGCCAAATGCACACTGAGATGTGGGGGATTATAGCCTTGTCCACTTTCTCACTACCGTCTAAGCTGCTCTCACCCTTCAGTGGCAGAGTTAAGTATCTGCAACCAGGGTATCCCACAGAGCCAACAATATTCACTATCTGGTCTTCCAAAGACAACCTTTACTCCTGCTTTAGAAAAGAGGTGAAAAACAGATGAGATAGGAAAATTGGGTAACAAAGACAAGCAGGAATGATACAAAAGCCATGAAAACTGGCAATGATTCTCCAGAGAATGTGATGTGAGAAAGGATGGGCAGTAGAAAATTCAACAAAGTAAACAATGGTATCATGAATTATTGCTGGGCTAAATTTTAGAGCCAAAAGAAGCGGTTGTTACTTTCTTTAGTACAAACATTGAAGCAGCAGCAGCACCAAAAAAAGGCGGGGGCGGGAAATGTGTGTGTGTGATTTGGTGTGTGTGGTCTGCGTGTGGGTGTGTCAGTGTGTGTGTAAGGGAGATAACATGCATCCAATCCCCATATGAAAAGCCACAAATGTTAGAGCAGCATGGTGCTAACTCAGCAGGAGCACGGACAGAAGAGAACGCAAAGAAAAACTGCATGAGGGTGCTGTTACCAACTACACAGGTGGGCAGAAGACAAGACAGAGTTTACTTTATATACATTCCATGCTTATTGTGAGTTGCTAATTTTGTTTTCCTTTTGTAAACAGCTGAAGATGCAAGAAGGCTGTAATTTTTCATTCAATTTTGGCAAAGAAAACCTGACAGGTGAAGTGGAAGAATTGGAAACCCTGGGAGAAAATGGCCCCATTGCCCCAGGAAGGGAAGGTAAGAGCTGCAATCACTTAGCAAACACTTGAGGGTATTGGGCAAAGGTGAGACACACATTACTATTCTGCACTGTCCAATCTGTGGAACTTTCTCCACGGATGCAAATGTTTTACCTCTCTGCTGTCCAATATGAAAGCCAGTGAGTATTAGAAATATGGCTACTGTAATTATAGAATTGATTTTTAATTAAACAAGAATAGCCTCATGTGGGTGGTGGCTATGTAATAGACAGCACAGGTCTAGATCAAAGATTCCAAGCCAGTGGCATGATCTTGGCTCACTGCAAACTCCACCTCCCAGGTTCAGAAGATTTTCCTGCCTCAGCCTCCCGAGCAGCTGGCATTAAGGGTATGCACCATTATGCCAGGGTAAATTTTGTAATTTTAGTAGAGATAGGGTTTTGCCATATTGCCCAAGCTGGTCTTGAACTCCTGGCCTCAAGTGATCAGCAGACCTCAGCACTGCTGAGATTAGAGTCAGGAGATTGTAAAGTGCTGAGATTAGAGTCCCCAAAGTGCTGAGATTAGTCATGAGCCACCATGCCCAGCCTAATTTCAACTTTTTTATACAAAATTTCTGTGACATCCTCCACCTTCCCTTCACCAACAAAACAAGTATTATTTACTATTCCAATATATAATGCAAATAAAGCAACTGGCATGACTGACATACCTGAATTGGCATGAATGGTCTGCTTGATTATTCCATTGCTTTAAATAGGGACCTTTGAAGAATCTCCAAGGAAAACTTGTCCTAGAGGCCCTGAGGAGGTAGCTACATAGACTCAGACAATAGATTAAATTGGGAAACTGAGGACAAGAGGAGAATCTAGGATAGTTTCCAAATGTCTAGCTGAGGGGACAAAACAGAATATGACGTCATCTAAGATGCCCTCATCCAAATCTCTAAAACTTGTGAGTATGTGAGGGCTCATGGCAAAAAGAAATTACGGTTGTTCAGCAGCTGACCTTAAGATAGGAAGATTGCCCAGGATCATCCAGCTTGATCAATGCCATTACAATGGCCTTAAATGTAGACGATGGAAGCAAAAGAGGAAAGTCAGGGGGAAGTGACAGAAGAATGGAAAAGCAATGTGATGTAGATGGCTTAGAAAATGGAAGAAGGGGCTATAGCTAAGGAATGCAGGAGGCCCCTAGAAGCTAGAAAGTACAAGGAAGCAAATTATCCTCTAGAGCCTCCAAGAGGAGCACAGTTCTGCGCACACTTCGATCTTAGCCAAACAAGACCTGTATTGGACTCCTATATTACAGAAGTGTAAGATGATACACTTGTATTAAGCCACTAAATTTAAAATAATTTATTACGATGGCTATTGTTCCACCTCTGCTAGAGTTTTTTTTAATTAATTATTATTATACTTTAAGTTTTAGGGTACATGTGCACAATGTGGAGGTTTGTTACATATGTATACGTGTGCCCTGTTTGTGTGCTGCACCAATTAACTCGTCATTTAGCATTAGGTATATCTCCTAATGCTATCCCTCCCCACTCCCCGCACCCCGCAACAGTCCCCGGAGTGTGATGTTCCCATTCCTGTGTTCACGTGTTCTCATTGTTCAATTCCCACCTATGAGTGAGAACACGCGGTGTTTGGTTTTCTGTCCTTGCGATAGTTTGCTGATAATGATGGTTTCCAGTTTCATCCATGTCCCTACAAAGGACATGAACTCATCATTTTTTATGGCTGCATAGTATTCCATGGTGTATATGTGCCACATTTTCTTAATCTAGTCTATCATTGTTGGACATTTAGGTTGGTTCCAAGTCTTTGCTATTGTGAATAGTGCCACGATAAACATATGTGTACATGTGCCTTTATAGCAGCATGATTTATAATCTTTTGGGTGTATACCCAGTAATGGGATGGCTGGGTCAAATGGTATTTCTAGTTCAAGATCCCTGAGGAATCGCCACACTGACTTCCAAAATGGTTGAACTAGTTTACAGTCCCACCAACAGTGTAAAAGTGTTCCTATTTCTCCACATCCTCTCCAGCACCTGTTGTTTCCTAACATTTGAATGATCGCCATTCTAACTGGTGTGAGATGGTATCTCATGGTGGTTTTGATTTGCATTTCTCTGATGGCCAGTGATGATGAGCGTTTTTTCATGTGTTTTTTGGCTGCATAAATGTCTTCTTTTGAGAAGTGTCTGTTGATATCCTTCACCCACTTTTGGATGGGACTGTTTGTTTTTTTCCTTGTAAATTTATTTGAGTTCATTGTAGATTCTGGATATTAGCCCTCTGTCAGATGAGTGGGTTTCAAAAATTTTCTCCCATTCTGTAGGTTGCCTGTTCACTCTGATGGTAGTTTCTTTTGCTGTGCAGAAGCTCTTTAGTTTAATTAGATCCCATTTGTCAATTTTGGCTTTTGTTGCCATTGCTTTTGGTGTTTTAGACATGAAGTCCTTGCCCATGCCTATGTCCTGAATGGTTTTGCCTAGGTTTTCTTCTGGGGTTTTTACGGTTTTAGGTCTAACATTTAAGTCTTTAATCCATCTTGAATTAATTTTTGTCTAAAGTGTAAGGAAGGGATCCAGTTTCAGCTTTCTACATATGGCTAGCCACTTTTCCCAGCACCATTTATTAAATAAGGAATCCTTTCCCCATTGCTTTTGTCTGGTTTGTCAAAGATCAGATAGTTGTTGATACATGGCATTACTTCTGAGGGATCCGTTCTGTTCCATTGGTCTATATCTCTGTTTTTGTACCAGTACCATGCTGTTTTGATTACTGTAGGCTTGTAGTATAGTTTGAAGTCAGATAGTGTGATGCCTCCAGGTTTGTCCTTCTGGCTTAGGATTGACTTGGTGATGCGGGCTCTTTTTAGCTTCCGCATGAACTTTAAAGTAGTTTTTTTCCAATTCTGTGAAGAGTCATTGGTAGTTAGATGGGGATGGCATTGAATCTATAAATTACCTTGGGCTGTGTGGCCATTTTCACGATATTGATTCTTCCTACTCATGAGCACGGAATGTTCTTCCATTTGTATCCTCTTTTATTTTATTGAGCAGTGGTTTGTAGTTCTCCTTGAAGAGGCCCTTCACATCCCTTGTAAGTTGGATTCCTAGGTATTTTATTCTCTTTGAAGCAATTGTGAATGGGAGTTCACTCACGATTTGGCTGTCTGTTATTGGTGTATAAGAATGCTTGTAATTTTTGCATATTGATTTTGTGTCCTGAGACTTTGGTGAAGTTGCTTATCAGCTTGAGGAGATTTTGGGCTGAGACGATGGGGTTTTCTAAATATACAATCATGTCGTCTGCAAACAGGGACCATTTGACTTCGTCTTTTCCTAATTGAATACCCTTTATTTCCTTCTCCTGCCTAACTGCCCTGGCCAGAACTAATTGCCCTGGCCAGAATATTGGTCTTTTCACAAAGTCCCATATTTCTTGGAGGTTTTGTTCATTTCTTGTTATTCTTTTTTCTCTAAACTTCTCTTCTCGCTTCATTTCATTCATTTCGTCTTCCATCACTGATACCCTTTCTTCCAGTTGATCGCATCGGCTACTGAGTCTTCTGGATTCGTCACGTAGCTCTCGTGCCTTGGTTTTAGCTTCATCAGGTCCTTTAAGCACTTCTCTGCATTGGTTATTCTAGTTATCCATTCGTCTAATTTTTTTTCAAAGCTTTTAACTTCTTTTCCATTGGTTCGAATTTCCTCCTGTAGCTCGGAGGAGTTTGAATATCTGAAGCCTTCTTCTCGCAACTCACCAATGTTATTCTCTGTCCAGCTTTGTTCCATTGCTGGTGAGTAGCTGTGTTCCTTTGGAGGAGGAGAGGCACTCTGATTTTTAGGGTTTCCAGTTTTTCTGCTCTGTTTTATTCCCATCTTTGTGGTTTTATCTACCATTGGCCTTTGATGATGGTGATGTACAGATGGGTTTTTGGTGTGGATGTCCTTTCTGTTTGTTAGTTTTCCTTCTAACAGACAGGACCCTTAGCTGCAAGTCGGTTGGAGTTTGCTAGAGGTCCACTCCAGACCCTGTTTGCCTGGGTTTCAGCAGCCTTGGTTGCATAACAGAGGATATTGGTGAACTGCAAATGCTGCTGCCTGATCGTTCCTCTGGCAATTTTGTCTCAGAGGAGTACACGGCCGTGTGAGGCGTCAGTCCACCCCTACGTGGGGGTGCCTCCGAGTTAGGCTACTCGGGGGTCAGGGACCCACTTGAGGAGGCAGTCTGCCTGTTCTCAGATCTCAAGCTGCATGCTGGGAGAACCACCACTCTCTTCAAAGCTTTCAGGGAGGGACATTTAAATCTGCAGACGTTACTGCTGTCTTTTTGTTTGTCTGTGCCCTGCCCCCAGAGGTGGAGCCTTCAGAGGCAGGCAGTCCTCCTTGAGCTGTTGTGGTGGGCTCCACCCAGTTCGAGCTTCCCAGCAGCTTTGTTTACCTAATCAAACAACTAACTCCGCAATGGCGGGCGCCCCTCCCCCAGCGTCGCTGCCGCCTTGCAGTTTGATCTCGGACTGCTGTGCTAGCAATGAGCAAGACTCCATGGGCGTAGGACCCTCTGAGCCAGGTGTGGGATATAATCTTCTGGTGTGCCATTTTTTAAGCACATTGGAAAAGGGCAGTATTAGAGTGGGAGTGACCCGATTTTCCAGGTGCCGGCTGTCACCCCTTTCTTTGACTAGGAAAGGGAATTCCCTGACCCCTTGTGCTTCCCGGGTGAGGCGATGCCTTGCGATGCCTCGGGTCGTGCGTGGTGCTCTGCACCCACTGTCCTGCACCTACTGTCTGGCACTCCCCAGTGAGATGAAACTGGTACCTCAGTTGGAAATGCAGAAATCACCCGTCTTCTGCATCACTCATGCTGGGAGCTGTAGACCGGAGCTGTTCCTATTCAGCCATCTATCACCTCTGCTAGAGTTTTGTCATTTACTTTTTATCCCCCCAAATCCACGTTGACTGTATCCACTTCAGAACTACTATTATTTCTGTCCTCATGCCTAGAATGTTCTCCCTGATTCTGCCTGCAACCGCTACCTATTTTTAAAAATCCAACTAAGTTCTCCCCCTCCTCGATTATTTCCCACAAAAACCTACACGTTCTCCACATCCTAAGAAGTCCTGTCACTCATATTGCCTCTTGAAGTGTTCGTTTTTCACAGCCAGTGATCAAAACTCATTGTGCACTTCCTCAATGCTGTGTACAAAGCTGACACTGATCAAATTTTGTCCTCACAGGACTTGGATACTTTATCAGGCTTATTTTCCCAACCTACAACTCTGGACTCGGGTAGATTCCTCACTGCTCCCAAGAAGGTCCTGGATTTTTGTTTGTTTGTTTGTTTGTTTTTATTCCTTTGCTCACTTTTCCCCTCCCTGCAGTGCTCTTCTTTTAGCCCCCCCACCTAAATCCTATGCATCAAAGCCCTGAGGAGTTTACACTTTTTCTCAGAGATGATCTGGATCACTTCCATCTTCAACCACCTCTCCTTTAAACTCTTTACTCAGTTTATAATATTACCTTAGCTCTTGTTCAATTCTCTGGCCGTAACTTTTTCATTATTGCTTCTGAGAGGTTTGGCTCATTTTCTTTTTAGTTACATGTAAGCATTATGAGGTCAGTCTCACCTTTCCTCACAACACACAACGGTGGCTATTAAAAAAACATTTCACTCTGTGGATCTCAACCCTGAGCCATCTTGCTTCCAAGAGGACATCTGGCAATGTCTGGAGACATTTATGGTTGTCTCGCTTGGGGGAGAAGGTGCTATGGACAACATAGAGACCGAGGATACAGCTAAATCTACAATGCACAGGACAGCCTCCCAAAACAAAGAATCTGCTGGCTCCAAAAGGCAAAAGTGGCTCTATTATGAAACCCTGAGTCAGCTGAATGACCCTGTTAACTGTGAAAGCAAAGCCCCCAAGAGAGCAGACACTCGCAGGTGGAAGTGTGCTCAGTGCATGGATGAGCCTGTTGGGGCGTGGCAGATCTGATCTGGCTACCCTAGGGAGGAGTGGAGGTACAGCACCAGCCTGTGCTGTCATGTAGGGCCAGCAATGTCCCACAGGGTCTCAAAATGCCTGTTTCGACTCACTCCATCCCCCTACCTGCAGCCAGAGGTCAAGGAGGGAAAGGCATTCTCAGTCCCGCTGAGGAAACCTGCACTCCTGCGGCTTCAGCCCAGTTTGCGGGGGGCAGTTATTTGGATACCCTGGATATGCTCTGGCGAGATGTGGGCGGAGCTTCTGTTGGGTGCTAGGCAACCAAGTGCATGCCATGTATCTTCAGAACAGGAAGACTGTACTTTGTAGGTCTCCAGGAGGGGCAGGATGGGATATGAGGGCTGTAATCTCGCGGTCCTGCCTCATTACTTTTCATCCCTAGTGTTTGAGTCCCAGCCCTCCAGCCACCTTTGAGTTGTGCCTAGGTCACGGTCCTCGTCCATGCCTCAGAACGGCGAAGAGAGGAGGCTTGCATGTTTGATAGAAAACCTACTTGGGATTGTGAGAGTGAGAGTGTTCAGCACGCTTGTTCCTCACCTGGGACACAGGCAGGTTTTTGAGGACGGAGATTCCCCCTCATCTTGGACCTGCATCCTGTCCTGTGCACTCAACTCTGGCCATGGCGGGGCGAAGGAGGCGGCCTGGGAGGAAGCTGATGATGGGAGGAAGCTGGCGCCTACTGACTCAGGAATACACAACTGCCCCTCGTCGGGGACAGGTAGAAATGAAGTCTTGTTGATGTTCCATAATACCTCTTTCCCTGCTAGGCCACTCAGGGTGTCCCCAGAGACCAGTGATCTTTTTTCCTTCCTTCACCTTTCCTCTATCCCCCAGATAACCTGTAATCATTTTGTCTTCTAGTCCAACTTGCTCCTCATGTCTGACGTGTTGAGTCAAGATGAGCTGCGAGAAAAGCTACACCAAACGTTGAAGGATCGGGGTGTACTGGGCACACTCAAGTATCGGATTTAGGTTTATCTGTTCCATAACTTTTAAAAGTGTAACCTGTAACAAGTAGTTCACATTTAAATTCATCCAATGTTTGGGTTTCAAAACTCTACCCTGAAATATTACAGTCTCTTTGAATCCATTGAGAAAATGTTGCATTTGAATCGACTTTAAGGAGACTGTTCAAATAATTAATTGAACCCACAATAAGATAGGAGCAGAAAGCATTTATATAATGAACATGTTTTAGTAAGATTAGGCCTGTTTTATAAATCTGGCTTACAGGTTGCTAAACTGACAAGTGGGTTTGTAATAAATTAGGATGAGGAACATTAACACCATATAGAAAACACTAATGTGCTGTTTTAATAGTCTGGGAATGAACAGCTTCATCTTTAAACTATATTGATATGCCTGACTATTTAATTTGAGCAGCAAATATCTGTAGGTATGCTTTATGTTTGGATTAACAGCTAGGAATAACATTAACTCAACGTGTTTTCATTGCAATATGTATTTCAAAAGCATATTTTACATTCAAAATATTTAGATATATCTTGTATATATGTCCTTTTTAAATTTAAATTATATGGTGTGAGCATTTCTCTGTTTCCTTAAAAGTTTCTTGAAATCCTCATCTTTAGTGGTAACAGATTTATCTTTGGAAATTTTTGTAACACACGAGCAGTCCCTTGCTGAATATTTTGGTTATATTTTCCAACAGTCCACAGAGGTGCGAAGAAATGGCAGAATTTTTTCTTATACTTCATAGCCCAAGCGTAAGCTACTGAAATGGGCTTCTAGGGAGTGAAGTGAAGAGTCTGCAAATGGGTCTGGCTAATCATCAGTTTCACTTGGAAGCTGAGGAAATAAACATTTTTCTACAACACACTGGCCTTCTTGTCTCAGGGCATAAGACTTCTGCAGGGGAAGGTTCCTAACTTCTGGCCATGGATCTAGCAACATTATGGAAATAAAAGGAAGTTTTCCAATGAATATAACACATCTGTGTATATCTCTACTGAGAAAATCCCACTGAAGTTTTTTTTTTTTAACTTGTCTGACTTCCCTCCTTCCTTCCTTCTTTCCTTCCTTCTTTCTTTCCTTCCTTCTTTTCTTTCTTCCTTCCTTTCTTCCTTTCTCCTTTCCTCCCTTTCTCCCTCCCTCCCTTTATTTCTTCCTCCATTCTGTTTTTATTTTTTTCCTTTCTTTCTTCCTTCCTCCATGGCAAGACACAAATTCAAAACCAGCTAATCTATGAGTAGATGCACCCTGAATTGAATGGAACATTGCAATCTCCGTTCATTTCAGTGCAAGGGAACTCCCTCTTACTAGCAGCCTCTAACTCTTCAGTGGCCGATCACTAACAAAGATGTGGCTATGAGTCTTCACTTTCTGTTTTCTTTCCAGAAATTGGTTTAGCAAAAGAAAATGTAATGAATTTCCTTTTCTGTTTTGAACTTTTTATTAACAGTTTTTTCTTGGCAGACTCTAACATGCTGCATTATAGCTAACTGCTTTTAAACTAGTTCTGTTTCTCATTCCTCTTTGAATTTACATCGTACCTGCACATAATACATTTGCTATATAACAAGTGGGTACTAAATTTGGAATTAATTTCTTGGTATCCCATTTAGTCTTTTGTAAAATTGTGATCTACAATCTCTACAGCTTTAAGAGCTAAAACTGATTTATCTATTTTCCATGTTATTTAATAAGACTTTGCCAATCTGCTGAATGTTTGCTCTGAGCTTGGCACTGCGATAAACACATGACAGATGTTTAGCGTGTTACAGATGAGGAACCAGACTGTGGAGAGGTGAATCAAGTAACTTAAGTGATGTAATTCTTAAAAATCTGTAAAGTTTCCTAATAATAAAGACACTCTCATTTTATTTCTTAGTACATTTCTAATTATTTGAACTATATTTCTCCACCATTATTGTTGAACAGTCATCCCAGTTTATTACTTTAAAGGTAGATGCAGCAAAGTTTCCCTGTGAATATGTGTGTGTGTTGTTGGCGGGGTGGTGTTTGTAGACTTTGTTTTTTAGAGCAGTTTTTAGTTCACAGCCAGGTAGATGGAGAAGTACAAAGAGTTCCTATACACCCAGTGCTCCTACACATGCACAGTCTTTCCCACTGTCAACATCTTTCATCAAGGTGGTACATTTTCTGCAATTGATAAACCTACCTTGACATGTCATTATTCCCAGTCTATCGTTTACATTAAATTTCACTCTTGGTGGTGTGTGTATGTCTTTATTTTCTTTATGTTGTCATAGTTATCTAAAGATTTCATATTCCAAATTTTAAGGACACAAGAAGCTTGGTATTGTAATTATTTTCTTTGAGATGGAGTATCACTCTGTTGCTCAGGCTGGAGTGTAGTGGCATGATCTCGGGGTGCAAACTTTGCCTCCTGGGTTCAAGCAATTCTCCCACCTCAGCCGCTCAAGTAGCTGTAATTACAGGTGCTCACCCAAGTACCCAGCTAATTTTTGTATTTCTAGTAGAGGTGGGGTTTCACCATGTTGGCCAGGTTTGTCTTGAACTCCTGATCTCAAGTGATCCATTTGCCTCAGCCTCCAAAAGTGCAGGGATTACAAATGTGAGCCACAATGCCTGGGCTTAGTACAGTATTTGAATGAAAATTTTAAGCATGTTGAGTTTCCTCATAAGCAACCAAACTTTACTTATCGGTTTTATAAGTGTATTTATTTACCTATTTATTTTTTAGTAGTAGTGTCTCACTCTGTCACCAAGTCTGAAGGGCAGCGGTATAATCTCAGCTTACTGCAATAACTGTCTGCTGGGTTCAGGCAATTATACTACTGCAGCCTTTCAAGCGGCTGGGAGTACAGGCACACACCACCACATTCTGCTATTTTTTTTTTTTTTTTTTTTATAGATACTGGGTTTCTTATGGTGGGCAGTGTTGTTTTGAATTCTGAGCTCATGTCATCTGCCCGCTTAGCATGCCCAAGTGCTGTAATTACAACTGTGAGTCATTGTGCCTTGTCTGGAATTCATCTTTGATATATCTTTCTCTAATTTCATAATCACTCCATATTCTACTTATTGTGTAATTACCAGTTGTATAATTCTTATAACAGGAATTCATCCTGCTCAAACAACTTAATGGTTTCTCCTAATAGAAGATGCCAATGCTAAATGTTTTCTTTGAAGGAAATCCATTTGAAAACATATCAGTGTTCTCAGAGTAGACATAATTATTGATATATACTGTAGTAGAAACAGATATAAATAGCTGCCCAAAATGTCTGTTTGAGAGTATTTTAAGTGCATTTTAATCATGATTGTAAAGACAGTGAAAATTCAGTTTATTTAAATTTTAAACACTACTTTCAAAAAAATGTAATTGAATGACATTTGACGTAAAATACTTAGAGGTTAATTACATGATCAAGAAAGATATTTTATTATTTTGACCTCACTATGTTTTTGTAATGTATCTAACAGTGTAAGAAAGAGCTTCAATTTTGCTTTGTAATCTTATTTTTTTGAAGGATGTTTCTTAATCTCATATTCATAAATATATTATAATGTGTCATTTAAACACTGCTATAAGCATGTGTCTAAGTAGGAACTTTTAATTTTCTTAAGGTATTTACTATGCAGGATGGATTGCACTCAATAAAAATCACCGTACTTCAGGTTTCTAGAAATCACCGGTAAGATTACTTAGTTTCTGTAATCTACTTTGGTTTGTTAATTATAGCTGAATAGCATTATAAAGGGAAAATATGTTTTTAATAGGTCTCAGGATTTGATAAAGAAAACCAAAAATGTAGGAGTCTACGTATTTGTAAAGTATAGCAAGGTTTTTCTATGTAGTTTTCCTTATAAAAGAATGGAGCAAATTTTGAGGGAGAAGTGTAAGACATTTCATTTCATTTAAATTACATGTTTTCCCTTGCTCACCACATCTTAGTTTGTAAACAATAGTTCACCTGTTCTGCAGGTCATTATTCCCATATTTTCACTTTTGTAATAACTTTATATAGTCAAATAAGAAAACTTCAGACAGTATCAAGAGTCCTGCAGACACACTAAGAGATACTGTTTGTAAACATATCCGCTGTTGGCAAAATTTCTAAAAAAAAAAAAACATTCAAAAACCTGCCTTTTAGGCCAGGTGTCTTTGTATACTAGGTATGCCTCTCAAATACAATTGATAGAGTATTAAATGTATTAATATGTCATTAATGAATAGAATATGTGTTTGGTAAAGTGTAATATAACTTTTGTTCTTAAATGTTTACGCAGACCTGATTAATTGCCTTAATTTTGGCCTTCATACAAAAGATTTATAAAGTTTGTAACTACTGTGGGTTTCACACCATTTGTTAGACTTGATAATGGGCTTTGTAGCATGAACATAAGCTGGCAACTTGCCTTTTAATGCTTAGTTATCCCTTAGGTCTTTTAAAATAATCTGTGAATTAGTAATGGTCCTTTTGTGTTGTTACCCCCTTGGGATTTTGTCTGTTACATGCATTTCTATAATCCCCACAGAGACATTTATTCATTCATCCATTCATTCAGAACTTAATCATTTGAGTATATACTTTTGCCAGCCATTGGGGCTGTGTATTAATTTCCCAAGCTTCATTGTAATAATGTGAAGGAAGAAAGGAAGGCAGGAAAGAAGGAAGAAAGAAAGAAAATAAAAGAAACTGTGGTAGCAGTTCTCATAGTTCTCACACTGTGACACCACCTTTTAATTTTTATGTAGTGAGATTGATAAATATTTCTCCTTATTGCTTCCAGGTTTCATGTCATGCATGGGAAGGACTTTTTTCAGATTTACTCTTAAAAGCTATAACCAGACAAAGAGGCTCATTCCTGTGATTCCAGCACCTTGGGAGGCCCAGGTAGGAGGATCACCTGAGGCCACGAGTTTGAGATCAGCTTGGGCAGGCAGCATAGGAAGACCCTGTCTATACAAATAATAATATTAATAATAGTAATAATAATAATAATAAATAAATTAGCTCAGTGTGGTAGATGGTGGTAAATGCCCGAGCATTTTCAACATATAGAAAAGTTGAAACAATTGTAGTCAACATTTACATACCTACCACCTAGATTTCACGATTACATTTGTATTATACATACTTCATCATTTTTGTCTGTCCATCTATTCATCTATCTTGCTTTTTTTTTTTTTTTTTTTTTTTTGTATTTCAAAGTAAATTGCAGACACCCATATTTTCCCCTAAGTATACTCTACTTTTGAGCTAGAAGTCTGGCCTCTTACACACCTGACCATGCTTCTGTGTCCTAATTTGACCTGTTACTTTTTAATAGCTGACAACCTTCAGCTTATTGGTGATCAACTGGCAGATGCTTATCCTAAGCATATAAAGTTTGAGTCTTTAGAAATAAAGCTAAATGAAGATAAGAGAGAAATAGAAAAGCAACTTCTGGCAGAAATGTGTCAAAAGGTAATCTTTATCTTGTTACAGTTAATAAGGCATGTTTTTGTTGGCCATCTAAAGATTTAATCTTAGATATACTAAAAAATACCTGGAATTTTTAATAAAAAATAGGGTACTTCACTGTTTTGCATATCAATTTTTTTCTGATGAGATTTGTTTATTCCTTTTGATTCAGTCCTACAAATACAGCAAATGGTATAAAATGATAGATTAAATAAATATAACACATTTGGACAGAACATTAATGTGGAGACTAGCTGTGGAGGGAGAATCTGTTACTGCACTTATATTATAATGATTGGAACTTTTATATTTGTAATCAATTCACAATTGAAGTTTTTTATGAAAGTTATAATAGAGTGTGAGAAGGAATTATCTATGTTCTGAAATGATTTTGAGAAAGCTTGTCAAGCGGAATCTGAAAACTTTATTCTTTGGAAAAAGAGTACCCTTGAGAGACATCAAAAGCACCAAGAGGTGGTATTTACAAATATTTTACTGGGTGGCTATTTCCTACAGCTGTTACTGGATTGACTCAAGGAATGAGATGTTACAATTGATGGAACAAGGTCCCAGAAGAGCAGTAGGGACTGTGGCCAAGACTGAAAATAAAAGAATGATGGGCCTTGAAAAGGATACAGATTTGCATCCTTTGAGTCTTCTGGAAATGCAAGATTTGCAGAGGTGATCAGCCAAGTTGGAATTATGAGAAACACACTCTAAAAAACTTCATCTTCTCAGGCAAATTAAGGAGATAGATGAAAGGTTTCAGGAGCAGCTTGGAGGTGCAGAGTAGCTCATGTGGGTAATGTATGAACAGCTCTTTACAGCAGAGCAGACTGATTACCTGTACTGAAGGCCCAGCTGTGGTGGGGGTAACCCTGGAAGTGAGAGAGACAAAACCACATGTTTGTAGGCAAGTTTTCTGTTCTACCTCTGGGGAGGAATTTTAAGGGTCTCTCTTGCTGTCCCTTTCAGTGAGGGTGGAAAGATGGAGATGCTTGGGAAGTGGAGATTTGCAGAACATAATTCAATGTCCTTGAGAAAGGCAGCCTATCTCATGAAGATTCCCTGGATCTCCTGTGTAGTGATGGTAAGCAGAGGAGAGGGCAGGTGGCTGGTAACCTAGGGGGAAAGGGAGGGTTGAGTGGTAGTTTCAGTGATAAAGAACTAGATCTGGAGAGACTGGCAAGTGGAAGAATAAAGATGGTCCAGGAGTGCAGAACTGCAGAATGAGGTTTCAGGTAGAGAGTGGAAGTCAAAGGTACTGTGCTGCCATTGGATGGAGCCATGGAAATGAGCAAGAGTAAAGATCCCTGGAGTGAAGGAGTCACCAGGGCCCCAAGGGTCATCCATGTGGCCATTTGATCTCATCACCAGGAAAGTAACTTGAAAGGAGATGAAGGGGATGAGGAGTGGCAGGGAGTTTGTGTTGGCAAGTTGGGTTGGATCTACTCCTTTAAGAAATTGTATTCCTTTTCCATGTGAATGTCTTAGACCACACAGGATTCACAGCAGTATTTCAAACATACATCTAAAACTGCTGCTGCCAGATGTTAAAAGTAGGAAGTCTTCCCCCTAGTGCCCACTCTTGCTTGGAGCTTCTCAATGAGACATAGTTGTTTAATGCTAAGGGCACTCACTCTAAAATTTTCCATAGCATTTCTGGAAATTCAGCTTGCTTCAGTTATAAAATTGAATGTTGGATGCACAGATCTTAGAGATGATTAGATTGTGTTTAGACTAATAACTTCATCTTCAAGATAGGTGACTGACTAAGTTTCTGTTTATTCAACCGTGAATATCTGAAGCCTTTGAGGAAGATTGTCATTCTCATAAAAACCACCATGCCTGTATTTCCCCACCTGCAATATCAATCCTGTCTCTCTCTGATAAAACCATAGTGTCATTCAAGGCCCAGCTTTGGTGTCACCCCTGAGATGCCTTCCCTGACTCCCACTGAGCAACTCATTTAGGTCTTATTCCTGTCTGCAGTCTTTATTTACCTCAGTTATAAAATTATCCTATCTTAGCGTGATTGTTTCTCCCTGACTATACTGTGAGGTCTTCAGAGATGAGGACTACATCGGTCTACATTTTTATATCAAGTTCCTAGTATGCTGCTTGATATATGATAGAGAGTAAATTCTTACTCTGTGAAGACATAAGTGTAATGTTGGCTCATTCATTTATAAGTTCATGTGAGCTTACTAACTCTGAATCACAATGACTCATGAACATTTAGATGACTCAGAAACATTCAGGCAGCACCACCACTAAAATCCATGGGGATTTTATTCCTTTGGAGTTTTATTTCTGAATGTACATTTTGTTTATTTATTTTCCTGAAGAACTTCCCAAATTTTAGTTAAGGGGGCTAGGTCTGGTGGCTCGTGCTTATAGTTTTAGCACTTTGAGAGGCTGAGATGGGGATCTCATTTGAGCTCAGAGGTTCAACACCAGTCTGGGCAGCATGGCACCACCTCATCTCTAAAAAAAAATTAGGGGAACTCGGTGATGTGTGTTTGTAGTCTCAGCTACTCAGAAGACTGAGGTAGGATGATGCCTTGAGTCTGGGAGGCAGAGGTTGCATTTACCCAAAATCACAACACTGCACTCAAGCCTGAGCAACAGAGCAGAACCGAGTCTCAAAACAAAGATTACCTAAAATTACCTAAGGGACTGAGATATGTTAATTAAGTAGCATAGATTACACGGGGATGTTAACAATATATGGAAATGTACTTTAACAGAAATTGGGAGAGTAAATGTAAATACATGTGCCGCTGGAATAGCTAGTTGAGGAAGACATTGAATTGGATTTTTTTTTTTTTGAGATGCAGTTTTAATCTTTTGCCCAGGCTGGAGTGCAATGGTACTACCTCAACTCACTGAAACCTCTGCCTCCCAGGTTCAAGTGATTCTCCTACCTCAGCTTTCCAGTTAGCTGGGATTAAAGGTGCCGACCACCTTACCCAGTTAATTTTTGTAATTTTTGTAGAGATTGTGGTTTCACCATATTGGGAAAGGCTGGTCTCAAGCTTTTGACCTCAGGTGATCAGCCTGTTTTGGCCTCACAAAGGGCTAGGATTACAGCAGTGAATCACCATGCCCAGCTGAGTAGGAATCACTTGAAGGGGAAATTGTATTCTTAATTTCTGTACTTTGTTTTTTGGAATTTAGTTAGAAGTATATTTATTTCAATTTGTTCTGCTTCCATTAACTTTCTTGCTAAAACTTTTTTTTTTTTTTTTTTTTTTGAGAAATAGTCTTGCTCTGTCACCCAGGCTGGAGTACAGTGGTGTGATGTCGGCTCATTGCAAATTCTGCCTGTCAATTTCAAGCAATTTCCTGCCTCAACCTCCTGAGTAGCTGGAATTACAGGTGCCTGCCACCATGCCCAGGTAACTTTTGTATTTTCAGTAGAGATGGGGTTTTGCCACCTTGGCCGGTGTGATCTTCATCTCCTGACCTCGTGACCTATCTGCCTCTGCCTCAGTCTCCCAAAATGCTGGGATTACAAGCATGAGCCACAACAATCGGCCAAAATTAATGCTTTTTTACAGATTGAAACAAGAAAATCTATGCTCAAAGCCTTGTTTTACTAAAAGATATAGATTTGTTAAGAGGAAAAAAGGCAAAGCTAAAGCAGAGAGTTGAAGCTTTTGAATTATGCATATGCATGTTTATCTTGAATCTTCGGAATGATGAGATTAAAAAGAATTACTAAATATATGTCTAAATATTGTAATGTTTACTGACAAGTAGAATTATTTTTTATAAAGGTGATCTCACCCAGCATTAGAAGTTACACATTAACAGAAACAAATATTAGGTCTGTGCTTTTGAAATATTAAACGTTAACATGAAATGCTATCACTAGGCTACAGTAACACCAAATAGAAAATTTGGAGAAGCTGTATGACACTTGAACAGATCATACATTTTAAAGTTAACTTCAGACCTTCAGGTCTGATATTTTTGTGTGTTTATGTATTGTAGCCGAATTCCAAATATCCAGGCCTGAAGCTTTTACCTGCTCTGTGCTCAAAAAAGGAAGTATTGTGGTTTGACTTGTACTGGATGAAACTATTTCTCAATGCTATTCACTTTTTCTGTGTGCTCAGAAATGTTTCATCCTTCATATATTACCTGGGATTGACAGAAAGCTCACCTGTGTATAGTTTGCACAAGAAGTTTTCCTTTCCATTGGGAATATTCTGTTAATTGACACCCATAGATATTTTAGGCTTTTAGCTCATTAAAGAATTTGTCCCCATCTTATTTAACGTTGTTTTCTCACTTCTATAGGTTTGATTTTTTATTTCAGCCCACTGTGTATCTTACTCTCTTTTTGGCAGTAATGAAAAGGTAGATTAAACGAGAGAGAGAGAGAGAGACGAAAAAAAGAGAAACATTTGGGCAAGGAGTGTGTGTCACTTTTTTTAACCTCCATTTTCTCTACTCCTTTTCCCTTCTCTCAGCGTATATACACAATCAATGTAGTTTACCTCTCCATGGCGTTCCAGATTACCAGAAGAGGGAGCTAATACCTGGAGCTTTTAACTGCTCTTAGACTAGTTAGTGTTTTGCAGTGCTTCTCAGGATGGCTGGATCTCATCTCCTGTGAATCCACCTCCCTGGCTGGGGAGTTGGTGTAATGGGTGATTTGAAGTCTCACTATGAAGATCATTCTATTCTTAAGTATGTGGAAGCCCTGAATGACCCATCTATCTGTTGCCCTCTCTTTTGGTACTTGATCAATATTCAATCAATCGGTTTTTTTTTTGTTTGTTTCATAGGGATTTTTTGTTGGTGTTTTTTGGTTTTAAGAGACAGGGTCTTGCTATGTTGTCCAGGCTGGTCATGGAGCAGTTTTAGTCTGTTGAACTAAAAAGGTGTCACGTGATGTTTTTCCTAAATTTGTTAACTCAGCTATTATAGTTTATTTACTTTATGTTTTTTGCTAATTTCAGAACCCAGGAACTCCAGGAAGAAAAACATAAAAGCATGACTGAGGACTTAGGAGATGGGAGCAGAATACAAAGTGTCTTGAGGAAACCTATGACTGAAACCTAAAAAACGTACTTCTAAAGTAATTGTTTGGCACATTTGAAGAAGTAATATGTTTAAATTACATTTGTAGAAATATAACAAAAGCCGAGGAAGTAGTCTATGATTAATCTTTTATGCAAACTTTAGTGTTAAAAATACATATGTTTATCAACAGCCAATATATTCTTGCATTTGAGTTAGGGTAGCTTTTAAAAGATAAGGTGTAGAAAAGCACATCCTCTGTTCTTCTTACTCATGGCTTCTTGAATATTTATCAAGGACTGAGATTTGCTTTAAATTTCAGGGCACGTTGCGACTTGCTCAGGTTGCATAATTAATAAGATGTAGTTTGAATTATAATAACTTTTAGTTTCCTTTTTCTCTACCACACTCATACTGCCACAAAGATGGGGATATCTAACAATGTATAAAGTATACTTAGTGGTCAGATTGTTTGTCAGTGAACGTGTGTCTTGTATTCCTTCATGATTCTGCAAAGTCATGATCACAAGAAAGGAGCTAAAATTAACTATGTGGGGCAAAAATTGATATAGGGAAAGCAAAATATGGACAACTGTCGTTAATTTGGCTTTGCTTTACTCTCACCTTGTGTATAAGTGAGTAATACGTCAGTTGTAAGACTTTATGCCCATGTGGTAACTTTTCAGTGGGTTCGAAAGCATCTGACACATACAAAATCCTCAGTTAATATTTGCTGTTAATGTGTCCGGAAGAGATGACTCAACTCACGTGCTCTGGGCATTTATTTATGTGGCCTGTTTTTAATTGCCTTCCTCATAATTTATCATCAATATTCCATTACACAGAACTTGCAAAGGTTTCTTGAGGTTATTCTATAAACAAATTCTATTTTTAAAATATAGAACAGTTATTTATAGATTCTGAATTCCCAATATATTCTCAATATATTTTCATAAATCTGTAGTCGTCGAGAAGTTGGCAGAAGCTTATTGCCTCTGGTACATATTACTTCTAACCACGAGAAACTTTACTTTTCGTGATGAAAATGAAGTATTTTATCCAATTTTTTGGTCAGTTTCTATATTAAAATAGCTGACATGAAGTTTCTGTAATTTTTTTAATAATACATTTATTAGTAGTTTTTAGTAATTTTTAGTTTTACAGTTAGTAATTTTTAGTAATACATTTATTAAAGTATGTTAATTTTATATAGTTATGGAGCTAGTGAACTGTTTGGTACCATTGTGACAGCTTCCATGGCCTGCATGGTGTATTTCTGGCTTTGGGAGTTCTCATATGACTTTGGCAAGCTTGGAGTTTGAGGACTGTTCACAACAGGAATGTTTCTTCATCCTTTTGGAATCAAAAGTCAACTTGTAAAAGCTGAGAAACAAAAGTAAAAATGTGAAAATGTGCCTTTGGATATTGCTAATTCAGATATAATGCTTTTAGCACCTGGTTCCCTGGACTGGGCTTTGTCCCTGGGCCCAAAATCCTTACATTTGTTTGGGCTGTGCAGATAGTACAGGTGGGTTGAAAGTGACTGTCTAATTATCATTTGGGATTGAGTCTGTTGTGTGCTGTGTAAATTTAACTGTCTTCCCTGTTCTTTGGGCCAGTTGAGACCAACTGGAAAGGAATGCTTTCAGTAACCTTATGAAAACACAACCCTGCATTTTGTATGATTGTGCTTTATAACACCAAGGCAGGGTTTTGTTGGACATTTTATGTTTGAAAGTCATATCCCTGGCTTTAGCACTGAGGGACTTTGAAGTCCCACAATGTCATATTCAGCGCCCTCAGCTGTATCTGTACCATAGATAAGGTCCTGCATTGATAAGCATCTTTCTGGAAAGACAACTGTGAAACTTATATTTACTCGTTCTGATACTCAGATATCAACTTCAACTAACGGATGACTACATCATTAGAACTAGTCGAGTGATTGAAGAGGAAAGGAAGAATAAAGGTATTGTTTGGGTGGGGCAAGAAGCCGTAGTTTTCAGTTTTGATACAAGGTATTAGCTTCCCTAGTTGAGTCTGTTTTATATTAAAAAATAGCTTATGCTATTTTTCTTGTCTATAGTACACTTTTGGTGTAATATTAATTATCTAAAATTTAAAAAAAGAATTGTCTTCCCTCCTTTTGAGAAACCATTATTTTTAATATTTTATATAAACAGAAAGCCCAGAGATTTTTTTCTGGATATTTTATTAAACTTTATTTCAACATATTTTGATAAATCTGCAATTATCAAGAAGCTGGCAGCAACTTATTGCCTCTGGTGCCTATTACTTTTAGCCATGAGATACGTTCTTTTTCACTTATGGAAAAATTTTAACTTCTCTGTTTCCTGTGACATAGCTTCTTATTTTGTTGCCTTCTCATATTTTTTTTTATTTATAATATTTTTACTTTACATATAACCTCCTGAATTCTTGTGTATATTGCCCTTGAGACTGGAAGATGAGTAATGTCTCAATCTTCAGATATTTTATATTTCAATATATTTTTAGGAAATTGCCTGTAATGAGAAGTGAAGTTTTGGTGGAATATTCAAATAGATTCTTGGGAGTATACCAAAGTAGTTATTTGATGTTGTCCAGACACCCAGTGTGTGGCTTCCCCTTTTACTACTATCTTGTGGAGACTAACACTTCTTTTATAAATTAGTACCATCATCTATGTAACAAATTTTGCCTTGATATTATATCTACATAGATTCAAGTTAGATAAAATGAAAATGACAAAGTAATACCTACAATACAATAACAATATTGTCTTTTACAATATAGTAACAGACAGATCTTCTTCTTCAAGGAACTTAAAACCTCTCTGGTTAGCAGGTGTAGATGGTGGAATTTCACCACATAGATGACAGTTATAGCTTCACGTCACCTGTTAACTAACAGGGCTTATTTCTTACTTGCCTGTGAAAATTTTATTCCCTACACAGGCTATTTCATATTATAAAATAATGGTCATTAGGTCTGACAGACTGGCCATAAATATTAAATAGCTTTTGTATTCACAAGGAAAACATTATGATGTTTAAAGGGCTATTTATTTCAGGAAAAGCTGTTTACTTGCAAGAGGAGCTCACAGTTAGTAATCCAAAAAAGGAGGAACTCAATCAATCTGTAAGTTTTATGTAAGAACTCCAAGAATTTTTTAGCATATTTTTTGAAATACATTTTAATGAATATATAAAATTTTAGTCATGTATAATTTATCCAAAGTCTTTCTCTCGAGATGTTTAAACTGCCATTTCTACGGCAAAGAGGGGGATGACTAAAGTTAACTCAACAGTTCTTAATTTCAACCAACATCATATATGAAAGTGTAGACAGTGCTTTGGGTCTTAGAGTCCTCCTTGAATCCTATCTGTGGCCCAATTTCTTGTGTGCCTCTGGGCAGGTCCTTTGATTGCAGATTCCTCAGCTGTAAACTCTAGGATGTTTTCCACATTATAGGGTTGTTGAGGGAATTCAGTGAGTTAACGTATGAGCCTAGTTCATAGCAGGTGGCCAATATTATTATTGTTCTGTTTCTACATTAACCTGTTCTTTCCTTTCATCAGCAGCAGCTAGAATTTTTGACATTATAGTGTTATCTCACATATTAAAACTAAATGCAGTGCATTTACCACCTGCCATTGCTTGTTTAATTTTCTGTTTATTTTTATGCTTGCTGTCTGAAGATGAAGCTGGAATTTTAGGCACTTAAAACATTTTTGCAAGTTGAACTTTTGTGAGAACTTTGTATGCCTTCTTATTCAAATATGGCATACAGTATACTAAGAAAAGAAAAGCTCTACGCAAAATGTTACTTTTTTTTTTTTTGAGACTGAGCCTCATTATGTCATTCAGTGTGGAGTGCACTAGTGTTATATCGGCTCACTACAATCATCACCTCCCAGGGTAAAGCAATTCTTGTGTCTCCACCTCCCGAGAAGCTCGGATTATAGCCATACCCCACCACACCAAGAAAATTATGTGTTTTTGTTTTGTTTTTGTTTTTTACTTTTTTACTTTTTAATTTTTTAAGATGGAGTCTCATTCTGTTGTCCAGGCTTGAGTGTAATGATGCAAACTGGGCTCACTGCTACCACTGCCTTTGTTTTCAAGTGATTTTTCCTGTTTCAACCTCCTGGGTAGCGGGGATTACAGACACCTGCTACCATGCCTGGCTAATATTTATAGTTTTAGTAGAGATTGGGTTTCACCATGTTGGCTGGAGTTGGCAAATTTTTTACCTCAAGTGATCTGCCCATGATGGTCTCCCAGTGTGCTGGGATTACAGGCTTGAGCCAGTGTCTGGCTGTACTTTTAGTAGAGACCGGGATTTTCCTTGTTGCCCAAGGTAGTCTGGAAATTCTGAGCTCAAGCTATCCTCTCATGTTGGCCTCCCAAAGTGCTGGAGTTACAGGCGGGAGCCACCATGCCTGGCCATTTTTACCTTATCTTTTCATATTTAAAACAAACCTATATTGGTATGATGAGTGACTGTTTTAAGTTCTTCAATGCCTATGCAAAATGGGGTTATAATCTTACTTAGAAGGACTTGCTTCATGGGATGTTGTCCATAAAACTTCCTCTGCCCCAACTGCAGGGCAGAAGACAATTTTTGTTACTGTAGTTTGCATCTTATTGCAGAGATTCAGACATCGGTTCAGTGACCTCAGTTAAATTGTGACGCTATGCTAAAAGGAGCCTGCCAGCTTTTACTTTTGCAGCACTGTAAAGTCATCATTCAAATGCAAATTTTCCTTGTTAACTTTCAGATTGAGTTAATGTCTGTCAAAGCACAGTCTTTGGCAATAACAAAACAAATATATTGTGAATGAAAGTGTTCAAGAGATAAGTGACTATTTACTACTAAAGGAAGAAAAACTGGAAGAGAATAAAAATAAAAACATGCATCTCTTAAACCATATGTCCACCTCCTATGTTCAAGAAATTCTCCTGCCTCTGCCTCTCAAGTAGGTAAGACTACAGGAATTTACCGCCCCCCCCCCCCACCCGCTCCACACACACACAGCTAATTTTTATATGCTTAATAGAGACAGGGTTTCACCGTGTTGGCCAGGCTGGTCTCAATCTTTTGACCAAAATGTTCCACTAGTCTGGGCCTCACAAATAGCCAGGATTACAGACATGAGCCACTGTGCATGGCTTGCATGTATTAGTGATTCATACTAAGTCAGTATAAAACTATGTTTTATACTTGTAAAGGAGGCTTAAATTGGAAAGATTTATAAAATTATGATTTCTGGATTAAACTCTGCTAACCTGCCTCTAGGTGGTGTCAAGGCATTTTTTTTACTCTCTGCCTGCTGATTGGGTTTGGCTAGTGGGGACACCAGCCTCCACATACAGTGGCCCTAGACTGGCTGCTTCATATCAAGTCCCAGAGAGGTCATAGTGCCTGTGATGACATCTTTCAAGTGCTCTGAACCATCTCTGTCTCTCCAGTGCTGAGAATTTATCTCTCCCCTAATTCTCCATTACCAAGGAGTACAAAGACTATGGTCCTGTTACTATCCCAGGGAACTCCACTATCTTTTGTAGATACCCTGAATAAGTCCCTCTTTATTAAAAAGTTCTTAGATGACTTTGACTGTGGGGACCATCTGCCTTCTGTCTGGATCCCAGCTGCTTCTTACAGATGCACAGATTATATTGGATCTCGAGTCTGTCACCAAAAGGTAGACCAGATAGCACCTTGTGTGTATGGTAGAGGACAGAAACAGGCTTTCAGGTTAACATGAGAGTTTGAAAGAGTTCTTTTTCTTTCTGTGCCATCATGCATTCCACAAGCAATGAATGAATTGTTGTTTTTCCTGCAGCAAATCAGTTGTCATGTTTTAAAAATGGTTTAGCCATTCCAACAAATATAGATGGGCCATGCTAACTCGTTGTAATTTTCAGTCACTTAAAGATATATGAGTTTGAGCATCTTTTTGTTTGCTTGCCATCTTTGTATTTTCATTGGTGAGCTCAGCTTTTTACACATTGTCAATTGGGTAGTCTGTTTTATTGTTGAGTTTCAAGATTTGCGTATTTTCAGTGCAAGTTTTTACCCCGATCTGTATTTTGCAGATATTTATTTTCAGTCTGTTGCTTATCTTTCTATTTCCTGAACAAGATTTTACTCAGAGTATAAGCTTTTAATATGAGAAACCTTAAATTATTAATTTTTTTTTTACCGTTGCTGATCGGCTTTGTTGTCATTTGTTAAAACTTGTGGCCAAATCCAAGATCACATACATTTATGTCTGTGCTTTCTTCTAGAATTTGCATAGTTTTACATTTCCAGTTAATGGCTCCTTCACCATTAAAAAAAAAAAAAAAAAATGAGGGGGAATTGCTGGCAAGATTGCTGAATAAAAACAGCTCCAGATTGCAGCTCCCAGAGAGATCAATGCAGAAGGTGAGTGATTCCTGCATTTCCACCTGAGGTACACTGTTCATCTCACTGGGAATGGTTGGGCAGTGGGTGCAGTCCATGGAGTGTGAGATGAAGCAGGGTGAGGCATCACCTCACCGGGGAAGCCTGAGAAACCAAGGGCCCTATTCCAGATATGCGCTTCTCCCATGGTCTTCACAACCTACAGACCAGGATATTCCCTTTGGTGCCTACCCCATGAAGGCCGTGGGTTTCAAGCACAAAACTGGGCAGCTGTTAGAGCAAACACTGAACTAGCTGAAAGAATTTTTTTTTTGTTTGTTTGTTTTCATACCTCAATTGTGCCTGGCATGTTAAGGAGACAGAACCGTTCACTCCCCTGGAGAGAGGTGATGAGGCCAAGGAGCCAAGTGGTCTGGCTTGGGGAGTGACACCCCCTACAGAGGCAAACAAACTAAGGTTCACTGGCTTGAAATTCTCTCTGCCAGCACAGCAGCAGTCTGAGATCGACCTGAAATACTCGAGCTTGTCTAGGGGGAGGGTCATCCGCCATTGCTGAGCCTTGAGTAGGCCATTTTACCTTTGTAGTGTAAATAAAACCACAGGGAAGTTTGAATTGGTTGGAGCCAACTGCAGCTCAGCAAGGCTGATGTGGCTAGGCTGCCAGATTTCTCCTCTCTATGCAAGACTTTTCTGAAAAAATGACAGAATCCCCAGTCAGGGGCTTATAAATAAAACCCCGGTCTCCCTGGGACAGAACATCTGGGGGAAGGGGCAGCCATGGATGCAGCATCACAGACTTCAACATAACTGCCTGATGGCTGTGAAGAGAGCAGCAGACCTCCCATCACAGCGTTTGAGCTCTGCTAATGGTCAGACTGCCTTCTCAAGTGGATCCATGGCCTCTGTGTATCCTGACTGGGAGACACCTCATACAGGAGAGCACTGGCTGGAATCTGAAGGTGCCCCTTGGGGATGAAGCTTCCAGAGAAAAGAACAGGCAGCAATCAATGAGGCAGAAAATTAACAAGGATTTGCAGGACCTGAAATCAGCTGTGGACTAAGTAAACCTAATAGACATCTGCAGAACTATCCACCCCCAATCAACAGAATATACATTCTTCTCGGTGTCACATAACATGTATTCAAAAATTGACCACATAATTGGAAGTAAAACACTCCTCAACAAATGCCAAAGAATGCAAATTATAACAAAGAGCCTTCCAGACCATAGTGCAATCAAATTAGAACCCAGATTAAGAAACTCACTCAAAACCACACAACAACATAGAAATTGAACAACCTGTTCCTAAATCACTGATGAGTAAATAACAAAATAAGGCAGAAATAAAGATGTTCTTTGATACCAATGATAATGAAGACACAACGTATCACCATCTCTGGGGCACATTTAAAGCAGTGTGTAGAGAAAAATTGATAGCATTAAATGCCCACAAGATAAAGCAGGAAAGATCTAAAATAGACACGCTAACATTAAAATGAAAAGAAATAGTGAAGTAACAGCAAACCAATTCAAAAGCTAGCAGAAGACAAGAAATAACTAACATCAGAGAAGAACTAAAGGAGATAGTTCAAAAAAAACTTTCAAAAATCAATAAATCCACGCGCTGGTTTTTTGAGAATATCAACAAAATAGATAGACCACTAGCCAAAATAATAAAGAAGAAAAGAGAGAAAAATAAAATAGATGCAACAAAAACTGATATAGGGAATATCACCACTGATCCCACAGAAATAGAAACTACCATCAGATAATACTATAAACAGCTCTCGGCAAATAAACTAGATAATCTAAAAGAAATGGATAAATGCCTTGACGTATACACCCTCCCATGTCTACACCAGGAAGATGTTAAATTCATGAATAGACCATTAACAAGTTCTGAAACTGAGGCAGTAACTGATAGCCTACCAACCAAGAAAATCCAGTACCAGACAGATTCATAGCCGAATTCTACCAGAGATACAAAGAGGAACTGGTACCATTCCTTCTGATATTATTACAAACAATAAAAAAAGGAAATCCTCCTTAAATAATTTTATGAGGCCAGCATTATTCTGATGCTAAAAACCTGGCAGAGGCTCACCAAAAAAGAAAATTTCAGGCCAATATCCCTCATGAACATTGCTGTGAAAATCCTCAATAAAATACTGGCAAACTGAATCCAGCAGCACATCATAAAGCTTATCCACCACGATTATGTCAGCTTTATCCCTGGGATACAAGGCTAGTTCAACATACGCATATCAGTAAATGTAACACATCACATAAACAGAACAAATGACAAAAACCACATGATTATCTTCATAGATGCAGAAAAGGACTTCATCAAAATTCAACACCCCTTTATGTAAAATCTCTCAGTCAACTAGGTAAGGATGGAAGGTATCTCAAAATAATAAGACCTACTTATGGCAAAGCCACCGCCAATATCATACCGAATGGGCAAAAATTGGAAGCATTCCCGTTGGAAACCTGTACGATGCAAGGATACACTCTGTTTTCACTCTTATTCAAAATTGTATTGAAACTTCTGGCCAGGGCAATCAGGCAAGAGGAAGAAATAAATAAAGGGTATTCAAATCGGAAGAGAGGAAGTCAAATCGTCTCTGTTTGCAGAGGTCATTATTATATACTTAGAAAACCCGCCATCTCAGCACAAAATCACCTTGAGCTGGTAAGCAACTTCAGATAAGCCTCAGGATTCAAAATCAATGTGCAAAAATCACAAGCATTCCTACACACAATAACAGAGAAACAGACAGTGAAATTATGGGTAAACTCCCATTCACAGTTGCTACTAAGTGAATAAAATGCCTAGGAATACAACTTACAGGGGATGTGAAGAAACTATTCAAGGAGAACTTCAAACCAATGCTCAAGGAAATAATAGAGGGCATAAAGAAATGAAAAAACCTTCCATGCTCATGGATAGGCAGATCAATATTGTAAAAATGGCCATACTACCCAAAGTAATTTATAGATTCAGTGCTATCCCCATCAAGCTACCAATCACTTTCTTCACAGAATTGGAAAAAACCTTAAAATTCATATGGAACCAAAAAAGAGCCTGCACAGCCAAGACAATCTTAAGCAAAAAGAACAAAGCTGGAGGCATCACACTACCTGACTTCAAACTATATTACAAGGCTACAGTAACCAAAACAGCACGGTACTTGTACCAAAATAGATATATAGACTAATGGAACAGCATAGTGGCCTCAGAAATAATACGACACATCTACTACCATCTGATCTTTGACAAACCTGAAACAAGCAAGCAATGGGGGAAATATTTTCCCTTTAATGAATGACGTTGAAAAAACTGGCTAGCTATTCAGAAAACTGAAACTGGACCACTTCCTTATACCTTATGCAAAAATGAACTCAAGATGGATTAAAGAATTAAACGTAAGGATTAAAACCATAAAATACCTAGAAGAAAACCTAGGCAATACCATTCAGGACATAGGCATGTGCAAAGTCTTCATGTTTAAACACCAAGAGCGATGGCAATAAAAGCCAAAATTGACAGATGGGATCTAATTAAACTAAAGAGCTTCTGCACAGCAAAATAAACTATCAACAACGTGAACAGACAACCTACAGAATGGGTGAAAAATCTTGCAATCTATCTATCTGAGACAAGGCTAATATCAGGAATCTACAGGGAACTTAAACAAGTTTACAAGAAATAAACAAACAACCTCATCAAACAGTGGGCAAAGGATATGAACAGACACTCCACAAAAGAAGACTTTGATGCCGCCAAGAAACATATGAAAAAATGCTCATTAATTTATCACTCGTTATTAGAGAAATACAAATCCAAACCACAGTGAGATACCCTCTCAAACCAGTTAGAATGGCGATCATTAAAATATCAGAAAACTGCAGATGCTGCAGAGGATGTGGAGAAATAGAAATGCTTTTACAGTGTTGGTGGGATTGTTAATAATTTAACCCTTGTGGAAGACTAGGATCTTGTGGAAGACAAGAAATACCGTTTGACCCAGCAATCCCCTTACTGCGCGTATAACCAAAGGACTATAAATCATTCTACTATAAAGACACATGCACACGTATATTTATCGCAGCACTATTCACAGTAGCAAATACTTGGAACCAACCCAAATGTACATCAATAATAGACTGAATAAAGAAAAGGTGACACATATACACCATGGGATAGTATGCAGCCGTAAAAGTGGATGAGTTCATGTCTTTTGCAGGGACATGAAAGAAGCTGGCAAACATCATTCTCAGCAATCTATCAGAAAAAAAGAAAACCAAACACCACATGTTCTCATTTTCAAGTGCGAGTTGAACAATGAGTACACATGGACACAGGGAGAAAAACATCACATGGTGGCGGGTGGTGGGATAGTGCGGAGAAAACATTAGGAGAAATACCTAATGTAGGTGATGAGTTGATGGGTGCAGCAAACCACCATGGCATCGTAGTTTGCATTTCTCTAATGGCCAGTGATGATGAGCATTTTTCGTATGTTGGTTGCATAAATGTCTTCCTTTGAGAAGTGCGAACAGACACTTTTCAAAGGACATACAGGCAGCCAATAAACTTATTTTTAAAAGCTCAATATTATTGATTATTAAAGAAGTGCAAATCAAAGAAAAAAAACAATGACATACCATCTCATACCTGTCAGAATGGCTATTATCGTAAAGAAATTTATAACAGATGCAGGCGAGGTTACAGAAATCAAGGAAAAATTATGCACTGTTGGTAGGAATGTAAATTAGTTCAACTGTTGGGGAAAGCAGTAGGGCAATTCCTCAAAGACTGGAAAGCAGAACTACTGTTCAACCCAGCATTCCCTTTACTGGATATGTACTCAAAGGAATATAAATCATTATACCATAAAGACACATGAATGCAAATGTTCATGCGGACTCTTCCCAACAGAAGACATGGAATTAATCTAAATGCCCATCAGTGATGGTTTGGATTAAAGAAAATGTGGCACATACCCACACAAAATACTATGCCGCCATAAAAAAGAATACAGTTATGCCTTTGAGGGAACATGGATGGAGCTGGAGGATATTATCTTTAGCAAAGTAATGTAGGAACAGTAAACCAAATATCACATATTTTCACTAGAAGTGGGAGCTAAATGATGACAACTCATGAACACAAAGAAGGGAACAATAGGCATGGGACCTACTTGAGGGTGGAGGGTGGGAAAAGAGAGACCAGCAGGAAAAATAACTATTGAGTCCTAGACTTAATACCTGGATGATGAAATAATCTATACAACGAACGTCCGTGACAGGAGTTTACCTATATAACAAACCTTCACACGTACACCTGAAACTAAAACAAACAAACAAAAAGAAACCAAGATAATAGGCAACATTTCCATTTGAATTTCTAAAATGACGGCTTTGAACAGTCTGACCTCTGCTTTTATTTGGTGCCGCAGGCCAGCCAGGCGGGGCGTCGCACGTGGCTGCTTCACCTTGACCATGAGTGTCCTGCAGTTCTTCCGGCTGCTAGCAGGGGACGCAAGAGTCTGCCTCTTCTGACCCTGGGAGTGCAGGTGTTTTCAGCGCATGCTGCTTGAGGGGGAGAGCAGCGTTCTTCTCAGCACAGACCAGAGCAACAACGCCTTGCTGTGGGACAGCTGCAGGGAGTGGTAAGTAAAAACTTCCCTCTGACTGCTGAGGATCAGGGACCCAGGAGAAGTGCTTCTTGTGGAAAATTAAACATAAAAATATCCCATGGCTTTAGTGCACCCCAACGTCCTTCCCCACACACAAGGTGTAGTGGCCACAATGCCAGGTCCACACTGTGGCCTCATGCCACAAATGTATCATTCGTCATATAACATCTGTAATAGACATATAACATCTGTAAACAAATATATCAACCATAATACAGATGTGTCATTCCTAATACTAATGTAACACCTGAAATACTGATCTAACACCCATATTACCACTGTAACACTCATTAACAGCAATAAAACACTCATAATACCAGTATACCATCTGAAACACAAATATAACAACCATAATACTGATCTAAGACCCATAATACAAGCATCACTCTCATAATACCAATATACAACCCACAATACAAATGAAACACCCATAACACTTATGTAACATGTGTAATGCTGTCCTGACACCTCTAATACAACTGTAACACTCATAATACCAATATACCACTCATAATACCAGTATATCATCCTGCAATACAAATATAGCAACGGTAATACTGATGTAACAACTGTAATACTGATGTAACACCGGTAATACTAACACCCATAATACTAACACAACATCTGTAATACAAATGAAACAACCATAATACTGATGTAACACCCATAATTACTGACGTAACACTCATCATAAAGATGTAACACCTGCAATACTGACATAACATTCCTACTCTTACTGGGGCACTTTCTTTCAGAGCTTCCACTGAGCTGGATTTGGGTTGGATTTGGCCTCTATAATGATGTTTGATGTTGTTGTCTCTGCTTTAGTGAAAAGGTATTGACATGGTTGTTTTTATTAAAAAGTAGTTTATTTCTCAATAATTTCATACTTCTAGGAAACTTCCAATAGCTATTAGTATAGATTAATCCTCTCTTCCAGAATCTCCAGTGGTTTCTGCTGTGCCAGATTTGAAGCTTTATGCAGAATATCCCAGTGGGTTTTACAAAAAGTGGAGACATTCTCCAAGGGTACCACCACATAACTACAACATCAGGAAATACAGGATTGGTACTGGTAATGGTAATGGCAAAATATTCACTTACAAACACAAGTTTCATCCTGTCACTCTCCTGATTTAATTTTGCCAGTGGTTTCCCACTGACCTTAGAACAAGAACCATAGAACTCACCATGGCTGCAGACCCCAAGTTCTCCTGCCTGTTTCCCGTGCCCACTCAGTCCGCTCAACTGCCTGCAGTCTCATCTGATTTTAATTGTGGGAACACAGTGTCTGGAGTGTCTCAGGAATTTTATGTGCTATCTCTCAATCTATTCACCTAGTGCCCACACTTATCTAATTTCCCAAGGCTTTGTCCAGCTAATAAAGTCAGAGCTTGTGCTATTTAACTGTAGAAAAGATAATAATGTGCTGTTTCTAAAGATGAAAAGAAATTCATTATTTGTTAGGTAATTGATGAGATCACTCTCAACTTATAAATCAAGGAAATGATAGTTAATGCAATGAAAGTTCATGTTTGGGGAAATTAGTAAATACAACATCTCAGTGCTGAAGACAAATGACCCTATTAATTATTGAAATTACATAAGAATTTATTGGGCAGACTGTTACCTTGCTATCTTCCGTAACTGTGTGTTATTAATTCCAAGTTATGTTAGGTTTAAGTACTTACATGTAACGTAGTGCATCAATACATTTAAGTGACAAAAAAGTCCTAGAACATGACATGACAATTCATATAAATATTTGTAAACCTCCTTAACTGTACAGTGTAAAGTAAATAAAGTAAGCTTAGCTATTTAAGCAGATGAGTTGTTAATATTTGAATATTGAAATGCTGTGAGGGTATGTAATTATGTCACAGCTTTGATATGAGACTTGGGGCATTTGTGTATCCATGTACCTCATTAACTTAATGACTTCCCTTATTACTTCCTTCTGGATGATAAATTTTGGGCCCATGGAGGCTGAGGGACAAACTGTCAGCTCTATTGGAAACTCTAGTCCAGCAAGAAAGTTTTCATTTCAGAATATTATTTCCTGCCAGATATTTATTTTCTCATCCAAGCAAACTTGCTCCCCAGCAATATTGTTACCTTAGCTGCTCCTCAGGTCAAGCTGGACAGGACTAATTTTCCCACACGGAATCACATGACTATGAGGAAAGCTTATTTAGGAAACACCTGATGGAGTAAAACTTATATATTTTACTGGTCATCTTTTTATGTGCTTGTATTCCATATGCATGTCTTTTTGGTGAAGTGTGTAGTCAACTACTTCTCTGTTTTGTACCTGGATTGTTTGTCTTTTTTTTTTGTTACTGGGGTATGCAAAGTCTTCATACATTGTCGATAACAGACTGTTGTTACACACATAAAATGCAAGCCTTCCTTTCTGTACCATGTCTTTTCACTTTCTTGATAGTGTCTTTTGATGCACAAAAATGTTTAATTTTGAGAAAATTCTTTCTTTAGTTGACTGTGCTTTTGGTATCAGATCTAAGAAACCACTGCTAAATCCAACATTATGAAGATCTATCCCCATATTTTCTTCTAAAGTTTCTTTTTTTACCTCTAATATGTAGGCTTTGAAACATTTTCTGTTAATTTTATTTTCTGTTGTGAGAAAAGTACAATTTCTTTGTCTGAATGCGGTATTCAGTTGCATAACAGCATTTGTTGAATTTACTGATCTTGGTTACATGTCAAAAATCAATTGTCTACAATTGACAATTGTAGACAATTGTAGAGGTACCGTTGGATTTAACCTTCAGTTCCATTGACCTCTGTGTGTGTCCTTATACCAGTATTATGCTGTTTTGATGACTGCTGCTTAGCAGTAATATTTGAAATTGAGAAATGTGAGTCTCTAAGTTGGTTTTTGTTTTCAAGAATATTTTGGCTATTCAGGATCCCCTGAAAAGTATATGAATGTTAGAATTGGCTTGTCCATTTCTGCCAAAAGGACTTTGGTATTTTCATAGAAATCACAATGAATTTGCAGTTTGCTTTGTGCAGTATTGTCACATAAAAAATCATCTTCTAATCCAAAAGCATTGAGTGTCTTTATGTTTATGTAGGGTTTCTGGAATTTATTTCAGCAGTATTTTGTAATTTTTCATGTCAAATTCTTGCACCTTGATAAAAGTTTGTCTGGAAAACTTTATGATCATTGGCTTTTTGTTGTTGCTCTTTGAGACAGGGCCTTATTCTTTGGCCCAGGTGGGAATGTACTTGTGCAATCATAGCTCACTGCAGCTTCAAACACTTGGGCTTGAGCAATCCTCCCCCCTTGGCCTCCCAAAGTACTGGAATTACAGGCGTAAGCCACAACATTCAGCCTGTTTTGTTGTTGTTGTTGTTGTTGTTGTTTCTTTGATTGTTTGTTTTTGGTTCCTGTTTTGAAAGTTGAAAAGGATAATTTGCTTTATAATCAATGAAAATATAGTACTTTGAATAGGCCAGAAGACATAATGCACAAGAACTTTAAGTTGTATAGTTGACTTATCAACCACCTGGGTAAAGTTCAATTACTTCTTAAAAATTTGTAGCTGTTAACCTTCCCAAATTGTCTTTAAATAAACTCCTTGAATTGTAGGAATAAAAAAAATGAGACGACAAGGCACATTTAAACAATACTGAAGTTTATCAAAGGACTTAAGGAATTTCAACTCATATGTCTCTCTCTCTTTCTTTCTTTCCTTCCTTCCTTCCTCCCTCCCTCCCTCCCTCCCTCCCTCCCTCCCTCCCTCCCTCCCTCCCTCCCTCCTTTCTTTCTTTCTTTCTTTCTTTCTTTCTTTCTTTCTTTCTTTCTTTCTTTCTTTCTTTCTTTCTTTCTTTCTTTCTTTCTTTCTTGGTCTTTCAGACAGGGTCTCACTTTTTGTCGAGTGTGGACTGCAATGGTGCCATCATGGCTCATTGCAGCCTGCAGCTTCTCACTCCTGGGCTCCTTTGAATCTGTCTGCCTTAGCTTCAGCTGCAATACCTGGTAATTATTTTTCTTTTTCCTTCTTTTTTATTTTCTTGGAGACAATGGTTTGCCATGTTGCCTGGGCTCTTCTGAAACCTCTGGGCTCAAGAGATGTGCCTGCCTTGACGTCTCAAAGTGCTGAGATTACAGGCATCAATAAAACATTTATTGTGTTAGGGTCAGTAAAAATAAATCAATGTTTTGGCTAAGTTATGAACATACCTATAATGCAATTATTTGAATAACTCCAGCAATGCCATGGGCAGCTACAAACTGATGAATTTTATTAACAAACAACTAAATACACAAAAACACTTAGCCCAATTGTTTAACTGAAAAACATGTTTATTATTTCTAGTTTCCAGCGTTTTCTAGGTCATCATTGTTCATTTTAAAAGTCCTTTCCATAGGATAAAGCAAAACCACCTATGAATTGCCATATTTGTTTATTTCTCAGTTATGAAAATGTCCTTAATTTGTTGACATTGCAAACAAATTTCAACTCTGTTATGAAAAACTTAAGACAACCTTCTTAGCAATTAATTTTATAGTTACATTGCATACAGGGAATGTGCTGTCTGTGAAAAAATACAAACTCAACTACAAGTCTTAAACACTGAAAAGAGTTACCAGGTGATTATAATTTATTTTATTATATCAATCTATTGTATTGATATACAATCAATTGTATTTACATACAATCTAGAAAGTTTACAGCTGTCAGAAATTCTAGTGCAGGTTTATGTGAAATCAGAATTTAAAAGTCCCTGTGGAGCTGTAGGTGTAGTAAAATGTGTAGGTAAAATATGTCCATGCTCTTGACAGTGCTCAGGAAGGGATGTCTCTCAAATTGACCTCAATGGTTCTCTTCTCAGCAAAATGACCTGGGCCACTCAACAAGGGTTTCATTATTGCTGATGTTTGTGAAGGATCTTTTATAAAAATTTATTACTCAAAAGATATTTATTTGACATCATGGCATTAGGGTTTTCAAAACCGCTAGAGGTTTTCTTTTCTTCATCCATTATATTTTAAAGGAATTCGACATTGATTTCTCAGGAACTTGAACAGTTTCTGGTTAGCCCCACAGTGATTCCAGCCAGGTCCCAATATAGTAGCACAGCCTCAACTCCAAGGCTGTCCCAGACCTCGGCTGCCTGATATCTGTGTCTTTCAGGGCAGTGGGAAATATTCCAGCTTCTTGTTTTTTTGTTTTTTTGTTTTGTTTTTTTTTTTTTTTTAGAAATAAAGTTGTCATCTTAATTTCATTTTTGTAGGGTTGATTGCTAGTGAATAGAAATAGATTTTGTGGCCAGGTGCAGTGGCTCACGCCTGTAATCTCAGCAATTTAGGAAGCCAAAGTGGACATATCATCTGAGGTCAGGAGTTCAAGACCAGCCTGACTGACATGGAGAAATCCAGTCTCCACTAGAAATACAAAATTAGCCCGGCATGGTGGGACATGTCTGAATCCCAGCTACTCAGGGGGCTGAGGCAGGGGAATCACTTGAACGCAAGAGGCTGAGGCAGGAGAATCGCTCAAACCCAGGAGACGGAGGTTGTGGTGACCCGAGATCGTGCCATTGCATTCCAGCCTGGGCAACAAGAGCAAAACGCCATCAAAAAGAAAAAACAAAAAGTTTTTTTTGTGTTGATATTCTGTCTTGTTATTTTTCTTAATTTGTTTCCTAGATTTCATAATTTCTAGATGGTTCCTTATGGTTTTCTGTGTATGAGATCTGTGAATAGTTTTACTTTTCTCTTCCACATATGAATAGCTTTGTGTGTGTTTGCGTATATGTGTGTGTGTGTGTGTGTGTGTGTGTGTGTGTGTGTATATATGTAATTATTCTTCTGGAACTTCTAGTACAGGGTTTAATACAGTTGAGCATCAATGCTGTGTTCCTCATCTTAAAGCTTTCGTTCCCAACAATTTAGATGATGATTATTATGGGTTTTGCATAAAGATGTTTTATCATGGGAAAAAATTGAAATACAGTTTATTGGATTTTTAATTGTTAAATGTGTTGTCTTTAAGTACTTTTTATAAAAGTTGAGACAAACGTGGTGTATTTCAACATTTGATTTACATAATATGTTGAAAAGGGATGGCATTAGAATGGTAAAAAAAAAAAAAAACCTTGATTTTCTGAGAAAAGATCTTAAACATCGTGGTTTATAATGTCTTCACTTATTTGGTTAAATATTATAATGTCTATAGTTAGCAGATATGGTTACGTTTAGTTTTTTGTCCCAGTGATACCATTTGTTTAATTCAATACTAATTTGGGCTTAGAAAGAGATATGACTCCTTGTACTCTTTTGCATATAAGGGGCTAGAGGTTAGAGTCATACAGGTTGTATTCAAAGTTTTTTAAGCATAATGGTGTAACCTTAAGGATAGAATAGAAACGGAGGATTGGGATAAGGTTTACAATTGCAGAAAAAGTTCAGGATTAGATTGAGGGTTAGGGCTGGGCTTGAAATAAGATTTAGTGTTGTGGTAGGATTAGGGTTCGAGTTAGAGTTAAGATTAGGTTTATGGGTTAGGGTTGAGTTTAGGGCTAGGGGTCAGAATCAGCATTAGAGGTTAGGTTTGGGCTTGGGTTATGCTTAGGTTTAGGGTAAAAAGATAGGCTTCCAGTTAGAGGTTAGGAATTAGGGTCCTGGCCAGGGTTAGGGTTAGTATTAAGGTTTAGGGTGAGGGTAAGTGTTAGAGTATTTCAGTATTTGGGTTAGTGTTTAGCATTAGGATAGGGCTTAGGGTTACATGTAGGGTTAGAGTTCAGGGTTCTGGGTTAGGGTTTAGGGTTATTGTTAATGATAGTGATCAGCATTTATGGTTAGATGTTAGTGATAGTGTTGGGCATATGGTTAGGGTTTTTGATTTAAGTTTAGCATGACTGTTAAGGCTGAGTTTGTGTTGAGGTTGAGGTTAGTGGTCACGATTAGGGTAACTCTTAGGGTTCAGTTTAGAGTTTAGGATTAGGGTTAGGGTTAGGGTTTAGTGTTAGGGTTTGTTTAGTGTTAAGGTTAGGGGTTAACATTTATTGTTAGTGTTAGTATTAAGGTTTTTGTAGAGTTAGGGGCTAAGATTAGGTTTAGGTTTAGGGTTTAGGTTTAATTAGGGTTACAGATTTTGCTTTAGGGCTAGGGTTAGTGTTAAAGGTTAGGTTTTCTGATTTAGGGTTCAGGTTATGATTAGGTTCAGTGTTTAGGATAAGAGTTATTTTTAGGTTTAGTGCTAAGGTTAAGATTATGTTAGAATTATGTTAGTTTCACTCTCAGGATAAGGGTATTAGGGTTAGTGTTAGTGTGAGTTTTAGAGTTATGGGTTGCAGTTAAAGCTACCTTCAGTGTTTTTGGGATTTGGGGATTTATAGTTGGAATTAGGGTTAGCTTTAGGTGGTAGTGTAAGGGTTCGGATTAGGGTTTGGGTGAGGGTTAGGTTTAGGATTCAGGATGAGGGTTAAAATTAGGGCAAGTGTTATGCTTAGTGTTAGGGTTATAATTAAAATGTTTGGTTTAGTGTTAAAATTTAGGATTAGGGTTTAGTGTTAGTTTGTGGTTTAACATTGGGTGCCTGGTTGTGGTTGAGTTAGGGTTAGGATGATGGTCAAAGCGTTTGGCTAAAGATTAGGCTGAGGGTTAGTGTTAGGCTTAGAGTAGGGCTTTTGATGAGGTGTTAGTGTTAGAGTTAGGGTTTAGGGTTTGGCTAAAGGTTAGGGCATTGTTTAGGGTTAGTGTTATAATTAGGGTTAGGATTTGGGCTTAGGATTCTCTGTTTAGTGTAAAGTAGGGTTTATGTTTATGTTTGGGGTTGGTGTTCATGTAGGGGTAGGGTTAAGTTGAGGGTAAAAGGGTTAGGATTTGTGGTAAGGTTAGGCTTAGTGTTAGGCTTACTGTTAGGGCGTACATTTGGGGTTGGTGTTAGTGTTGAAGTTCGGGTTAGGATTTGGGGTAGGGATTAGGAATAGAGTTTTCAGTTAGTGTTAGGGTTTAGGATTAGTGTTGGGTATTAGCATTTTAGTTAGGGTTACAGTTAGAGACTAAGGTTTAGTTTAGCATTTAGGGTTAGGGTTTTGGTTTATGGATACAGTTACAGGTTACAGTTAAGAGTTTATGGTTTAGGATTAAGATTATAGTTAGGTTTTAAGCTTTAGGTTTAGAGTTATGGTTTAGGCTTATTTTTATTAATGGGTTTAGAGTTAGGATGGTTTTAATGTTAAAGTTCTGGTTTCATGCTTTTACAGTTAGGATTAGTGTTACTGTTAGGGTTATGTGTTGAGTTTGTGGTTAGGTGTAGTTTTTCAATGTTTTATTGCTAACATTAGGATTTCATTTGAAAATAAGGGGTTTGCTTTGGGTTATGTTTTCAAGGTTAGATTTTGGGTTAAGTGTTAGGGTTAGTATTTAGGGTGAGGATTACATTTAGGTTATCAGATAGAGTAACTTTTATGTTTAGCGTTACAGGCTATGCGTTTAGTGTTTAGCGTACAGCGTTTACGTTACAGCGTTACAGGTTAAAATTCAGGGTTAGAGTTAGCTTTAGGATATAGAATTAGTGTTAGGGGTTAGAATTAGCGTTGGAGTTTAGTGGTTGTGGGTCTGTTGGTGTTACAGATAGGGCACAGTGTTAGAATTAGGATTAAGATTAGAATTATTGTTTAATGTTATTTTTAGGGTTAGGGTAAGAGTAGATTAAGCTTTAGGGTTATAGTTATGGTGAGTGTTTAAATTTAGATTAAGGGGTTAAGGTTATGTTTATTATTATGATTACAGTTGAGGTTACAATTATTGGTTAGAATTAGTGTTAGGGTGAGCATTAGGGTACAGATTGCAGTAACACATTAGGGTTAGAGTTAATGTTAGTAGTCAGGCTTAGGGTCAGGGGTTAGGATTAGGTATAGGGTTAGGGTTGACCTAAAGATTAATGTTAGGATTAGGGTTTGGGTTTCATGTAACAGCTAGGTTTTGGTGTCATGTAGGTGTAGGGTTAGGGTAGTAATAAGAGTTTTAGCATTCAGGTCATGGGTTAGTATTAGACTTATTGTGAATGTTATGATCATGCTCAAAAAGCAGGTTTAGAAGTTAGAATTTAGGGTTAGATTTAGGGGTTGTTGTTAGTGTTAGGCTTAACGTTAGCTTTTGAGGGTTAGAGATGGTTTTTTTGTTTAGTGTTAGTGTTTTTGTCTTAGGGTTAGGGTTTTAGGGTTAAGGTTTTAGGCTTAGAGCTTAAGTTCAGGTTTCTGTAATGTTTGCATTACACTTGGATTAGGGTTATTTTCAGGGTCAGGGTCAAATTCAGGTTTAGCTGTTAGATTTAGGATTTAGAGTTGGGATTTGTTTTGGGGTTTAGGTTTTGGTGAGTGGCTAGGCATAGAGTTGATGTTGGGGTCAAGTTTGTGGCTTAGAGTTGCTGTTAGTGTTAGGGATTCCTGCTTAGGATTCGGGTAGAGGCTGAGTTAAGGTTAATGTTATGATTAAGTTTAGGGTTACAGAAGGCACTGGGCAGCTGGCTAGTGTATTACATCATCACTCTTTTTTACAGAAGGGAGGACTGAGCCTTGCACCCAGAACTTTTCTGCGTCTAAGCTCAGGGCCATCTTAATGCTCATTGTGCAGCCTCATAGATTAGGAGCCAAAGGAAGTTGGCTTCTGAGGCCACAGCTTTTCTAAATGTCAACCCAGAGCTAACCAAATCCACAGTAGCTTGTGTTTGAGAATGGCAGGTGTTTTGAGGTAGTCTCTGGAAGGCCCAAAGGAAGGGAAGTGGGAAAATGTGAAAGTAAAATGCTGCAGCTGCTGTGGAAAATAGTTTGGTGTTCTGCAAAAGCTAAATATAAAATTACCATAGGACCCACAACATCCGCTCCAAGCTGTATATACAAAAAATGTAAAAGAGTTATTCAAAGAAAAACTTGTATACATATGTTCATAGCAGCATTCACAATAACTAAAATCTGGAAACACACCAAATAAATGTCCACCAGCAAAAAGTAAGAAGCAAAATGTAGTATGCCCATAGAATGGCATAATATTCAGCTGTGAAGAGGATGACAACTCTAATGCTACAATGTGAGGAAACTTCAAAGCAATTTTGGCTCAAGAAGGTGAAGACAAAAGTCACATAGTGTATGATTTTATTTATGTAAATATTTAGAATAAGTAAATCCATAGAGAAAAAAGTGCAGATCACTTGTTGCTGGTGTCAGAAAGAGGACAGATTGGGTAGGAGCTTCTTAATAAGTAGGGTATTTCCTTTTGGAATGATGAAAATAATTTGGAACTAAGATGCGGTTGTTGCCCACAAATATGCATGTACTAAAGATCACTAAGGAATTCATTAACAAACAGTTAATTGTATATTATGTGAAGGAAATTGTCGTCACTAAAAAGACAAAATTTCTTCCTCAGCATTCTCTCAGCAATGTGAGCTCTCTTTCCACAGAGTGCTTGTAGCATGGGGTTCTGGTCCGTCCACAGCCCAGAACTACCTGGGGCCAGGCCAGCCACATACTAGACATGAACTCCCGCCACCCTGTCCAGCAGCTCCTCGACCTGTTACCAGTGGAAGTTATCTGAGTTACTGGTGTCAAATCTATCATGGTCTGCAGTAACTTAAACTCTTCCCTCCTCAGAAGAAAGGATTTGACTGAGGGGAATAAAGTAGCAAAGGAGACTGAGAAAAGTTTCCCAGCAAACATGGAAGTTTATTTAAAAAGTTTTAGAGTAAGAAAATGGAGAGTGCCCTTGGGAGAGATCCAACTGGTTGATTTGAACATATACCATATATATGTCTTGCAAATATTTTGTCCCATGCTGTTGGTTCTCTTTCCACTATGCTGACAGTGTCCTTTCATGCACAAAAGTGTTTAGTTTTGATGAAGTTCAGTTGATCTATATTTTCTTATGTTTTGTGTTCATTCAGTAATATAGCCAAGAAATCATTTACAGATCCACAGCCAAAAAGCACATGAAAAGATGTTCAAAATCACTAGCCACTTAATACATGAATATCTAAATGAGAATAAGATTACCACTTTATCTCCATTGGAATTTTTTATTTTATTTTTTAAGGAAAAGTTTGAGAGTATGTGGAGAAATTAGAACCCTTGTACATTGCTGGTGAGATGGTGAAATGGTGGCAATGGTTGCACAAATTGAGCATAGTTAAATAGTTAATGCTTCCAAATTATACACTCAAAAATGTTTGAAATGGTACATTTGTTTACGTATGTTTTTCCAATGATGACAAAAGCTTCCTCAGAAATCATCCTAAAATAGTTGCATGTGTCATGAAAGAAGACGCTCTTCTCCTATCATGAGTAGAAGCGTATTTATTTATTCATGCTGGTATACACACTCCTGACTCTTCCACACCCCCAGCGTGATCTCATCAAGCAGAGTGAGTCCCTTCTCATCTGGCCCATTTGTGCTCCTTTCCATCACTGCATTCTCCTTTTCAACTCACTACCTGCCCACTAAAAACAACTGTAAATTACCTTGTCTGTTTACCATCTCTGTAAACATTTCTTCTCTGTAATGTAATAGAAATGAAATCATACAATATGTCATCTCCTCAGACTGGCTTTTATCACTTAGCTTCATGTATGCCTGATTCATCCATGGCTTTGCGTGACTTCATAAATCACTCCTTTTCTTTTGATGAATAGTATTTCATTTTATGAATTTACCTGGCTTGGTTAATATTGAAAGGCATCCTGATTCCTTCAAGTATTTTGCCATTGTCAAGAGAGCAGTTATACATAAGTGCATGTGGTTTTGAGTTAGATGTGACTTTCCAAATCAGTTGTCTAAATACCTAAGTGTGCAATTGTTAGCCTATATGATGAGACCATGATTGCCTTTGGAAAAAACTGCCAAACTGTGGCAGAAGAAGACAACCATATTTTAAAGTTGCTGTACCATTTTGCCTTCCATCGGCAATGAATGAGATTTCCTGTTGCAGTTTTGATTACATTTAAAAAGAAATTTAGATATAGTATAGCTGTTTAGTGCTCTCACTTTTATTTTATTTTGCCTTCCCTGAATGGAAGGTGTTGTTGAGCACTGTTTTGTTGTTATCATTTGTTCATTAATCTGTGATTGCTGCCAAAAAGCATACATGCGTTGTGCCACAGAAAACCAATTTTTAAAAAAAGTACTCTATGCTTTACCTGGTAAAAACTAATAAAATTTTTCTAGTCCACATAGTCATTTATCTTGCCATTTTTTCTAATCTTATGGTGACTACAAGAAAAGAGTGAACTGTAGCTAATAAGAGAATGTGGTGTATTGTCGTGATTTTTCACTGTGTAAAAGTCCCTTTCACTCAAGTGATTTCTTTATGGATTTCAAGGCAGCAACAAGAACGTGTAGAGTACAAACTAGTCTCTGTTGGAATTGACAAAAAGCTCTGATCTCAGTTTCTCTACATATCTTGCCATGCTGAATCATTGACAAAAATACAAAAATTAGAACTATGAAGGTTTTGGTTCTTAAACCTGCCCCTACAAAAGTAGGCCAAAATTTGAAATCACATGTGTTTGGTCTGTTAGTTTTTCATCTTTCACAAAACATTCCACTGCATCAGAATTCAATTTGAAGACTGAGATTCATTTAATAGTGTTTTACTTATTGTTGTTTCTTTTTGTGTTTGGATATCACAGGTAAAACGTCTGATTACTTCAACATTACACATTTTAAATAATAAAAGCCAGAAAGAATGACAGATGAAATTAATCCCATGAATTTTTAATGACTTGCTATTTGGTTTTTACTTATTACTGTTACTGTGTTTTCTGTCTTGAGAATACCAAAATAGTAATGCATTGTACCAAGCATTCTAAAATAACTGCCTAAAAGGGTAATTGAATCATTTTTTTTCTTTTCTTTTTTTTTGGAGATGGAGTCTTCCTCTGTTCCCATAGCTGGAGTGCAATGACGTGATCTCGGCTCCGGTAACCTCAGCTTCCTGGATTCGTGCAATTCTCCTCTCTTAGCTTCCTGAGGATCTGGGATTACAGGACTCAGCCACCACTGCTGGCTAACTTTTGTATTTTTGGTAGAGAGCTTGTTTCACCATGTTGATCAGGATGATCTCAAACACCTGACTTAAGGACATCCACCTGGCTCTACCTCCCAAAGTGCTGGGATTACAGGTATGAACCACCATGTCTGGCCATGCCAATTCTTTTATTTCTTTATGGAGACAACTGTAGGTTGAAAGCCATCTTTCCTAATACTTGTCAGTGCCTCAAGATTGTTAGGATAAAAATAAAATTTCCAACCAAAGGATACTTGTTGGTATCCAGAGTTTTAAGAAAAGTTGAGAAATAAAATATCCAGCTTCTGGCTCCTTCCCAGTGAGCATGCTCAATGTCTGGGGAATCCTTGGAACCTGGAGGAAGGGTAGAGCTGGGGTAGGTGGGGATGATCTTTGGAGCCACTGTCACTGTGGCAGCCACTGTTGCTCCTCAGGAAATGGCTTGGAGCCTCAGCCTTCAGAAGAAGTAACAAGGGCTCAGCAAGCAGTATTTTGTGTGCCAGATTTTCCATCTTCGTATCTTTTTTGCTGCTGTACCTACTGAGGTCTCTATCATTAATTTGGTCATCTTATTTCTTTGTACATTTTAACTGAAAGTCACTTCTCAGATGTGTTCCCTAAATTTTTCTCAGCCTACACCTTGTTTGTTTGATTCTCTTAACCTGAACATATTTTTTTTCTTCTTTTTGTTTTTTTTTGCCTTTTTTGAGATGGAGTCACACGCTGTCACCCAGTCTGGGGTGCAAAGCCGTGATTTTGGCCCACTGCAAACTTTGTCTACTAGGTTGAAGGGATTCTTCTGCCTCAGTTTCCTGAGTAGCTTGGATTGCATGTGCCTGCCAACAAGCCCAACTTTTTTTTTTCTTTTGTATTTTTAATAGAGACAGTGTGGCAGTCAGTTACTATGGGATGAAACAAAGGGGGTTGAATGCAGAAATGAAGACAAAGACAAAAAATATTTGTTTTAAAAGAGGGGTCAGGGGGCTCATTTCTTCTAGTCAGCAAAGGCCCTGAGCTTCTACAGGCCTTCATATTTATTAGGCAGAATCAACAGGGAGGAAAGGTAATTGTTGGTCAGCTGCTTGATTTATCACAGGCTCACATAATTGCTTTCTTTGTACTACAGACTTCAGATGTTCCTATATATAACCACAAGAAATACTATGCTTGGGGCATGACTGCCCTCAGTATTCCTTCTGGCACCAGACGTGGTGTGTCAGGTTATGAAAATGCTGCTTTCATGAGAACAGTTTGCTCTCTGCTCATAGACCCTCCACTCATTATTGAGTTGGTCACAACCCTTATTCTTTTGGCCTCCAACATCTCCATTTTGTTTTTGCATTAACTGAGTACAGGTGATTGCAGGCTGTGCAGCTCTCAATTGCTGTTTGGTGGTCCAGCTGCTTTTACTGACAATGAGCATAAAACAGAGACATAATAACATTACTCCGATAATCACAAAAAAGACATTGAGGTGATGTTTGGAGGAGGTCCAAGGGTTAAGGCTCTCTACACCTTGCTGGAATTCTGTGCAAGTTTTCAGACATGACTGAAATACTTGAGTATGCTTATTCAAGTTAAGAATTGCACATGTACCCTAAAACTTAACGTATAATAAAAAAAAGAAAAAAAAAGAATTTTACTTTGTTAATCATTAATATCAAAAGTAACATTGTATGTGAAAGCCCCATGTAAATGGACCTTTACAAGGTTCTATGGATATTCACTTTGGTTTTATTCCAAATTAGTTACACAAATATGAGTATGCTTAAAATGACAATGCAATTGCTGCTGCAACTACAAGTTTGTTCTTGTTTTCCTAGCCACAGAACTGTAGTCTTTAACATTGCTGCTTCTGTGTGTATCTCAGTGTTAAGTTTATTTTTAAGCATCCATGCCTGGTCGGCTGTACACATCCAATTTTCTACATATTGAGCTGTCTGAATGGAGCTCTACATCGCTACTAAGGATGACACAACAGAAATTATTAGTGTTCCTAAGGAGACTTTCACAATTATTTTCATGCCTAAGGCTCTACAAGCACAATGAGTAAGCTGAGTAAGAAAAAGATTTACAAAATGGAAAGCAGAGGTGGCCACCCAAGGCTCAGGCAGATTTACAGGAATCCATAATCTGGGATTGCAACCTAAAATTACTAGGGTGGATATGCTATATGTTTGTACTGTGCTATGGTTTAGGGAATAATACAGTTGACAAGAATCACAAGTCAACTGGGCATCGTTTAACTGGAGTTGGTCCATTTTGCTGCTAGAAAAACATAAGTTTAAAAACACAAAATGTAAATTGAGTGGTAATATTTTCTACAGAGTTAACATTGCAACTGCATTCAGCACAATTACTATAATTAGATAGTGTTCGAAGACAAATGCTGCCATTCATATAGTGGAGTGCTGCCTTCCCTATCGACTCTTGAATTGTACGTTTCTTTCCTTGATAATGTCATTGAGGCAAAGTTGGGCTAAAGCCTGTTCCACGCCAAGAGAAACTTGCTGCAGATTGGGATTGAATCCCAGTGCAGTGTAGTGAAGGGATGCTAACCTGTGTCAGCGAAGTTTATGCCATGAGGTCGGAGTCTCATCTCTCCCATCTAAGTGACCACAGGGACCCAGAAAATAATGTCTCCCATTAGCATGAACTGTTCTCTAGCTAGGGTGCCAAGACACTGGGTCCAATGAGGGGGGTAAGAATTATCAAAGGGAGCCCATTCTGTATAATTAATAGAATTTTGGGGATGGGGCTGGGAGTGGTTATTATCTACACCAGTAATGTTAATAAAGCTAAGGCCTAATAGGTACATAATTTTTCCATGGTAACTTAACCATACTTGGGATTAATTTGCAAGGCCACTGCAGTTGAGTGATGTACCCTGGGTGATGCATAAAGGAAGTCCCTCCAATGGCACAGCATAATTGATAATCATTGTTCTGAGAGTCTAATTACTGTTTGTCAGGGGGTGTTTGGGGTCCTGGTGCCCATCCTCCATGATCATGATAGATGTCAGGGGGAGTGTCACTCCATATTACACTCCATAATACTGGGGGATTGGGAATATATGTCCAATATGTTTTTGTCTCTGCACAAGGAAAACCTACTGGCCAGGATGTTACAGGTAGCATGGCCATAAACGTGAGGTCAGGGTTGTTTGCCTGACCCTGGTGCTCCAGCAATTTCAACTGACTCATGGCTTGTAACAGAGGAGCCGGATCCACAGTTGGGATCCATGGCTCTTTCCACTCTCCCGTTACATGGTCACAAACACATTGAGGGCACCCACACAGTTTATCCATCTCCTGTAAAAACACAAGCATACCCTTGTCCTTACATCAGTAAATCTACTGAGCCATTCCATCGTCCTTGGGGGGATTTTCATAATATCTTTGGGTATACTTTCCTTTTTCCCTATAACATTTACCAGTGTCATTCTGCCATAGTCTTACTATCTGTACCAGGAGACAAAAAATTTAAACGAAGTGAAAAAAAAATTAAAGTAAAAATAAATGTATTTTGTTTGAGGTGGTAACTGGTCTCCTGTTTCCCCTTTCTGTTTTTTTCAGCACGCGTTGTACTGTTCAATTTGACTGCTCTTTAATTCCTTGTCCTTGGGGGTTGTAAGGAATTCCTGTTTTATGAGTGATTGACCATAGCTGTAATAAATTTTAAAAAGCATGACTAACATAAGCGTGTCCATTGTCAGTTTTTAATTGCCTAGGAACCCCCATATGAGCACATGATGACAGACAATGTCATTGTAAATAACCAGCTGTTTGACCTGGTTTGCATGTAGCATGCCGCATGTGAGAATAAGTGTCTATAGTCCCATGAACAAAGGCGAGCTTGCCAATGACAGCTTTGTGAGTAACATCCATCTGTCAGATTTCATTTGAAGCTAAGTCTCATGGGTTACAGCCTTCTATGGGTGTGACTCCAGTGACATGCTGGCAAGTAGGACAGGCTTGTACAGGCTGCAGCCTGGCTGTTAGGCAAATGAAACATACGAGTAAAGACAGAGTTTTGATGCAGTAATACAGGAGAAAGTTGAGCTTGTTGAAATGCAGAACAAATCAATTTATTGGCTCCATTATTACCTAGAAATAGTGGTGTAGGGAGTTGTGTGGGAGAGCAGATATGAGAGATATAAAAAGCAGCATGAGAGCAAACAGCTTGTTGAAGCCTTAGAAACAAGTTAAACATCTCTGGTTCTAGGGTGCTTTTAATAGTGGCAGTCCCAATATGACCGGCTACATTTACAACATAGGCTGAATCATAGAGAGTGTTAATAAGAGATGAACCAGTGAGCTCTAAAACCTGATTAAGTTCCATTAGTTCTGAGCATTGAGCTGAAACTCTGGGTTTTTTTTTTTTTATTGTAGGAGCATGCTTAGTACTATAAGTAGCTTTGCGAGCTTTGGAAGAGCCATCAGTAAAATAGGTCTGGCTGCCTGAAATGGGCTTGTGATGAGGAATCACAGGGAAGATGAAAGGTTGAGTTTTTAAAATTGCAAAATTTTGTCTGATGGATAAAGTTTATGTATTATTCCTACATAATCTGAAAGAGCAATTTGACACACAGTCAACAATTCCCATGATGCAACTGTTGTTGGGAATCCAATATTTTTCCTCATACTTTTAGACTGGCTCTAAAAGGAGAACAGTAATTTTGTCTGGATCATATCTCTTAAGCATTTTTGATCTACCCCTACCCCTTGTTATAAATTGAGTAGTTAAAGAAAGATAAACTTGCAGAGATTTTACTCTCTGATTGAATTTCAAAAAAAGCCATTCTATCACAATTGCATATTTTTCTATGATCTGTCCTAAAAGTCCTTTTGGAGAATGGCGGGGTAGAAAGAACAAAGAGAACCAAAGGCTTTTGTGGCTGTGGCTGGGAGGCATGTGTTTGCTGAAGAATCTGCACTACAAGGTGTAACTCAGCTTCAGCCTCCTTAGTAAGTTGCTGGAGCAACGGGTTTGTCTCCTAAGCCCATTACTCCTAGTGAAGAATCTCCATGGATGATCTGAGTGTTTGAGTTGATGAGTAGCAATACCTAGGATTGGGCACAGCCAATTTATGTCTCCTAATAGTTGTTGGAAATCACTGAAGGTTTGTGATCTGTCCCTACAGAGGACTACTTTCTGAGGTCGAATATTTGTTTCAGTAACAATAGTGCCTAAGTATTGGTATGGGGAGGTTGTTTCTACCTTTTGTTGAACTATTTTGAGATGTCCCCCTGTTTTGCTTCTCTCAATATTTGGTGTAATCACTCTTCCATTGGAGCAGCCAAAAGGATTTCATCCATATAATGAATGATGTAGGCAGTAGGAAATATATTACGAGGCTCCTTTAAGGACTGTCCTACAAAACGCTGAAATAGTGTAGGACCGATGAGCATGCTTTGGGGCAAAACTTCGCTTATCCTTCTCATGTAAGGGTGTGGTAAGGAAATAATCTTTAAGATCTACTACTATGAGAGGTGAGTCACTTGGAATGGCTGCCAGTAATGGCAGACCTTGCTGTAATGCACCTATTGGTTTAATCTGTGCATTAATAGCTCTCAGATCACGTAGAAATTTGTGGGCAAAATGGTCTGTTTTTATATACTAAAATTTGCTGAAACTTTACACTTGTGTTCATGCTACTTAATATTTTAAATTGTCTGTGTGTGTATGTACATACACATATATATACACATACACATATATGATATGTGTATATATACATACATCTATATACACATACACATATATGATATGTGTATATATACGTACATCTATATACACATACCAGCGTGTATAGGTATACATACATAAACTCTGGGTATTATATGTGTTTGTATTACATTCATATATATATATACACACATTCATATGTATATGTGTGTATATATCTACATATACATGTTTGTGTGTATACATATACATATATGTATATGTGTGTATATATGTATAGTTGTGTGTATATACACATATACACATATGCACACACGTATGTGTGTGTATATCTGTATGTAATAACATATATGTAATACCCAGAGTTTATGTATGTATATCTATACACTCTGGTATGTGTATATACATGGTACTTGTATACGTATGTATATACATATACACATACACACACATATGTATGCGTATATATTACACATGTGCATATATATACAAACATACACACACAGATATGTGTGTATATGTAAGTATATATGTATTCTCTGTTTATATGTGTATGTATATATACGCATACACACATATGTGTATATATTACATACACATACATATATACACATATGTGTGTGTATATATGTGTGTATATGTGTGTATATGTGTGTATATGTGTAATTCCTAATTACGTGTGTGTGTGTGTGTATATATATGTATGTATGCATATATATATATATATATATATATATATATATATATATATATGTAAAATTCCATCTTTGTCTCCTGAGTCCATTCAACCCAAAAACTTCCAGGTACATGGGGGAAGCCTAAGAAAGATTATGCGGTAGTTACAGTGAAGCAACAGTCTTTAATAGAGTTTGAGTCTTTATATTATCCCTGTTTTCCCATACTATGGTCCTAGCAAAACATTGACATCCTCATAAATAAGACGGATTGACTTTGAAACTTAACATTCTCTTCTTATTTAGATATTAATGTAGCTGGATGCAGAACGGTTGCCTCAAAAATAAAAAAAAAAAGATTCCATTCCTTTCCTTCTTTTATAAAAACATCAGCAATGAGGTTGTAATTTGTCAAGGGCAGCTTCTTTTTGACTGTTGAAAGTGGAGATTTTCTGCTTAGAGATGGGACATAGAGTCTTATAATTGTCATTGAGACATTGCAGGGGGAGAAAGTTGGAAACCAGACATTTTAGGCAAAGGGCTGACAAGACTCTATATAGAGAAAAATCCTATCTTAACAAGTGGCACTGTAGGATCTGAAATATTAGATGAAAACTCTGATTACAAACACTTTTCTGTCAAAAGTTAGAAAAGAAGGGTTAGGGCTTGATAAACGTTCCCTACACTATGCCTCTTAGATTAATAGGACAGTGAAAAAGGAGAAGAAAAAAATGCAGAAGAAAGTATTCCCTCGGGGTAAGAAAACTTCTTTTACAGTGTTCTAAATGTCTATCGCTGGTTCCCAAAAAGGTTTTTACCAAGTTAAAAGTTAGACTAAAAACTCGAATTTCGTTTGTTTCCAAGACACCACCAAAACAGCAACATTTGAATAATATTCCTGATTACTAAATCACCAACTGAATTCACCCAATAAGAATATATTTCCTGGTTGCAACATTGCATAAAAAGAAGAAAATAAGAGACATGATTGCCATAAACGGAAAGGCAAGAAAATAAAATAGAAAATTCTGGAATTCCTGGTGCCATCACCCTGATGGACTGTCATTGACTGGCCTTAGTTCAGAAGGCTTTAGATAACACTGAGCTGTAGCCTTGGCCAGAAACTTTCAATTGTCTCAAGACCGATTGTAAGTCTCTGCATGCATAAGCTGCTTTGTGAAGGAAAGTGAGTTGGAACAGAGCCAAAGTTTTCATCAACTGAGGATGTTGGGGGATTGTCAAAGTTCTCTCTATCTGGCCTGTCACCTGAGTCTTATAAGGCTGGAAGTCATCTTTTTGATTTGAACTGGCTGACACTGGCTCAGTGTTGTTTGCTTGTGAGTACAAACAGGAAAAATAAACTTAGGACAAAATCCTCAGAAATAAAAGTAAAGCAAAGAATTTGAAGAAGTGCTCCTATACTCCTACTGAGTATTGTAATATATTGCTTTCTCAGAACATGTAGCAAATATATATAAATTGAAAATGGGGCTTTGGTTTGTCTTCCACTTTTTTTTTTGGACTGGTTTTCTTCTTTGCCTGGCTATGTTAAACATGCTATTTGTCTCTGAATCTCTCTGTTCCCTGTGTGGCTTCCTGTTGCTCAGCAGTACTTAAGATTTGCCTTAGGAGTGACATAACATGTGAGCATGCAAAATAAAAATTCGGGAACGATTTTGGAAAGCCTCTCTCTATTCATCCGGGTTATCATAATACTTTTCTAGGTCCCAGTCTATCTGTTTTAAGTCTTGTAATAAAAAGAGAATCAGGAATTTAGAGGCAACATGTTTTTTGGTCATTTTCTTTAGGGTTAGTGGTTTAATGGAAGGTCGGTTGGGAGAACTGAAGAATCTGAGGATGATAAAGTGACTACAGGAGTCCCTTGTCGGGGGACACAAGAAAAGGTGGAACATCTCGAAGTTTCTTCTGAGGGTTGCCTGGGGATTTGTTTCTCTGATGTTTTAGAATTGTTCACTATAGACAAGTCTGATGTGCTAAGAAGGCATGGTCAACATTACAATGTTTACAAATATCTGGGTTGTTTGCGGGACAAAGAAATCTGACATATATGGCACCTCAGACAATTTGCCTTCTCAGTTGCAGAAAATATCTAGATGTTGGATAGTATTGAGAGAAAAAAGTTAAGTAGATAGGATGGATTCTTGCTACAACTACTTTAAGCAAAGAGACAGACTGAAATACCAGGCTTCATGCAGATTAAAAAAAAAAAAAATCCTGCACAAACCTGCAGTCCACTCATATAAAGGAACATAGCCTTATAAATAAACTCTTTTGTAATTATTTTTTTGGCCTAAAACATGCCTACAGATAATCTGATAAAAGAAGAAGAATAGTATGCATAAAAACGCTTCTCTTCCAGAAAATAGTCTCTATTTCTTTTACCCAGTGGTCTTCAGTGTGTTCCGATGCACACTTTTGCAGTCATGTGGGCATGCCACTGTACATATCAGTCTGCTACTTTGAAGTATCATCAGACTTTCTTTTTCTTCACTGTAATGAAGTCAGATTGATTACTTAACAGGGAAAAAAATGACTGTTCACAGCACATATAGGAGACAGATGTGTTTCTCACTATAAGGCAGGTTCTGATGTTTTTATGAATTAAGAAAAGAGTGTGCTCACTAGTCTTGAAAAAGTACTAGTTGGCTTGACTCAGAAACTTGACCCAGGACTGAAAAGTAGCTGAAGTAAAAATTTGTAGTGGCTCAGCTCACAGTAGAAAGCATATCCAGAAAGAAGAAGAAGAAGAAGGAGAAGGAGAAGGAGAAGGAGAAGGAGAAGGAGAAGAAGAAGGAGGAGGAGGAGAAGAAGAAGAAGAAGAAGGAGGAAGAAGAAGAAGAAGAAGGAGAGAAGAAGGAAGAAGAAGAAGATGAAGAAAGAAGAAGAAGAAGAAGAAGAAGAAGAAGAAGAAGAAGAAGAAGAAGAAGAAGAAGAAGAAGAAGAAGAAGAAGAAGAAAAGTGCCCACTGAAGCACACTGAAGCTCCCTGTGTAAAAGGAATAGAAACGATTTTCTGGAAGTACGTGCGTTATTTAAGAAGAAAAGTATTTTTATGCAGAATATTCTTATTTTATCAGATTACCTGTTGGCATGTTTTAGGTAACAAAAAAGTGCAAAAAATATTTGTTTGTTAGGCTTTGTTCCTTTATATGAGTGGGCTGCAGATTTGTTCAGGTTTTTTTAAAAATCTGCCTGAAGCCTGGTATTTTAGCCTGTTTCTTTGTTCGAAGTAGTTTTAGCAAGAATCCATCCTATGTACCTAAATTTTCTCTCTCAATTCTATCCAACATCTAGATATTTTCTGTAAGTGGGAAGGTAAATTATCTGACATATTTTCTTTGTCCTGCAAACAACCCAGATATCTGTAAGCATTGTAATGTTGACCATGCCTTCTTAGCATATCAGGCTTGTCTATAGTGAACAATTCTCAAAAGTCAGAGAAACAAACCTCCAGGAAACCCTCAGAAGAAACTTCCAGATGTTCCAGCTTCTCCTGTGTCCCCCATCCACAGACTCCTCTAGTCACTTTATCATCCTTTTCTTCTTCATTTCTCCCAAGCAACCCTGCATTAAATTGTTACCCCTAAAGAAAATGTCCAATAAACACGGTGCATCTAAATTACTGGTTCTCTTTTTATTTATTTATTTATTTTTTTTTTTTTTTTGAGACGGAGTCTCGCTCTGTCGCCCAGGCTGGAGTGCAGTGGCGCGATCTCGGCTCACTGCAAGCTCCGCCTCCCGGGTTCACGCCATTCTCCTGCCTCAGCCTCCCGAGTAGCTGGGACTACAGGCGCCCGCTACCACGCCCGGCTAATTTTTTGTATTTTTAGTAGAGACGGGGTTTCACTGTGTTAGCCAGGATGGTCTCGATCTCCTGACCTCGTGATCCGCCCGCCTCGGCCTCCCAAAGTGCTGGGATTACAGGCGTGAGCCACCGCGCCCGGCCTCTTTTTATTATAAGACTTCAAACAGATAGATTGGGACCTAGAAAAGTATTCTGATAACTCAGATGAATACAGACAGGCTTTCCAAAATGTTACCCAAGTGTTTGGTTTTACATGGCAACATGTTATGTCATTCCTAAGCCAAATGTTAAGTACTGCTGAGCAACAGGAAGCCGCACAGGCAACAGAGAGTTTCAGAGACAAATAGCATGTTTAATATAGCCAGGCAAAGAAGAAAACCGGACCAAAAAAAAAAAAAATGAGGGGGAAAGAGACAGAAGCCCCATTTCCAATAAGAAGGGAGACATTGCCCCTTAAAAAACATAACTAAAGGCCTACTGATTTTATGGATGAGTGGAAACAAAAAGAGTTTCTAATGTGTGTGTTAAAAAGCTTCCAAGAAACTGGAATCAAAGCTCTTAATTAATCAAAACTGGCCATATTGAAATAAAAACCAAATCAAAATATTTCGGCCTTAATGAAAGGCTGAGAGAGGATTCTGTGGATTTTTTGAGACAATCTTCTCTATCTCCTGGTTTAAATAAAATACAGGTAATCTTATTAGGCAAGTTTATTACTCAAACTTTAAATCAGAAGATAACTACAAAAGCAGACTATGGTCCCAGATACCACAGTAGAAAAATTGTGGGTGGCATTCTTGGTCTTTTACAGCAGGGCCCACAAAGAGGCACAGGAAAGGCAGAAAAAGCAAGAGGCAGACAGAGGCATTAGTGACGCAATTACAGGTCTACAAAATCCAGGAGTTTTGAGCTGGACTGCTGAAAGTTTGGCAAGCTCCAGGACTCTTCAGGAAGAACAGCAGAGAAAAGAAAACAATGCCTCCTCAACTCTGTCCAGCCAGTGGTGGCGACCACTGGAAGGTGGAATGCCTGCAGAGACATATTTTGCATTACAGGGCCCGATTTTAGATAATCAAGTAAGACTTATGCATCCCAGGGCTCAATTCAGGCTTCAATTGTAGTCTCACCAATTCACCACATGTAGCAAATTCTCACTGTGTGACATCACAAAGAGTTATTTATCTGGGGTCCAAAAACTTGAGGAACGTGCACACAAAGTGAAGTTAGCACTGAAGTTTAAGAAGGAAATTAAAATGGCTCTCCACGGTGGAAACCCAATTTGGTTGTCCAGTGTCACCCTGGTGTTTGGGGTCCTCATGTACTGGGAGATGGAAGAATGTGATGATTGATCTCGGAAAAAGCATTACTCAGCTTGGCTTTGGACTTTTGCTTGGGACAAAACAAGTGCTGATGTGAAAGCTTGGCTCACGACCTCTACCCATGACTAATCAGAGGCTGATGTGATGATTCATACCACTTCAGGTTATATTCCAAAGCATGTCCAGAAAAGTGCCCACTAAAATTTATTGTCGCCCACCGTGTACTTTCCTCACCGAAAAAAAAGCCACTAATTTTGGAAGTCCATTGCTTATACAAAAGACAAGGGTGTTTTCTTGTTGTTCTTGTTTTTCAATCAGTCTCTTTGTGAGCATATATTTGTGCACAAAGAACAAAGTTCTGTCTATGTCGGACTGCGTTTCTTCATGTGAGTGGGCTGAAGGTTTGTGTGAGTTTACTAATATGTGTCTGTAGCCTATTTTTCAGTAAGCTGGATCTTTGTTCCTAGAAGTTATACCAAGGGCCCCCCCAACTACCTAACTTTTCTCTGCTGTTAGGGAGAGACCAACCCTACTACCTAACTAACTGCTGTTAGACAGAATTGATCTTTCTAGCTACCTCCTGCTAGGGAGAGGGGTTGTGCAATGAAACGCAACAGCTGGAGCTCTGCCTGAGGTCAGGATAAGGTTTCACAGAAACACGGTGTTTTCATAAGTGGTTTCATTTCCAGTACCATTTGGAATTTGATTTCCTCTATGTAAGAAGAAAAAAATTGGGTTATAAAAATATGTGTTTTAAAATGAGATGAGCTGAGGCAATAAACAGCTTAAAAATTCTGAGGCTGCTGACATGCCCCGAAAACTGAGGGCTATAATTATGCCAGAGAATTGTAGATGTATAGGGCTTGGCTTTGCTTAGCGTCCTTAGTCTTATCCCCACAAAGACAAACACCCCTTAACTATGAGTCCACACTTTACTTTCATTACCCGGCACGATTTGTAGAATAATTGCCCAGAAGAAAATATTGTTACATACTTTAAAATGTTAACCTTTTTTATGTTTTCTACTCAGCTGTAGCTGGAGATTTCTGACTGGCTCACAGAAATTAACAGGGCTAGTTTAAACTACAGGCAAATTCTAAAGACAACTAATGAGACTAGAAGACAATGGCCAATGTAAGATTTGAAACAAATTTTTCTATTTTCCTTGTTCATTTCTGTAAAAAACAAATATAATAGGCCTGGGTTGACAGCAAAATGGTCTATAATTTGATAGTTAAAATAACTATTGGCATAAACTGTGGGCCAAATAATTGCTCTTAAATAGGCTTTGTACACTGGTTTTGATGAAATTTTCTTCATGAGGAACCTCTGATAAAACCTCTTAAAACCAAGCACAACCATGGGTTTTACTTCCAAATACTGATGTGTTGCAGGAAATTAGGGACCCCAAGCAGAGGGACCTGCTGAAGCTGTGGTAGAAGAACATAAATTGTGAGGATTTCATGGACATTCACTAGTTCCCCAGATTAATACTCTCATAATTTCCTATGCCTGTCTTTACTTTGATCTCTTAATCCCATCGTCTTCGTAAGCTGAGGATGTATGTCACCTCAGGACCCTGTGATGATTGTGTTAACTGCACAAATTGTTTGTAAAGCATGTGTGTTTGAACAATATGAAATCTGGGCACTTTGAAAAAGGAACAGGATAACAGTGATGTTCAGGGAACATTGGAGATAACCATTAGGTCTGACTGATTGGGAGCTGGGCAGGACAGAACCATATTTGTCTTATTGCCAAAAACAGGTAAGATAAATATCACTGAATTCTTTCCCCAGTAAGGAATATTAGTAATTAACAGCCCTGGTAAAAGAACACATTCCCAGGAGGCGGCCTCTAAAATGGCCGCTCTAGGGGTGTCTGCCTTATGCAGTTGCAGGTAAGGGATGAAACACACCCTGGCCTCCTGCAGCAAGCCCAGGATTGCTAGGATTAGGAAATTCCAGCCTGCTGAATTCTAGGAAGATCAGTTCTCTGCTCTGGAACCCTGTTAAGATGTTTATCATGACAATGCATGCACAGCAGGACATGGAACTTCATTAGCAATTCTAGGTTCACCCTGTTGTTGTGATTTTGCCGTGACCTTCTGCCTTGTGATCTTTCATTGCCCTCTGAAGCATGTGCTCTCTGTCTCCCACACCCTATTTGTACACTCCCTCCCCTTTGAAAATTGCTAATAAAACTTGCTGGTTTTTGGCTTAGGGGGCATCACGGAACCTGCTGACATGTGATGTCTCTGCCAGACACACCGCTTTAAAATTCTTTCTTTTTTTTCTAACCTATCCTTTTATTTCTCAGACTGGCTGACACTTATGGAAAATAGAAAAGAACTGAGGTTGAAATATCGGGGGCTGGTTCCCTAATACCTATGCGTTGGTTAAACTTTTTCCTTCTTCAGGTCCAAGCAAATGGGATTTCTGGGCATGTTAAAAAATGACCTTCTTTGATATTTGGGGTTTTGTAAAGACTGTTGCAGGGTCTAAAATGGCCTTTGTTTTATAGCTTATTTATAATGACTTCTAGCCCTTTTCTACCTTCTGGTTTGGGAAATAATGCCTCTGGTCAGAAAAAAAATAGTGCAATCCTTAATGTAAATACAGATGCATACAGTGGTTGTAGCCCAGCAACATTTCTCTGGACATCCCATACTTCTTAGTTAATATTAGTTTCCACTTAGTGGAGACAAAGAGTTTATCCTGCAGCCATTCATATGGAGGCTTCTATATAGGCCAAAATATCTCTACCTAGTAATAAAGTGGGACTTTCAGGAATTATTAAATTGGTATGGCTAAATAGAAGGTTGTTTCAACTATAACTAATGGGCTGAGAAAATATTCCATAAAGGACTTTTGCTGACACATCCATCATTGTCACATTATGGGAGGAGAGAAAGCCTAGATTGAAAAGCAGAACAAAGACACCCACTCCAGTTTTGAGAAGGAAGTCTACTTTCCTCCCTTCCACCTTCAGAATCACCCAAGGATTTTGAAGAGTTTGGAACCCAAAGACTATGGCAGCTGTTAGAGCTGGGGAATTGATCTCCAGGAACTCTCAGTCTTGCTGGACCATTTGTGAGACTGGTCCTGGACTTAGTGGTGCATGCCTCATTAATCAGCACACCCTTCAGTGGTCACCACCACTGGTTGGAGAGTGTTGAGGTGGCTTTCTATTGTTTTCTCAGCATTTCTTGGGAAAGTGTCCTGTCTTGCCACACTGATAGCAGTTAGCAGGTGCCACTCAGGGACTTGGATTTTTACAAAACTGTATTGCATTAGCTAGAGTCTCTGTTCTTCTTTTGTCTTTACTCTTCTTCTTTTGTGCCTCCTCATGTTTCCTATTGTAAAATCTGAAGTACCCACATTCAGGAGGCTCTTTACAGTGTTACTGAGATAAGAAAGCTAGCTTGGGTTAGGGAGGCAGCAAGGAAAGTGTCCCTGGAAAACCACCGTTCTGCAGGTTCATTTCTCATTTACACGTAACACATAAGCAGCCTTAAAAAAATCAGTCTGCAGACACCAACAAGATAACTAACACAGAGGGTTGTATCTCAAGATCCGTATTGTCACAGACAGAAGAATCTTCAGTCCATTCAGAGAAAAGTCTTGTGCAAACTCTGGCTCATTGTGATAAGAGAACCAGCCATGGCTCAAAAATACCCTTGTATTTGTGTAATCGGTTGGCTCCCAGGAAGTAGTTTCTTGTCCATTTTTTTTTTGGCATAAACACAGTGGGTCCTGGTGGCTTCTGGTTGGCACATTTGTTTCCTTTTGGACTGTGAGCCCAGCCTTTATAAATTACTGTTTTAGTTCCTGATTAAGCCTGGGCCAAATTTTTGACCCAAGCTTTTACGTCAGCTCCTGATAGGTCATGGGATGAGCTGAGCAGCAGCTATAAATTATGACTACACCTCCTGATTATTTCTAGGCAGATTTCTTGGGTTAAGCTTTCGAATTATTCTCAGGCCAAGACCCTGAGCCAAGTTAAATTGCATGGTCTTCAAAGCAGCCCATTGACTAAAAACATTTCTTTCTCTTGCTAGTTTGTAATAACCCTGAACCCCAACCTCATAGTGGGAAACACATTTGAGTCCTTCTTTTGATTGGCAGAGAGCTTTCTTCTTGTGCTTTTTTTTTCTTTAATCTCAACTTTGTTTCTCAGCTTCTTTTTTTTTTTATTAAAGGAAAGATCTTTGGGTATAATTACAGACAAAGGGATACTCTTACATCTGGGTGCATTGGTGAGACTGCAACATATATTGGTGCATTGGTGAGACTATACATATGTTTCTGCATGGGCTGTGAAGGAAACAATTCATCAGAATGGTAAAAATAGACTTTAAACTTCCAAATTCATTTCAAAAATGTTTTGTTTATTTCAAGACTTTTTTTTCATAAAGAGCCTGGCAGTCACATGAGATGTAGAGGAGATCCCAGGGACACTAAAAGTTTCAGCTTGAGGCTACATCTCAGTGTTATCTGATTATCGTTAGACTAATTCTGGTCTGTGACAACTCGTCAGGCCATTAACACAAGGACTTCCCATTTTTATCTATTGAATTTAAAATTTTTCTTTTCACAGCTATAATATCTTTCATATTTTTTTTCTATGCAGCGTTGTGGGCATTTTTACAGCCTCGGTATACTAGGTATACAGGTTTGCTTAACACAGTTACTCCTTGTCTCAGTAATTAGTAGTGTAATTTAAAAAGGTTTGTTTTTGTGATTTCTGTGAAACAAGGGGAATTCAAGATTTCACTATAAATTGTTACCTATAAAAGGGCCTTTTTGTCCCTCAATAACAGATAATCGTGGCACTGTATGGGAGGGATTTGACTGCAAGTAAATACTCTTTCCTTTATGTGGAATTTTTTACAAAGATATTATTTTCCTTCACATAAAAGTTACAAGAGACAAGTTAATTTTTGCCTGTTGGGGGGCATTTAGTGGAGACAACCTATCTAACCCAAAATCTCTCTTTCTAACTTTTGAATAAAGAGAATTTTGTGTCAGAAATTTTAACATAGCATTTCTAACCTTACATCACTCCCTCGTGAAATGAGATTTCTTTTCTACCTGGAGCCTTGTGAATCCATTGTCCAAAACTTACAGTTTTGAAATTCTTTTCCCATTTACATTCTGTCATCAGTGATTAGCCCACATATCCTATCTTTAAACAGGCAGCCCCCACTATTAATTATTGGGAGAAAAACAATGTTAAAGAGCAGATTTTAGCCTCTTTGCTTTCACCATCTAATGAAGGGCCATTCAGCCATTCAGTTTCTACAGTTTTAAGCCACCTGTTCTGCATTGCAATAATTTTGGATTTAAAATGTTTGAAAGTCAATCTGTCTCATTCTCTGAGATTCTGATGTTTCACTGGGAACATAGTTACCAAAGCCAAAGTTAGTATGAAGACATTTCCTCTATTAAAATGTCTAGAACAAATTTTACTACTACATAACATTTGCAAGGCCTCTGGGGTAACTTTCAAGCCTTTGGGGTCCAGTGGGTCTAGGACAAAAGGAGGGCAGAAAGCTACAGCTTTGCACAGGTGAGTGTGGCTAGTGCTTCTGACTAGCTCCTCCAGATATATGTGTAAAAGCTATGCTTGCATTTCTGAGCAGCACCTATTACAGTTTTGGGGGCACAGATGAGACAAAGGAAAAAGATGAAAAAGGATACTGTAACACTTTCTATTTATCCTGTGTAACACCAAAAGGAGGAAGTCATCTGAATGACACCTTGTTTACCCTCTGTCTCTAGATGGCAACAAAACATCTGTAGACTGCACTCCCCTTGAGTGCACTTGGGAGCACTGGGACTCCATTGACCTTGAGTCTCTAAATTTATAAACAATAATAATGATATTCAACTGGCAACAAGGTGGCCATGTGGCCATGTTCCTGATAGGAGGACAGGTCTTCTCAAAGAAGCATAATTTCAATAATATCTAACAGCTAGGTCCTTTTGCTCTTCAAAAAAACCCTAGATTTTGTAAACATTGTAAAATTACCCCTGTGCCTTTGGGAACCATACAAGGTAAGTCTACAATACATAATTTTCCAAAGTCAAAGAGAGAAATCTCTAGAGAACTGTCAAATGCAATTTCTGAGTGCCCTATCTGACTCCTTTAACTGGGACTCAGAATAGTTGTATAAAAACACCTCTGGTTGTGCAAGCCCAGGAAAATTCCAACTTTACTGGTGCCCCTATAACAAATGCACAATGAATATGGTGCTACTAAGGTTTAAATTTCCTTCTCATTACAGTAAACTTATATACATAAAGCTGGACTTAAGACAGTTCCCTGATGAACCTGATAGACATGCACAGGCTTTCCAACATTTAAATCAGCTGTTTCCTCTTATGTGCAGAAATGCAGTGCAACTTTTAAGCCACATTTCAACTACTGCGGAAAAACAGGCAGCAGTACAGACAGCAAAGGAATTTGAAGATGAACAACTGACATCCTATAGTCAGTCAGAAAATAAACAGAAGCGAAAGATGAAAATGGATGAGTAAAGAAGACAGAATTACTATTTCCAATAGAAAGAAAAACAGTGCTGTTTGAAAACCCCAAATGAAGCCTTGGTAAACCTACAGATGAATAGAAATGAAAAACACTTTCTACTGTGCATATTATCAGGCTTCGAAAGAACCAGAACAAGACTTCTTAATTACTCTGAACTGTTCTTGTTGAAATCACAAACTAGAAAAAAACTCACAGATTCTTTGGAATGGCTGAGAGAAGCTTTAGCAATACATGTGTCTCCATCTCCTAATTTAATTAAGGGATACACAATTTTAAAATATTACTTTATTTCTCAGCCATCCTCTAATATCAGAACAAAACTACAGAAGCAGGCTGTGGGATCAGATAGCACTTTGAAAGACTTTCTGGGGTGGCTTTTATCTTTTAAAACAAGAACTGGGGAGAGGAGACCTAGAAAGAAGAGGGGAGTCGCAAGAGAATGAAAGAGGCATTACTGGCCTCTTCACAGGCCTACAAGAGCCGGAATCTCCAAGAGGCACCTGCTGATTTCTACTAGTGTGACAAGCTAGGACACTTTCAAATGAATTGCTCAGGCAGAAAAAGAATATATCTCAACTTTGTCCAGCCTGTGGGGGAGACCAGTGAAAGTAGAAGTGTTCCCAGAGCCATAGGTCACCAGGTCCAGTGTGTATTTCCCAGATTGTTCAGCAGGAATAATGGCTCCCCAGCTCTACAAGCCATTGTGATCTACAGGATTCAAGTAATTCTGGAGGTAAAATGGAAATTAAACAACAACAACAACAACAACAACAACAACATTTTTCTAAATTCTAGAGCCTGTTTCTCTCTTCTTCTCTCCAATCCAGGGTTCTCCTCCTCCAATAGTGAAGAGAGTTAGCTAGCTTGCCTTCTATAGACAGAAAGAGAAGTGTCTCCAGAAATTTCTCAGCCCACTGATCAGTGCTTCATTTCCACATAAGATACAAATCAGTCTGGAAAGAAACATTCAAGCAGCAGGCACCAATAAATGAACTAGAACAGAAAGTTGTGTCTGAAGACACGACTGCAGTTGCACAAATAAAAGAACCTCCAGCTCACTCAGAAACTTGCAGAAACTTCAAGATTACTCAAATGTGAAAACAAGGCCTGAAATAGAAATGCATTGGTCCATTTTATAATCAGTGGACATCCAGAAATATTTCTTTTCCTTTGGTGAACACAAAGAGAGTGGGAGAGTGGGAGCAAGTGCCTTCCAGGGAACAATTTTCTTTTCTTCTTGGACTGTGACCCCCACCTCTATGAATCATTACTTCAGCCTCAGATTAGTTCTGGATAAAATCCTAGGCCACAGGTTCACTTCAGCTTCTGAAAGGTTGTCTAAACTGAGTATCCCCTATGAATATTCACTTTAGCCACTAAGTACTGGGCCAAGGTCTCAGGCTAAGCTTTCTGACTGGGCTGGGATCTAAGGCCCCAGGTCGAACTACGTCACACATTTTTTAAGACAGCCCACAGACGAAGTGCATTTCTTACCATTCACAACACACAAAAACCCTAAATCCTTAATCCATCTTGAATTGATTTTTGTATAAGGTGTAAGGAAGGGATCCAGTTTCAGCTTTCTACATATGGCTAGCCAGTTTTCCCAGCACCATTTATTAAATAGGGAATCCTTTCCCCATTGCTTGTTTTTCTCAGGTTTGTCAAAGATCAGATAGTTGTAGATATGCGGCATTATTTCTGAGGGCTCTGTTCTGTTCCATTGATCTATATCTCTGTTTTGGTACCAGTACCATGCTGTTTTGGTTACTGTAGCCTTGTAGTATAGTTTGAAGTCAGGTATTACCATTCAGGACATAGGCGTGGGCAAGGACTTCATGTCCAAAACACCAAAAGCAATGGCAACAAAAGCCAAAATTGACAAATGGGATCTAATTAAACTAAAGAGCTTCTGCACAGCAAAAGAAACTACCATCAGAGTGAACAGGCAACCAACAACACGGGAAAAAATTTTCGCAACCTACTCATCTGACAAAGGGCTAATATCCAGAATCTACAATGAACTCAAACAAATTTACAAGAAAAAAACAAACAACCCCATCAAAAAGTGGGCGAAGGACATGAACAGACACTTCTCAAAAGAAGACATTTATGCAGCCAAAAAACACATGAAGAAATGCTCATCATCACTGGCCATCAGAGAAATGCAAATCAAAACCACTATGAGATATCATCTCACACCAGTTAGAATGGCAATCATTAAAAAGTCAGGAAACAACAGGTGCTGGAGAGGATGTGGAGAAATAGGAACACTTTTACACTGTTGGTGGGACTGTAAACTAGTTCAACCATTGTGGAAGTCAGTGTGGCGATTCCTCAGGGATCTAGAACTAGAAATACCATTTGACCCAGCCATCCCATTACTGGGTATATACCCAAAGGACTATAAATCATGCTGCTATAAAGACACATGCACACGTATGTTTATTGCGGCACTATTCACAATAGCAAAGACTTGGAACCAACCCAAATGTCCAACAATGATAGACTGGATTAAGAAAATGTGGCACATATACACCATGGAATACTATGCAGCCATAAAAAATGATGAGTTCATATCCTTTGTAGGGACATGGATGAAATTGGAAACCATCATTCTCAGTAAACTATCGCAAGAACAAAAAACCAAACACCGCATATTCTCACTCATAGGTGGGAATTGAACAATGAGATCACATGGACACAGGAAGGGGAATATCACACTCTGGGGACTGTGGTGGGGTCGGGGGAAGGGGGAGGGATAGCATTGGGAGATATACCTAATGCTAGATGACACATTAGTGGGTGCAGCGCACCAGCATGGCACATGTATACATATGTAACTAACCTGCACAATGTGCACATGTACCCTAAAACTTAGAGTATAATAAAAAAAATAAAAATAAATAAAAAAAAAAACCAAAACAAAACAAAAAACCCTAAATCCAAGTTTCACATTGGTTAACCCATTTTGACCACATCACTGCTGGCATCGAGCTTTTTTATTTCACTTACTAAACTTTCTCTTCAACCTTACTGCTCTTTAGCCTTCTTAAAATGTGTCTGCGATCTTTATTCTCCTAAGACATAGAAAAGAAACCCCCAGTATTACCTTAGATAAGTAGAGACTGTTATGTGTTTGTGTACTGGTGAGATAACAATAATAGCAAGATTGTGATGGGCTTCCTGGGAATGCGCTAATGCTCTGCTAAACTATCTGACAAAAATTAAAAATAAAAAGACTATTGGGTCTCAACATCTAAAGCTCAGCTCTCTCAGACTTCAGTACAGTAGCTGGATCTGGTCTTATCAGAAGAGACCAATGTACAAGGTCATGAAACAATTCAGCCCATTTTTCTTAACAGTTAAGAATATTCTTGGGCAGTACTTGATTTTTCAGATGGCAGGTACCTCCGTACAGAGAATTAGCTCGTCTTTTATACCACCTCATAGAAGAAACTAAAGCAGATAAAACTCATGTTTAACTTAATAACCTGGTACTCAAAAAAATTTAACCAGTTAAACAAACCTTACTTAAAGCAGAAGCCCTCAGTTTTTTCATAGTAAAGGCACTTAATCTCCATGTATCAGAAATAGAGAAAGCAGACGTTGAAATTACGGATGAGGCTCGAGGTCCAGATCAACATCCAGTGGTTTACCTAAGGAAGAAATTTAGCTTGGTTTCTAAAAAAAAAAAAATGGGCAACTTACCACTGAGCAGCTGCATCAGTGATATTGTTGGTGCCAGAAACCATCAGGTTAACCATGAAAATGACATATCTGTTTCTACACCACATAGCATAGCAGTACTGTGTTTCCTTAAAAAAGTCTCTTGCGAACTGACAGTCACCTCCTTAAATATCAAGCTTTGCTATTGAAGGGATCTGCAGCCCATTTGAAAGCCTGTACTTGCCTGAATCCAGCAGCTTTCTGTCAGGGGAAAGTTGAGTTGTTGAACCTGATTGTGAACACATAGTGGTGTAAACCGGTGAAATAAATAATAGACACTTCTCTTGATATTCTCTGTAAAGTTAAATTAATGAAAACACTCTTAGAAAGCAATTGGATTAATTAAAAATGGAGATTTATGCTATACATGTATTCAAGACGTTCATGATTTTCTCCTCATAAACCTTGTTTCCTTGAAAATGTTTTTTCTTTCAGTCGACTAAGTTACCTTTCTCCACTCAATCTTGACACTTTTGGTGAATGCATAAAAGGTTCTTGGATAAAAGCTGATGGTCAGGGACATCTTGAGGCTAACAGAAGAGACACCATCAATCGTCTTTTATGAGAAATCTGCATTTCTTATGTAGCTCTTGGAATTAGAAGTGAATAATACCTCTGAAAATGAAAGGCTGTCTCTTCCAGCTCTGCTTTTTTTTTTTTTTTTTTTTTTTTTTTTGAGGCGTGGTCTCACTCTGTCACCAGGCGGGAGTGCAGCAGTACACCCTTGAATCATTGCAACCTCTGCCTCCTGGGTTCAAACGGCTCTCCTTTCCTTAGCCCCCAATTAGATGAGACTAAAAGTGCACACAAACATGCCCAGCTAATTTCTATATTTTTAGTAGAGATGGGGTTTCACCATTTTGGCCATGATCTCTTGACTTCTTGATCCCCAAACATGGGCCCCCCAAAGTGCTGGGATTACAGGTGTGAGTCACCATGCCCAGCATCAGTGAGGCTTTTTTTATTAGGCCCTGGAAACTATTCATAGCCCGTTTCTTAAAGGGCCACAGCAAGAGGTCAATAATCCAATTGGAAAATTAGTAAAATAAAATTTTATGACTCCTGGAACTTCTGTTTTCTCTGTGTTTACATATGTGTTATGTATATATTTTAAAAATCTAATTAATTAACTTAGTGAAGAATAGGTAGTTGAACTAAATATTTTGCTTCCAAAGAAATGAAGGCTGTTGTACTTCTCAGTTCATGTGACTTTAACTTATGAAAAACGAAAGCCACCGAAGGCCTGAAGATGTATAAAAATAACCACTCCTTTAACTATGCTGTAATAAATCATACTTTACCTGCACCCAGCCCGTAATTTTATAAACTCACCAGGTTTTATAGTCAAGTTATTAATTGTTAAAAGATATTACTATAATGTGTAATTGAGAATACTGTATATAAATTTAATTGCCAGGTGTGGTAGAAGAGTAAAATGTGTTTGTAGTGAGAATAAATTATAGAAAGGCATGGAAATGTACATTTTGCCTAGAGTTAAAGAATTTTCTTTAATTAACTAAAATAAAGCTGTTTACACAAATTGTGAGAAATACTGCAAAAAAATTAATCTTGCAAAAGAAAACCCTGTGAACCTACTAACTAGATTGAAAAGGGTATTATGTTTATTTCTGCCATTAAGCATTGAAGTGAAAACACAACAAAAATTTCTTGAAACATTAATCTTCTCTTTAGCAAATTTGTAAAAGTTTGTTAAAATGTTGTAATAAGTTTGTGAAAATTCACTTCTTTGTCAAACTTTCTAAGGTTAAAATAATTTTACATAAGGTTTCATTAAGCTTAGGGTTAACATTAGGAGACAACTACAAGGGGAAAATTTGTCCTTCTGAAAGAGATTATCATGTAATATTGAAGGCTGATAAAAGTGTTTCTGCCCTTTCAAACATTTCTACCAACTGTATTTTGGCAAAACAAATGATTTATGGAAATCTGGAATTGGATTTCATAACATTAAGTGTCTTAATCCTCTAAAATATTTGGCAGGCTTCCCAGAATAAAATTTTAACTTCAAGGATGTATTTTCTGAACCCTATATTTTGGATGCCTCAGAGAGCCCCTGGGGCATAAAAGAAAAAGTTAAACAGGATTATAAAACACATTTAAATACATGTGATTTTGATGGTAATATTTTATTTTTTTCAGAATATATTTTAGTGGGTAACATTAACACAGGGCTCAAAACCACATGAGGTTTTTAATGTTCTTAATATCTGAATACGTGCTACCATTTTTATTTAAAGTTATTATGTTAAGCTATTGTAAACCACGGAAGTAACCAAATGTCTTTGCCTATGCTGTTTCTAACCACACTAGACATTTTGTCATTTACAGACATTTAATCTTCATCAAGAATAACGACTTATAATTAGCTGTAGAACTGTACCAGCTGTTCTCAACTGTAGGTTTTTTTATAACAGGAAAATGTACAGAACTTAGGAATAGCTAAAATGCTTATAAATGTCAAGCAGGACAAATGTTAAAATAGACTAAACTAACAGAAGAATGAAACAATCTCTTTACCTTTAGAATATTTCTAATTCTTGTTTTGTTTTTTAAAGTCAAGTGCACTTTTTTTTAAACTAGCTACAGCTTTTAAAACTGTCAATTGGTATACTCCTGTTAGCAAAACTCAAAACATGCTTTTTTTCTCTGTGCCTAGTTCCTCTAAAATTCGGAAAGTATGTGTGATTATTCTTAACTTACAACAATATAATCGTTTTACTCAGTGCAACAAAAATGTACTTTCATTTGCAGCATAACCCAATAGAATAAGCGGGTTGATTTTCTAAGGCTTTGACTGGAAGAGTGTGCCTTCTTTAATGACTTACATCTGACTTCTAGAACCAATAAAAGCCCTCTAAGAAACGCAGCCTTATACTTTGTTTACACAGTCCCAATACAGGTTTTCTAATCTGCAGTAAGAGAAAAAAAAAAAGCCACTTTCTATCAGGCCTAGGAACCACATGCACTTGGAATCTCAAAACAATAGAGGAGTTTATCCAAATAATATGTATCCAAGGGTCAAACCTATAGTTGGACTCAGCTTTATAATGTCCTATTTAAGATTCCTTGTAGAATAGAGATTCATAAAAGCCCATGAGGAAAGCACATGTAAAGGTATTTCTCACAGCACTGTACAAAAATATTCTGGCTAAGTGTAGGACAAGTCTGTTTTGCCAACAACTAACTTTTGTCATAATTCGTTCTTAACAAAAATTAGGACTAAAACAAGATAGAGGTCTCACAGCCTATCACACCTCTATCACTAACTTCTCATCTCATACGTTGTTTTTAAGATGTTTGTACAATATTAATTAACCTTTTTTTTTTTTTTCTGTGAACCAACTGGTGAGGTCCAGCTACCGTTCTTGGAAAACAGAAAGATATGAGTAATAGATAAATCTAGAACAATATTCTAATTCTGGGAACTCATTCCACAAATATTTGCAGGTCATAAAAGAAAATAGGGTTTCTGTAACAGAATTTTTGTTTCAAAGGATCAAATCAAGAAAGCTAAATAAATCCAAGTCTCATGTAACAAAATCTTAACAGGTGTAAATATAGCCACAGTTACACGGGCACGTCAGCAGCCTTGAAGTATTTCAGCTGTTCTTACTCTCCTTGTCTAGTTGTGATATGCTTTTTCTAATAATCCAAACTGGTTTTCTTTTTGTGCCTAAAGTCTATCACACTTTAAAACGTAATGCAAATAAAACCATGCATTAACAGGCCTTTCTTCTACAAACAGTTAAACCAACCCTCAGTAGATCCTACATACTGTTTTCTACACAACACTCTTCTCCAGCAGAAAGTATCCAGAAAGACCAATGCCCAATCTCCTAACAGAAGTTAGAGTTTTCATTTCTGAGGGAGGACAAAGACAACTTAACCAGCTTTTCCCATGTAAACAGCAAGGAATGGGTTCCTGGAAGACCTCCAGTAAACAAGTAAGGGCCTGATTCCAACATAACATAATAACCAGGCCAAAAAAAACGTGTGTGTACCAGTAAGAGATTTAACACAGAAGGTTGTGCCTGACAGCATGGCTGCAGCAACACAGATAACAGAACCTTCAGTCCATTCAGATAAAATCTTGTACAAACCTCCCACTGATTCAGATGGGGAACCAATGCCTGGCATAGGCTTGTTGTTTTCTGTATACACAGAGGGCTTTCAGAAAATAAAGTTGTTTTTTGTTTTGTTTTGTTTTTTTTTTGTGGGCATAAACGCAGTGGGATCTAGCGGGTATTGGATGAAATATTTATTTTTGTATTTCACTGGTTGCTCAACCCATATGAATCATCACTTCAGTCCCTGACTGGTCCTGAGCCAGCATCCCAGAACAAGCTTTTACTTTAGGTCCTGTACCAAGCTAAGCAGTCTTTGCAAATTACCACTTCAGACTGCTCCCAGGCAAAGTGCCTGGGCTAAGCTGTCTAATAGGTCCTGGGCCAGGGCAAAGCTAAGTCACCCATTCTCCAAGACAGCTTGCAAACTAAGTATATATCTTTATTTTTTAGGCCATAAAAACCTTAAACCCCAGTGGACAACTTATTCAAGCTTCTATCTCTGCTGGCAGAGAGCTGCTTTTGCCACTTATTTAAACTTTTGCTCCAAACAGTTTCCTTTGTCTACAGTCCTTAATCTTCTTAAATGTAAAATAAAAGACTCTTAGTGTAATCTCAAATGAAAGAAAGGCTGTTATGTCTTGGTGCATTGTTAAAAGAACAATATTATCTGAACCTATGACACATTTTTGCAGTTTTCTTTTGATGTCAGGGTCTGCTTGAGTAATAAACTTTTCTCTTAAGATTAACTTTATCTTAACCCAATAGGGAGATAGGAACATGTGTTTCACTAAAGCCTCTCTCAGGATTTTAAAAAAGGCTCTATAATTTTTCTGTGGTTTTAACCTATTATGAATAGTTTAGAGTAATTATGAAGTTTTGTCCTGTTCACTTATAAGCCTTCCAGTAGGCTCACTAATTTTTTTTTTCACTCCTCTATAGGACCAATAAGATTCCAATCGAGTTTTCAGCACTCCGTCCTTTCCTATTACGAATAAGAATTCTGTTATCAGTTCAACTTTTTTTATTCCTTTTCACCCTCCCTTTTTCAAGATTTTATAAAAGACATGTGGTTCATCCATGGATAACTCTGCTCTCTGTAAAGCTGCCTGCTTTAGGGCAACAGTTAGGGTTTGGTTTAGCAGTAATGTATCATCTATTCAGGCATGATTGAACACTTGAGTTAGATTTTGAAATATCTCTGTATATCCACCAGGGTCGTCAGAGGACATTTGCTTATCTTTTTCATTTCTTTGTCTAAGTCTTTGCAATGAGAAGAAAACTTCTGCTATACTAGTATCACATCTATGGAGTATTTTCCACAGGGGCAACAGTGAGGTTGGGTTTTCTTTAGTGGCACAACAAGACAAGATGATGAAATGGCTATTGGAGCTTCTAAATGAGGGTGGCAGGTATGACATTTAGAAGATACATTTGAGGGTTCCTCAGGGGCTTGTCTCTGACTTTAATGAATTATCTCTTTGGAACTTGCCTGTTATGACTGACAAGAGGGCAGAGTCAGTTTTACAATACTTAGAAAGATCTGGGTTGTCTCCCACGTCAAAGTAAGGTTGTCCAAAAAAGAAAAAAAAAATCATACTCTTTTCTTTGCCATCTGAAGAAAAGATATACCTGTTGAATAGTACTAAAGCGAACACTTCCCTCAGAAAGCTAGGCATGTCTGTCCTGGAGCTGGTAGGGCTGTCATGCCCTTGAGCAATAAATACATAAATAAGCCACTTTCATTTTTCAGAGTCTCACAGTCAGTGAAATTTCTGTGTTTCAGAATGTAATCTAGAGAGGTGCGTACTGCAGACAGTTTGTGAAGTTTCTAAAGAAATATATAAAAAAAATTCCTATTCTCTTTTTCCCCCTTTTGAAATAGCCCTGACTGAATAAAAAGATAGGATATTCCTTGTTTTTGCATTCCTCTTGTCTTTTCTGAGTCTGGTGACTGACATAGGTGTCCCCCATGGATGGAAGCTAAACCTTCACCCACAGTTCTAGAGGATCTAGACAGCAGGACAAGTAACATTTTCCTGCAGAGGCTTTAGCTCTCTACTGGTGACTCTTTGTTGATTTCTTAAGCCTACTCAACCCAGAAGATACCCAGAGTAACTTGGGAGCCTAAAAAAAAGATTATATAGTCATTGGATTCTAGCAAGACACTTGTATAGAGTAAGAATTTTAATACTATTTGTGGCTTCCCTTGCTATGGCCTAGAAAAAATACTGAAATTGCAGGAAATAAGATAGATTGAGTTGAAACATAAAATTCTCCGTTAGTTTAAATGTCAGTGCTGCTGGAGGAAGAAGGTGTGCCTCAAAGCAAGTAAAGCTTGTATGGCTGGCTTTCATAAGACAGCACTTAGCTAAAATATGTCTCTCAAAGACACCTTCTTTCTGATTATTGAAAGTGGAAATTTTCTGTTTACTGATAGGGCACAGAGTTAGAGAGATATAACAGAGAGAGGAATTAAAATCCAAGGGTTTTGTGCAAAGTACTGACAAGCCTTCCCCAAGAGAAAAACCTCATTTTACTAGGTTGCATTTTAAGATCTCAGATATTCCATGAAAATGCTGAATTCCAGGTTTATATAGTCAAAACTTAGAAAAGGAAGGTTAACGCTCTATCGCCTGTCCCCACAGTATGTGTCTCTGCAGAAAAAAGAAGATGTGTCTCACAAAGAAACTGTTTAGATATATATGGCTGTGCTGAGCTTTTTAAAGAGAAGTCACCCGCCAAACAGGGAAAATTTATTGGAATGTATGTCATTCCCAACAGTGTCATGAATGTCTATCATCGGCGGACAAAAAGACCCTTATCCAATAAAAATTTTTAGACCACAATTTTGAATTCTTCCTCTTTTGAAAGAAAAAAAAAAAACACAAAATAGCAACTCTTTGAGTTATATTTCTACTGACTGACTTTTACCAGTAAGCTTGTATCTCCAGGTCTCAACATTGCATACAAAGAAGAAATAGGAGGGACATTAGCCACACAATGACAAAAAACAAATAAATAAAATGCCACAGAAAAGCCTGGAATTTTTGGTGGCAACACTCTGATGGGCTGTCAGAAACTGGAGTTAGTTTTGAGGCCTTCACGTAACACCGTGGTATAGCCTTAACCAGAAATCTTCAATTAACTTAGATATCCTTTCAGTCCTATGTGACAGCTGGATCCTCTCTGAAAGAAAACAGTTGGAACAGAGGCAACATTTTCAACAGCGGAGGGTGAAAGGAGACTGCCAATGTGTCTCCCAGCATCCCTTTCTCCTAAGCTTTGTAAGAATGGCAGGCAATCCATCGGATTTTACCTGGCACTGGCCCAGAGCTTTGTTTGCTCTTCAGAAATTAAAAAAAAAGAAAAAAACAAATAACAAAAACAAACAAACAAAAACTGAGAACAAGCTGCAGATATGAAAGCAAATAGAGGACAAGCTGAAGATATGAATGTAAATAGTTTGGAATGGCACCCCTACTCCCTTTTTTTTTCTAATGGATTCTCTGTCACTTAAACTGGAGTCCAGTTGCATGATCTTGGCTAACTGCAAGCTCCATTTCCCGGGTTTATGCCATTCTCCTGCCTTAGCCTACCAAGCAGCTGTCACTAAAGCTGCCCACCACCACACCCTGCTAATATTTTGTATTTTTGGTAGACTTCATGAGGGCTTCACCATGTTAGCCAGGATGATCTCCATCTTGATCTCCTCCTGATCTTCCCACATTGGCCACCCAAAGTGCTGTGATAACAGTCATGAGCCACCATGCCCAGCCCCTACTGACCTTTTTAATTAAGGCCTTTCCAAGTCCATGAACCAAAAACAAACTTTGCTGTCCCCCAGTGAACCACAATGTATCAGTCTCTCATTTTTAGGTGACACACAGATCTTTTTAATCTCAAGAAAATTAAAAATTAGGAATGCAAAAGGTGAGATGATAGTAAATGTTTAACATGTTAACTTCTGGTGGAGTAGAGTCAGTTGCCCACTTTGAGAAAGAGTCTGATATTTTTATGGACTCAGAAGGAAGAAAAGGTACTAACTAGTTTTGAAGAAAGCACTTCTCATCTTTTCTGGGTCCTTGTGCCTGGAACTATTAATGGCGGATGTAATGACTCAGCTTGGCTCAGGAACTTGGCCCTGAGCCACACAAGAGCTAAAGGGAAAGCATGGCCCAGGACCTTGGCCTGGGACCAGAGTCTTAAATGATAATTTACAGAAATTTGGCTCGGAGTCTGAAGTATGTTTAGTAATATAAGGTACCCTTTGTAACACATTGGAGTCCAATATGTACAAGTTCTAAAAAAGAGAGAGACTATTTCCTGGAAGCACTCTGGTTACACAAAAGACACAACATTTTAATGCGGGGTCTTGTTTGTTTTTTTTTTTTTTTAATCTGAGTAGCTGTGGGCATGTCTTAAGCACACACACACAAAAAGTTGGGCTTTTTTTAAAAAAAAATTATTTGCTTGGGCCACAGGATTGTGCAGGATTCTTAAATTTGTGTCTGCAGCCTGATATTTCAGGCTGTTTCTCTGCTTGCAGAAATTTTACCAATAATCCACCACAACTATGTAGCTTTTCTTTGTCAATACTATTGAAGACCTAGATAGTTTCTGAGAGTCAAAGGCACATTGTTTGAAGTTTCCTATGTGCAAGGCTTTTTGCCCTGTGAAACCACCCACATCTTTGTAAATACTGTAAAATTGTTCCTGCTTTCTTAGCAGTCATATCAGAAAAGCCCACAAGAAACAACTCCCAAACGTCAGAGAAACATTCTCCCTGGAAACACTCAAAACCACATTTGTTACCACAGGTTTTCTCATCTTCTTGATGCAGAGAATCTTTTAGTCACATCATCATCAGCTTTTCCAGTTTTTACATCCAACCCTCCACGTTCCTTACTACCCCTATAGGAAATGCCCAATGAATGAGGTGCCAGTAAAGTGCAAGTTTCTTTTTCATTACAGTACCTTAAACAAATAAAGTAAGACCTGGGGAAGTTTTCTGATACATCAATAAATATATAGAGCCTTTCTAATATCTAGCCCTTTTTTTGGTCTTAAATGGGAAGATGTTACCTTATTGCTGAGCCAAAATCTTACTGCTTCTGACAAATAGCCCTACAGTCAACAGAAAGATGCTGGGCCAAGATGCATTTCTTCTATAGCATGTCATAGTAAATAAAAAGCAGTCAAAGAGAGAAAGAGTGAAGAAAAGACAAGATGCTAATTTCCAGTAGAAAGAGAGACAGAGCCCTTTGAAAACCCTAATTTAAGTCATAGTGATCCCATAGATAAGAAAAAAAAAAAAGAAAAAAGGAAAAAGAAAGCAGGACATTGGCCCTTTAGATACCCCAGCTCTAAACCTTTCCCATGCCAGGGCTAGGATGACGTCCTTGGGTCTTTGCATTCTCTGGCATTTCTTCTTTTGTGGATGCCACTGCATTCTTCAGTGCCTGCAGAAGAGAAAGCTTGTGGTATGCCTGATTCACCTAAAGGTTTTCAGGGAGCTGTCACCTGTACCAGCACCTGACCTGCTTACCTCATCACAGATAACAGGCAAAGCTGTGTGCAGTGGCTGGACTGAACCAACACTCACTCATGTATCTGCCTCCAGTCTGTGCCTGGTGCATCCATAGCAAAATGAAACCTAAGCCCATAGTTTGAGCTGAGTGCAGCCTGTAAGATGGGTTTGTAAAATTAGAAAAGCAGGCTCAAGGGAACCTTGCACAAAGGTGCCATCATCCAGAGAGGTTCTTGGCTGGTGAAGTGACACACTAGAGATCTTGTGACAAAGATGACATTCATCACCAGTGGCCAGTGGATTATTCAATTATGCCTATGTAATGGAGCCTCGATAAAAACCAACAAGACAGGATTCATAGAGCTTTTGCATAACTGAGCACATACAGTGTTCTAGAAAATTGTGTGCTCATAAAAAGAGACACTGATAATTGTAAAGGTCATACAGAGTGTAGGGGTGTTTGTTTTGAAAGAAGTTTCTGCCTTTAATAATGTGTCCAGAATTTTAACTTATTAACTAGAACATACACTAAAGTAACCTAAATCTGCACATTCCACACATTAGAACCTGGATATTTCCACCAAAATGATTCCATAATTCACTAATGTGGTGTAACAAGTTTTACTTTAGAGCGATAAAGTTTTCTTTTGTTAACTGGGTAAGAACTAGACATTTATAAAGGAAAAGAAAATCAAGCGATATCTCACCACCAATTCTAGTCATGTGTTCAGTTTAGGAGAATGATCGTCAGTGGATTTTGTGCCATAAGTATTTATGCTAAAAGATAAGTCTCTTATAATTGTGTGTCTCTGAAGTGTTTGTGCCACTATAAAGTCAAGGGCACCATCTCTGATCGTTCTGTGTCTTTCTGGGAGGGAAGCTAAGGCTGCTTTATATCCCAATAGAGGTATTCTAGGATATAAAAGTAAGAAAAAATCAACATTATTACAGGATTCTCTGTCATAAACATCTAATAAAACACAACTCTGGTCTTATATATAGTAGTAGCCATAGATACATATTAGAGCTTGCAAGAAGAGTCTAGTACCCAACAGTCTGTTTTTATATTTGGGCTTAGGTGTGCCTAAAATAATCACATTTGGGCAAAGAGGCTGTTTTGTTACTCCTTGTAAAGCTACAGTGCTTAAAAATGATGTGATAATTTAAATACATAGCTTGGACATTTGCAGTTCTGTTTCCAAGCCTTAGCTATGGGTGAAATTGTTTTGGGCTATGAAGATGGATTAGGGCATCTTGCAACTCATGATGCATTTGTTGCCCCTTAGTTCTTGTGTCCTGAGCAGACAGACTGACAATTAAAACTCATCAATTTTATTTTCAACATACTTTAACATGGATTCTATCCCTTGGGCTGAGCTCCAGATCTTCCTCAGCACCTCACACTCTCTCTCATTGGCCTGTTCCAACTCCAACTTAATATTACAGCGAACGAGGGCCTTACATTCTTCCAGTACAATTGCATTGTATGAGGCAAGCTCCTTAATTTGAATCATAACCTCTTGGGTGAAAGTTCCAGTCAAAAATACCTGAGAGACCAGGCCTTTGGCGCATGCCTCCCGTGCTGTCAGCTTTCGCCCAGCAATTAACATTTCATTGGCAGATGCTTTACCCATCATTTTGGGGAATGTAATAGAAGAACAGCCATCTGGACTCTGTCCAAAGGTCGTATAAGGGGTTTGGAACCAAGCCTTTTCATTAGCCCACACGAGATCACAAAGAGGCAGGATGGATGCACCTAGTCCAATGGCAGGGCCATTGACTGATACAACAATAGGCTTTTTAAATTGAATAAAAGTATTCACAAAGTTCTTGATGGTGTCCACCATTTCAAGGCTTGCTGTGTTTCTGTCATTCCTTAAGTGCCTCACAAAGTACCCAAAATCAAGACCGCAGCAAAAGACACTTCCAGCTGCACTGAACAGCACGAGCTTGCTGTCATCTGCAGCAGCGCTATTCAGAGCATTAACCATTTCTTTAATTACTTCTGTATTCAGTGCATTTTTTTCTGTCGATCTAGTTGATAGCACTATCTGGGTGAATCCATCCTCTTTCTTCACTACAATGTCTCTGTATGTGATGGCACTTTCTGTTAGCCTTATGGTGAAGTGCATCTTCTTGATAAAAGGCTGGCCTCTGCTGTCATCAGTAATATTTCTTTGCCCACCTTTCACTCTTGGAACTGAGGTATGCATGTCTGTTGTCCCATTGGCTGCTAATGGGTCTATTAATACCACTATACCCTTTCGGGTAGCTGAACCTGTGGCCATAGAAGCAGTAACTGAGCCAGACATCTGCGACATTAGTGGGTGCATCTGAGTCTTGTTCTGTATTCCAGTCTGTTCTGCACCAGGATGTGACAAAGGGTCCCGGAGGAGTTTCCCTTCTGTCACCTTGAAGACCACCGTGTCCTGCTGATCTGCTGCAATAGGGTCCAGTTTCTCAAGTTTCTGAAAGCCACTCACAGTTTTCTTGTGGTCAAAGGGGCTGTCAGGTGCAAGGGTCTCAATAGTTGAATTTATTATCTCCATATTCTTTGTGTCGGAGAGAGTTGAAGCTGCCTTTCTCCTAACGTTCTTGCTGGCAGCAAATAACTTGCAGTTTTTGGACCTGTGGTGTTTATCAGTCACTGGAGTTTTAGGAGAGTTCTTAGAATAGTTTGCTTTTGTAGATCTGGAAGTTCTTCTTCTGGCATTGTTTGAAAAAATTCTACTGGTTGTAGTCCATGTCAGTTTTTTCTGTTTTTCAGTCTGTCGTCTATTAAAATCATGTACACATTTTTCACAGTTCATGAGGTGCTGCTCTGGTTCCCAAGTGTCATCCTGTTTGTCATAACCTTTCCACCGAACCAAATACTGTGTATTCCCATTTTTATCCTGTCTTTTGTCAACAATAGCTTCAACCTCAAACTCCTGGGAAGCCATGAGGAAAGACACGGGATTGGAACAGTTGCTGTGCCACCTTTGTTTCAGTTGCGTCTCCACATAGACACTTCTTTCTGCCTCCAGCTCTTCACCAGGTTCTGTGTATGGATGAACCTCTTCTATTTGGTCACCACTGGTGTAGTGAAAATTGTGCGAAATAGCAGCTATGCCATGTGCCTGAACCTCTCCACACTTACTGCCTGGTGGGACAGCTTGGGCTTTGTCTCATGGTGCATGACAGCTTGCTCAGTAGCCTCAGGTGAGAGTAGCTAAATCCACAGCCCCAACCCTCTGGTGTAGTACAGAAAGCTTTCTTCCTGCCTGTTACTCTTTTGTGTTTCTTTGTTTAATTGTGGTTGCTATGACGATTATATGGAACATTCTAATGTTATAACATTTTTAAAGTTACACTAGCTTACCTTCAGTAACATACAAAGCCTTTACTCCTGTATAATGTACCTCCATTATTTCACTTACTGAGTTCTCAAAATTATACCTTTATTGATTTTATGTCAAAAACACAAATTAGTGGTAGTTTTTTTATTAAATATATTTGTGTTTTAAGTTGTGTGGAGAACAAATTGTGGAGGTGCACATTGTTAATTGTTCGTTTTGTTTTGTTTTGTTTTGTTCTGTTTTGTTTTGTTTTGAGATGGAGTCTCGCCCTGTCAACGAGGCTGGAGTGCAGTGGTGCGATCTTGGCTCACTACAAGCTCCGCCTCCCGGATTCACGCCATTCTCCTGTCTCAGCCTCCCGAGTAGCTGAGACTACAGGCACCTGCCACCTGGCCCGGCGAATTTTTTTTTGTATTTTTAGTAGAGACGGGGTTTCACCGTGTTAGCCAGGAGTGTCTCGATCTCCTGACCTCGTGATCCACGCACCTCAGCCTCCCAAAATGCTGGGATTACAGGCGTGAGCCACTGCGCCCGGCCAAATTTTTTATCTTACATATTTGTTCATGTATTTATCTTTACCTTAATCTTTGCTTGTTCATACTGCTTTTGAGTGTCTGTCCATTCTACCCTGAAGTACTCCATAAGACATTTCTTAAAGGGTAGTCTACTTGTAAAAGGTGCCAGTTTGTATATGGGAATGTCATAATTTGTCCCTCACCTTTGATGGACAGTTTGGTGGATCATAATGTTTAGGCTTGACAGTTTTTTCTGACATCACTTGCAATATATTAGGCTACTGCTTTCCATCGTTTTAGTTTTCAGATAAGAAATCTACTGCTTTTCAGTGGTTATTCAGATAAGCGATCCACTGGTTATTTTTAGGGTCCCTTTTACATGACTAGCTACTTCCCCTGCTTCCCTTGAAAATCCTCAAGATTCTCTTTGTATTTATTTTAGACAGTTTAATTATCAGGTAAGTTTGAGTTTGTTTCTTTGAGTTTTTGTTACTTGGAGTCTGTTGAGCTCCTTGGGTGCTTACTTATTGTCTTAAATTGTTGCATTCTTTATGACTATGTTGTTAAATAGTATCCATGATTTTTTGTCTCTTCCTTGGAACTTCCAAAATGCGTATGTATGGCTGCTTGATGGTGTCCCTCAGGTTTCTAGGCTGTATAAATCTGCCTTGCCCCTTTTCAGACTCCATTGGTGACCACTATATGGTTGACTGACCCCAAGGGTGTGTATCACAGTGTGGGGACAGTGTGTCAGTTGGTCTCGCAAGGCTGATGCGTCCCAGAGCTCAATTCCCAGACTTCAATCATTGCAGTCTCATTAGTGCACTACGATCTAGAAATCTCTAATTGTGAGGTATCACACAGAGTTCTTTGTCTCATGGCCAAGAAAATTCAGGAGGATGGATGCAAAAAGGTTGAATCAAAACTTTTATAAGTGAAAGTAAAAAACTCTTCACAGTGAGGGGTGAAATGTGAGTGGTTTACCTACTATGAGGCTGTGCTTTACGGTTTCTAAGGGCAGAGAAGTAAAGAAATGTGCTTAGTGTTCTTGGAGTAGGCGTTATTTGGCTTGGCCCTGAAACTTGGCCTTGGATTCATCTGGAGCTGAAGTGATGATTTGTAGAAGCTACAAGGCTCAGCCTTGGAACTTGGCCCTGGACCAAGAAGGAGCTGAAGTGACAGCTTGGCCTGAGACCTTGGCCTGGGATCAATCAAGGGATGAAGTAATGTCTCATGGCCACAATAATTAAGGAGGCTGGATGATGCAAAGTTCAAGTAGGAACTAAAGTAACACAACAGCCATCTGGACTCTGTCCAGATGTCATATAAGGGGTTTGAAACCAAGGCTTTTCATTAGCTCAGAAGAAATCACAAAGAGGCAGTGTGGATGCACCTATTCCAAAGGATGGGCCACTGACTGATACAAAAACAGGCTTTTAAAATTGATTGAAAGTATTCACAAAGTTCTTGATGGTGTTCACCATCTCAAGGCTTGTTCTGTTTCTGTCCTTCCTTAAATACTTCAGAAAGTACCCCAAATCGAGACCACAGCAAAAGACACTTCCAGCTGCACTGAACAGCACAAGCTTGCTGCCACCCACAGCAGCCCTATTCAGAGCATTAACCATTGCTTTAATTACTTCTATATTCAGTACATTTTTTATGTTGATCTAGTTTATAGGCACATCTGGGTGAATCTGTCCTCTTTCTTCACTGCAATATCTCTGTATGTGCTGGCACTTTCTGCTAGGCCTATGATGAGGTACATCTTCTGGATAAAAAGCTGGTCTCTGCCACCGTCAGTAACATTTCTTTGCCCAACTTTCACTCTTGCAACTAATGTATGCACATCTGTTTTTCCATTGGCTGCCGATTGGCCCATTAATACCACTATACCTTTTTTGGTAGCTGAGTCTGCAGCCATGGAAGCCGTAACTGAGCCAGACCTCTGAGAAAATAGTGGTTGAATCTGGGTCTTGCTCTCTATTCCACAATGTCCTGCCCTGGGATCTGATAAAGCCCTGATGATCTTCCCTTCCTCCTCCTTGAAGACCACTGTATCCTGCTGATCTGCTGCAATAGGGTCCAGATTCTAGAGTTCCTGAATGCCACTCACTGTGTTCTTGTTGTTAAAAGGGTTGTAAGGGGCAAGTGTCTTTCTTGATAGTTGAACACAGTAGCTCCATATTCTTTGGGTCGGACAGAGGTGACCCTGGATTACTGCTAACATTCTGGCTGGCAGAACATAACTGGCTGCTTTTGAATTTGTGGTGTTGGCCAGACACTAGCGTTTTAGGAGTATTCTTAGAAAAGTTGGGCTTGGTAGATGTAGAAGTTCATCTTCTGGTATTGTTTGAAAAAGTTCTAGTTGTTCTGGTCCATGCCACTTTTTTACTTTTTCTGTTTTTCAGTCTGTCATCTGTTAAAGTAATATATATATTTTTGACCGGTGCTGCTCTGGTTCCCAAGTGTCATACCGTTTCTTCTTAACCTTTGCAACACCAAAAATTTTTGTTGTTGTTGTTGTTGTTTTGTTTTGTTTTTTTTTTTAGACAAAGTCTTGAGCTATCACCCAGGCAGGAGTACAGTGGCACAATTGCACAATCTCGGCTCACTGCAACCTCCACCTCCTGGGTTCATGCGATTCTCCTGCCTCAGCCTCCCGGGTAGCTGAGATTACAGGGGCCTGCCACCACGCCTGGCTAACTTTATGATTTTTAGTAGAAAGAGGTTTTCACTGTATTAGCCAGAATGGTCTCCATCTCCTGAACTCGTAATCTGCCCGCCTCAGCCTTGCAAAGTGCTGGGATTACAGGCATGAGCCACTGTGCCTGGCCTCTGTCTTTCCATTTTTGTCTCATCTTTTGTCAACAATAGTTTCAACCTCAAACTCCTGGAAAGCCAGGAAGAAAGACACAGGATTGGAGCCATTGCTGTGCCAAATTTTTTCCATTTGCGTCTCCACATAGCCACTTCTTTCTGCCTCCAGTTCTTTACCAGGTTCTGCGTATGGATGAGCCTATTCTATTTCATCACCACTGACGTAGTGAAAATTGTTTGAAATAGCAGCTATGCTATGGGCTTTAGGCTCTCCACAATTATGCCCTGGTGGGACAGCTTGGGCTTTGTCTCATGGTGCATGATAGCTGGCTTAGTAGCCTCAAGTGAGAGTAGCTAAATCCACATCTCTTACTCTCTGGTGTAGTACAGAAAGCTTTCTACCTGTCTGTTACTCTTTTTCTTTTTTAATTGTCATTGATACTGTGATTACATTGAATATTCTAAAGGTATTCCACTTTTAAAGTTATACTAGCTGACTTTCAATAACACACAAATCCCTTAACCCTGTATAACTGCACCCCCATGATTTCCTTATTGAGTTCTCAAAATCATACCTTTATGCACTGTATGTCAAAAACGCAAGTTAGTGATAGTATTTTTATTAAATATATTTGTGTTTTAAATTGCATGGGAAACACATTGTGGAGGTGTACACTGATATTCTTTATGTTTTATAATAGCTTATATATTTATCTTTACCTTAATATATATCCATTCATACTGCTCCTTATTATCTGTTCATTTTACCGTGAAGTATCCCATAAGGCATTTTTTAAAAAGATAGTCTACTGGTAAAATGTCCCAGCTTTTATCTGGAAATGTCATAATTTCTCCCTCACTTATAAGGGACAATGTTTTGAACATAAGATATCTGTTCAAAAGTTTTTTCTCACATCATTTGGAATATGTTAATCTATTGCTTTCTGTCCTCTGAGTTTTCAGATAAGATATCTGCTGATTATTTTTGAGGGTTACTAGCCAGTAACATAACTAGCCACTTCTTTTGTTGCTTTCAGGATTTTCTCTGTCTTTCTTTTGAAGAGTTTAATTATCATATAATTTGAGTTTGTTTATTTGAGTTTCTCTTACTTGGAGTTTGTTGCCTTTGACATTCTTTAACATTATTGTTTCTAAATAGTCTTCCTGATTCTTTTTCTCATCCTTTGAACTTCCAGTATGCGTAATATGGCTGCTTGATAGTGTTCCATGGCATTTTAGGCTTTATTCCCATTGCTTTATACTTTTTCTATCATGTCCTAACTTAATTATGTCAACACCCTTTCTTTGGTTTGCTGATAGTTTGTTCTTCCCCCAGCTCAAGTCTGCTTTTAAATATCTGTAGTGAATATTTTTTTCTTTTTATCCCTAGATTTTTTTAGGTTTCAAAATAATTTTACTTTTTTATTAATTTTTGTTCATATTTTTTTTGTAGTTCTTTTGTTTCTTCTATTAGCTTATTCTGAAACTTAATTTTAAATATTATGTTTCTGTAAGACCACCATTTGGGCTGTCTAAAAAAAGTTTCAGACCATAATTTTTTTTTACTTCTTAAAATGAGCCATACTTCTCTGCTTCGCTGTGTGGTTTATCTCTAGACTTTTTTAGGTTTTAAAATAATTTTACTCTTTTGATTAATAATTTTTGTCCGTAAGTGTTTGTGCTTCTTTTGTTCATTCTATTAGCTTATTATGTAGCTAATTTTAAATATTATATTTTAGTAAGGCTGCCATTTGGGCTGTCAAAAAAAGCTTATTTTTTCATAATTATTTTGTAGTTGTTATTAAAATGAGCCATACTTGTCTATTTCACTCTGTGGTTTGTGATTTTGCTGGTGCTGAAAAAGAGCATTTAAATTTTAAAGTGCTGTGACTTTGAAAATAAGATTTTCTACTTCTATGGTTTGGTAGAGTTTTGTTTACTCATTATATAGGCTCTTTCTCTCCTGTAAATCAGCTGTACTGAGCTTCGTCTTGGGTCTCTTTTGAGGCACATTGTTTTGAGGCACATATCGTTAAAACCACAATTCATTACATATATATGTGTGTGTGTGTGTGTGTGTGTGTGTGTGTGTGTGTGTATGATTAATTTTGAATGTTTTAGTCTACAAATGTCTTAAGAGAAAAAGAAGAACAATCAGGAAAAAATATTTTCACTTTTTAAATCTATTGAAAGTTGGTTGCACAGAGGGACAAAGAGCCTGCATAATATTTGGGGAATATAATAATGACTATTCACCTCTGTTGGGACCTCCATAAGCAGAAGCAGCAATCGGCAAATGAGTCCTCCTGAGATTTGGAGGACAGGGTCCTTTTTGTTTGCCATGGCTCTTGTAAGCTGCTCCAGAAATATTTGCAAGGCAGCATCCCACAGTGGTGGTTATTAAAGAATAAGTAGCTGCTGTTGATCTGTGCTACAAAATTGATAAAATTTAATTTTTATTTACTTTACAAATCTTTTTTTGGAAGCTGTAAACCTTCAGGTAGACTCGGAATTCTATAGTAATTGCATCATAGTAATCCTGCCACTGCACCCATTGTATAGTTGAAGGGACAGATATACAGTGATCCCTTGTACATTGCAGAACTTTCCCAGAATCTAGTATTATTTTACTTCGACCTATTTGTCTTTGCACCTGAAGTATGCCTTGCATAGAAGTCACAAAAGTGACTCCTTCGTTTAAGGGTACACTTGCAACAATGTGTGCCTTTTTAAGCAAGAGCTCACATTTACAGTTCTTACAAGTAAAATATTACATACTCTGACATGGACTTACATGTTTTCCATATGCGCTTTCTCTTGCTTGATCCTCAATTTCTTTTTTGCTCATTTAAAAAATCTGGATAATTTTTAAAAACTGCTGTTGTATTTTTCATATTACAATTTGATGTACTTGGGATTTCAATTATTATTGAAAACTTAAAATAGCCTACTATGAAGAATACTAACTTGTGTGAATAATTTAATGTTTAAGGTCAGCAGTATAAAAATATGCTGCTCTTGTAGTTTTCCATCCTTCTCAATTTATATTACTTTCTCTGATTTTATCTGTGCACACAGTATTTTTTGTACTCAGCAACTTAAATGTTTGTGACCAATTCCTGGCATTTCCGACCGAGAGTGACTTCTGAGTTAGGCAAAGGAGAAATAAATGTTTATTTTATCAAATTTTCATATATCCTCTAGAAAGACTGGGAAAAAAAAACACAATAATTTAGCACATAAGGGTTTCTTTGCTTTTATGAGAAGCAGGAATCAGGTCCTCATTTTGACAATGGGGATTTCAATTCTGTAGGCTTCATCTGTGCCTAGGAGGTGATATGAAAATCCTTAAAGAAAAAAAAACTTCACCATTTTATAATTGTCTTTCTGGATTAAATGTTTACTTGGTTTATATAAACTATTGATTTTCAGGGTCCAGACTGTTTTTGATGGTTTGAAACTTTTTTTTTTTTTTTTGGAATGGTTTGAAACTGCCATCCCTGCCGTTTTACTTTTATTTTTATCTGCGAAGCACTGAGTGTTTTCTAATTTCAGAGTTTATTGTTATTTATGAGGTTTATGTTTTGTCTCTTGTTTAAAACACTTAAAGTGAATGTTACATTTCCAATTTGCAATCCCCGGTGTTAGGTTTTTGTTTTAGTGGTCATTTTATAAAGTTTTTGTTTTTTTATTAAGTGAAATTATCAATTTTGTATAAAATGTATGAGGTAAGATTCTCTGTTATAAAGTACATTTTGGTTTTTGTAAAACAAACATACAATAAGTGGCTTACAAAGTGACTTTCAAATAATTGTCTAAAGAAAATAATAAGAAAATAATGTAAGCATGCAGCAAGATCAATAAGTACAATGATTCCTGGTGGAAGGCTGTATAAATTGTTTTTAAAAAGCCAGCTCCCTGTGGCTGCAGCAGGCTGTAGAAGGGGGAAAATTATAGAGGATGAGCTCATAGAGGTAACAGACAGTCCATGTGATTTTCTAGGGTTTTTATAGGTCTTCAGATTTTACTTTAGACTTCACCCTAACCCTGGTTTGTGACTCAAAGTAGAATTGGTAAGGTTGTTACTAGCATCTATTGCTGAGAGGTTAGAAATGCTGCTAAATATCCTAAAATCTTGAGTCTCAGGCACCTTTGAGAAGTTAACAGTGTTGAAATATCTCTCGAGAAAATTATTTTTAAAAGCTCACATTTAGAACTCTTTGATGTTATATTTTGAAGATTTCTTAACTCCAAGTTTGGTTTCCGTATAGCAGAAGGATTTGAAAAAGTGTACATAAGTTCCATTGATTCAACTTAGGGTAAACATTAGTAAAGTAAGGTCAGTTCAGTTAATCAATGATTAGAAACTAAATGATATATTTCTTATTTCTCTGCTTTTCCTTCCAATTGCTTTTTCAATATTTTTGTAAAACATGAGTGTGAAAAAATAAAACCCTAGTCAGCCTCTGTTTTGGAGGTACCAAGGGAGAAATCTCAATGAATGGTATTTGGGATGGAGCTAATCTTTCATACAGTTGAAAGGCATAAATAATACACGTGCATACAGGTGCATTGGCACACTATATTATGGATACACATTGTGCGTTCAGAAAGCACAATGTGTATCCATAATACAGTCATGAATGATCCTAGTCATAATATAGTCATGAATGATCCTGGGATATTACAATAAGCAAGTCAAATGGAAACAAAGTTTGCAAGGATTATAGCTGGGGTTATAGGATTTTCAATTTTGCTAAAGTTGTTTAGTAGAACCAATATTCAAGTATCTCCTACTTTTAAAAAAATTATTTGATAGAAGTTTGCATAGTGGACAGCTTTGATCAGAATCATTAGTTCTTTGCCAACGTAATAAAAGTATGCATTCACAAAAAATGCATATTAGACAATAAGAGAAAATAAAAATCAATGAATGAGGAAACTGATGTAATAGGAACAATTTCTGAAAATGTTAAGATAAATCCAAAAGGAGGTGAATTTCTACAGTGGAAAATCTTTCTCATTTCAATCAAAAATTTGTTTCAGAACATTAGCAAGTAGCAGCAACATGGTAATTATCCAGATTTACACCGTTTCCTTAGTTCCTACTTAGCGCCTGAGATGTAGGCTCTGTTGCTGATGCTAGGGCCTTCTCCATGAGGCAGAACTCCTACCCATATAGGGCTTGCTTTTTCTCCAAGGTTAATAAAATGCCATTGAACACCTAAAAGGAAACGGCAAGTTTATTTTTTTTTTTGCTTAATATACTAAGGGAGAGCTCTGCTGTTTAGACACATTCTTGGAACAATGCAGAGATTGTGAAATTGAGGCATTAACAGACATTAAGTTGTGCACAGAAGCTGGCATTATTTGTAGAAACAAAGTTGTTCAGCTAAAATTTGTAGTGAAAGAGGAATATTTATTGAAATCTGTGACTGACCTGATTTTTCAAAGTGCTGGCACTGTTTTATTATTATTAGTGTTACTATCACTATTATTACCTGTAACAGCTTTTTCACTAAGGAAGTTAAGCTTTATAGATCACTTAAATTTAAACCTGAATTTGATGGGTACATTTTACAATGATTGCAGAACCACTATTTACTAAATATTTCTGAAAGTCTAAATTGTCATTCTCTAAGAAGACATAATACACCTTTGTTTTTAAAGAAATGAAGAGTATTTACTAATTGGTAACCGTTTGTTAAATAATTACTCTGATATATGTTCAAGAGCCTTGTAAGTAAGTAAATAGGAAAATAAGTACTTTAAAGGTTTTTTTTTTTTTTTTTTTTAACATAGATGCATATGGACCACTGAAGCACATACGCACATGTGTATTGTGTATATATGTCAGGATTTTTTTTATGGAATTAGTTTATGGCATCACCATCAAACAAGCTGACTTATTAAAAGAAGGTTTATAGTTTTAATATTTATTCAAATAATGTTTTTTGATTGTATCCTAGGGATAGTGATCAGCTCAAAACCTGAAGGAAGAAGATGGGTGACTTCTCCATTTCCAACTGAGGTACCAGGTTCATCTCACTGGGAGTGCTGGGAAGTGGGGCAGGACAGTGGGTGCAGTGCATCAATTGTGACCTGAAGCAAGGTGAGGCATCACCTCACCCGGGAAGCAAAAGGGGTCAGGGAATTCCTTTTCCTAGTCAAAGAAAGGGGCACCTGGAAAATCAGGTCACTCTCACCCTAGTACTGTGCTTTTCTAATGGTCTTAGCAAATGGCACACCAGAAGAAGATATCCCATGCCTGCATCAGAGGGCCCTACACTGTTGGAACCTCGCTCATTGCTAGCACAGCAATCTGAGATCAAACTGCAAGGTGGCAGCATGGCTGGGGGAGGGCGTCCACCATTGCCAAGGCTTGAGTAGGTAAATGAAGCAGCTGGGAAGTTCGAACCCAGTGGAGCCCACCACAGCTCAAGGAGGCCTGCCAGCTTCTGTAGACTCCACCTGTGGGGGCAGGGCACAGCCAAACAAAAGGCAGCAGAAACCTCTGCAGACTTAAATGTCCCTGTCTGACAGCTTTGAAGAGTGTAGTGGTTCTCCCAGCACGCAGATGGATATCTGAGAACAGACAGACTGCCTCCTCAAGTGGGTCCCTGGCCCCCTGGTAGCCTAACTGGGAGGCACCCATCAGTAGGGGCAGACTGACACCTCACATGGCCAGGTACTCCCCTGAGACAAAAATTCCAGAGGAATGATCAGGCAGCACCAGTTGCTGTTCACCAATATCCGCTGTTCTGCAGCCTCCGCTGCTGATACCCATGAAAACAGGGTCTGCAGTGGACCTCAGCAAACTCAACAGACCTGCAGCTGAGGGTCTTGACTGTTAGAAGGAAAACTAACAAACAGAAAGGACATGGACACCAAAACCCCATCTGTACGTCACCATCACCAAAGACCAAAGATAGATAAAACCAGAAAGATGGGGAAATAATAGAGCAGAAAAACTGGATGCTCTAAAAATCAGAGCACCTCTCCCCCTCCAAAGGAACACAGCTCCTCACCAGCAATGGAACAAAGATGGACGGAGAATGACTTTGACTATTTGAGAGAAAAAGGCTTCAGATGATCAAACTACTCTGAGCTAAAGGAGGAAGATCGAACCCATGGCAAAGAAGTTGAAAACCTTGAAAAAAAATAGACGAATGGCTAACTAGAATAACCAATGCAGAGAAGTCCTTAAAGGATGTGATGGAGCTGAAAACCAAGGTACAAGAAAAACGTGATGAATGCACAAGCCTCAGTAGCTGATTTGATCAACTGGAAGAAAGGGTATCAGTGATGGAAGATCGAATGAATGAAGTGAAGTGAGAAGAGAAGTTCACAGAAAAAAGAATAAAAAGAAATGAACAAAGGTTCCAAGAAATATGGGACTATGTGAAAAGACCAAATCTACGTCTGATTGGTGTACCTGAAAGTGATGGGGAGAATGGAACCAAGTTGGAAAGCACTGCAGGATATTATCCACGAGAAGTTCCCCAATCTAGCAAGGCAGGCCAACATTCAGATTCAGGAAATGCAGAGAACACCACAAAGACACTCGTCGAGAAGAGCAGCTCCAAGACACATAATTGTCAGATTCACCAAAGTTGAAATGAAGGAAAAAATGTTAAGGGCAGCCAGAGAAAAATGTCGGCTTATCCACGAAGGGAAGCCCATCAGACTAACAGCTGATCTCTTGGCAGAAATTCTACAAGCCAGAAGAGAGTGGGGGCCAATAGTCAACATTCTTATAGAAAAGAATTCTCTACCCAGAATTTCATATCCAGCCAAACTAAGCTTCATAAGTGAAGGAGAAATAAAATCCTTTACAGAAAAGCAAATGCTGGGAGATTTTGTCATCACCAGGCCTGCCCTACAAGAGCTCCTGAAGGAAGTGCTAAACATGGAAAGGAACAACCAGTAGCAACCACTGCAATAACATGCCAAATTGTGAAGACCACCGAGGCTAGGGAGAAACTGCATCAACTAGTGAGTAAAATAACCAGCTAATATCTTAATGACAAAACCAAATTCACACATAACAATATTAGCCTTAAATGTAAATGGGCTAAATGCTCCAATGAAAAGACACAGACTGGCAAATTGGATAGAGAGTCAAGACCCATCAGTGTGCTCTATTCAGGAAACCCATCTCACGTACAGAGACACACATAGGCTCAAAATAAAGGGATGGAGGAAGATCTACCAAGCAAATGGAAAACAAAAATAGACACGGGTTGCAAGCCTAGACTCTGGTAAAACAGACTTTTAACCAACAAAGATCAAAAGAGACAAAGAAGGCCATTACATAATGGTAAAGGGATCAATTCAACAAGAAGAGCTAACTATCCTAAATATATATGCACCCAGTACACGAGCACCCAGATTTATAAAGCAAGTCCTTAGAGACATACAAAGAGACTTAGACTCCCACACAATAATAGTGGGAGAATTTAACACCCTACCATCAAAATTAGACAGACAAAGTTAACAGGGATATCCAAGATTGAACTCAGCTCTGCACCAAGCTGACGTAATAGACATATACAGAACTCTCCACCCCAAATCAACAGAATATACATTCTTTACAGCACCACACCACACCTATTCCAAAACTGACCACACAGTTGGAAGTAAAGGACTCCTCAGCAAATGTAAAGGAACAGAAATTACAAAAAACTCTCTCAGACCACAGTGCAATCAAACTAAAACTCAGGATTAGAAAATTCACTCAAAACCGCTCAACTACATGGAAACTGAACCATCTCTTCCTGAATGACTACTGTGTACATAACGAAAGGAAGCCAGAAATAAAGATGTTCTTTGAAACCAACAAACAGCATCTCAAGGATGTGTCTTTGAGAACAAAGACGCAACACACCAGAATCTCTGGGATGCATTCAAAGCAGTGTGTAGAGGGAAATTTATAGCACTAAATGCCCACAAGAGAAAGCAGGAAAGATCTAAAATTGACACCCTAACGTCACAATTAAAAGAACTAGAGAAGCAAGAGCAAACACATTCAAAAGCTAGCAGAAGGCAAGAAATAACTAAGATCAGAGCAGAACTGAAGGCGATAGAGACACAAAAAACCCATCCAAAAATCAATGAATCCGGGAGCTGGTTTTTTGAAAACTTCACCAAAATTCATAGACCATTAGCAAGACAAATACAGAAGAAAAGAGAGAAGAATCAAATAGACACAATAAAAAATGATAAAGGGGATATCACCACAGATCCCACAGAAATACAGACTACCATCAGTGAATACCGTAAACACCTCTACACAAATAAACTTGAAAATCTAGAAGAAATGGATAAATTCCTCAACACATACAACCTCCCAAGTCTAAACCAGGAAAAACTTGAATCTCTTAATAGACCAATAACAGGCTCTGAGATTGAGAAAATAATTAATAGCTTTCCAATCAAAAAAAGTCCAGAACCAGATGGATTCACAGACGAATTCTACCAGACCTCCAAGGAGGAGCTGGTACCATTCCTTCTGAAACTATTCCAATCAAGAGAAAAAGAAGGAATCCTCCCTAACTCATTTTATGAGGCCAGGATCATCCTGATACTGAAGGCTGGCAGAGACACAACAACAAAAAAAGGTAACTTTAGACCAATATCTCTGATGAAGATTGATGAAAAAATCCTCACTAAAATACTGGGAAACCGAATCCAGCAGCACATCGAACAGCTTATCCACCATGATCAAGTGGGCTTTATGCCTGGGATGCAAGGCTGGTTCAACATACGCAAATTGATAAATGTAATCCAGCATATAAACAGAAGCAACGACAAAAACCACATGATTATCTTAACAGATGAAGAAAAGTCCTTTGACAAAATTCAACATTCTTTCATGCTAAATAGTCTCAATAAATTAGGTCTTGATGGGATGTATCTCAAAATAATAAGAGCTATCTATGATAAACCCACAGCCACTGTTATACTGAATGGGCAGAAACTGGAAGCATTCCCTTTGAAAACTGGAGCAAGACAGGGATGCCCTCTCTCACCACTCCTATTCAACATAGAGTTGGAAGTTCTGACCAGGGCGATCAAGCAGGAGAAGTAAACAAAGTGTATTCAATTAGAAAAAGAGGAAGTCCAATTGCCCCTGTTTGCAGATGATAGGATTGTATATCTAGAAAACCCCATCGTCTCAGCCCAAAATCTCTTTAAGCTGATAGGCAACTTCAGCAAAGTCTCAGGATGCAAAATCAATGTGCAAAAGTCACAAGCATTCTTAAACACCAATAACAGACAAACAGAGGACCAAATCATGAGTGAACTCCCATTCACAATTGCTTCAAAGAGAATAAAATACCTAGGAATCCAACTTACAAGGGATGTGAAAGACATCTTCTAGGAGAACTGCAAACCACTGCTCAATGAAATAAAAGAGGATACAAGCAAATGGAAGAACATTCCATGCCCATGGGTAGGAAAAATCAATATCGTGAAAATGGCCACACTGCCTAAGGTAATTTATAGATTCAATGCCATCCCCATCAAGCTACCAATGACTTTCTTCACAGAATTGGGAAAATCTACTTTGAAGTTCATACGGAAGCAAAAGGAGCCCACATTGCCAAGACAATCCTAAGTCAAAAGAACAAAGCTGGAGGCATTACGCTACCAGACTTCAAATTATACTACAAGGCTACAGTAAGCAAAACAGCATGGAACTGGTACCAAAACAGAGATATAGACCAATGGAACAGAACAGAGCCCTCAGAAATAATGCCACATATCTACAACCATCTGATCTTTGATAAACCTGACAAAAACAAGAAATGGGGAAATTATTCCTTATTTAATAAATGGTGCTGGGAAAACTGGCTAGCCGTATGTAGAAAGCTGAAACTGGATCCCTTCCTTACACCTTATACAAAAATTAATTCAAGATGGATTAAAGGGTGGAGCCAAGATGGCCGAATAGGAACAGCTCTGGTCTACAGCTCCCCGTGTGAGTGACGCAGAAGACGGGTGATTCCTGCATTTCCACCTGAGGTACTGGGTTCATCTCACTAGAGAGTGCCAGGCAGTGGGTGCAGGACAGTGGGTGCCATGCACCGGGTGTGAGCTGAAGCAGAGCGAGGCATTGCCTCACTCGGGAAGTGCAAGTGGTCCGGGAGTTTCCTTTCCTAGTCAAAGAAAGGGGTGACAGATGGCACCTGGAAAATCCTGTCACTCCCACCCTAATACTGCACTTTTCCAATGGGCTTAAAAAACGGCACACCAGGAGATTATATCCCGCACATGGCATGGAGGGTCCTACGCCCATGGCACGGAGGGTCCTATGCCCATGGAGTCTCGCTGATTGCTAGCACAGCAGTCTGAGATCAAACTGCAAGGTGGCAGTGAGGCTGGAGGAGGGGCGCCTGCCATTGCCCAGGCTTGATTAAGCGAACAAAGCAGCTGGGATGCTCGAACTGGGCAGAGACCAGCGTAGCTCAAGGAGGCCTGCCTGCCTCTGCAGGCTCCACCTCCGGGGGCAGGACACAGACAAACAAAAAGACAGCAGTAACCTCTGCAGACTTAAATGTCCCAGTCTGACAGCTTTGAGGAGAGTAGTGGTTCTCCCAGCACACAGCTGGAGATCTGAGAACGGGCAGACTGCCTCCTCAAGTAGGTCCCTGACCCTCGAGCAGCCTAAGTGGAAGGCATCCCCCAGTAGGGGCAGACTGACACGTCACAAGGCCAGGTACCCCTCTGAGACAAAACTTCCAGAGGAACGATCAGGCAGCAGCATTTGTGGATCACCAATATCTGCTGTTCTACAGACACCAATATCTGCCGTTCTATAGCCACCGCTGTTCTGCAGCCACCACTGCTGATACCCAGGAAAACAGGGTCTGGAGTGGGCCTCTAGCAAATTCCAACAGAGCAGTAGCTGAGGGTTGTGTCTGTTAGAAGGAAAACTAACAAACAGAAAGGACATCCACACCAAAACCCCATCTGTACGTCACCATTATCAAAGACCAAAAGTAGAAAAAAAACCCACAAAGATGGGGAAAAAAAACAGAGCAGAAAAACTGGAAACTCTAAAAAGCAGAGTGCCTCTCCTCCTCCAAGGGAACACAGCTCCTCACCAGCAATGCAACGAAGCTGGATGGAGAATGACTTTGACCAGTTGAGAGAAGAAGGCTTCAGATGATCGAACTACTCTGAGCTACAGGAGGAAATTCAAACCAATGGCAAAGAAGTTAAAAACTTTGAAAAAAATTAGACGAATGGATATCTAGAATAACCAGTGCAGAGAAGTCCTTAAAGGAGCTGATGGAGCTGAAAGCCAAGGCACAAGGACTACGTGATGAATGCACAAGCCTCAGGAACCAATGCGATCAACTGGAAGAAAGAGTATCAGTGATGGAAGATGAAATGAATGAAATGAAGAGAGAAGGGAAGTTTAGAGAAAAAAGAATAACAAGAAATGAACAAAACCTCCAAGAAATATGGGAGTATGTGAAAAGACCAAATCTACTTCTGATTGGTGTACCTGAAAGTGACGGGGAGAATGGAACCAAGTTGGAAACTTGGTTTCCAACTGAGTGTTGGAATACTCTGCAGGATATCATCCAGGAGAATTTCCCCAATCTAGCAAGGCAGGCCAACATTCAGATTCAGGAAACACATAGAATGCCACAAAGATACCCCTCGTGAGGAGCAACTCCAAGACACATAATTGTCAGATTCACCAAAGTTGAAATGAAGGAAAAAATGTTAAGAGCAGCCAGAGAGAAAGGACGGGTTACCCACAAAGGGAAGCCCATCAGACTAAGAGCTGATCACTTGGCAGAAAGCCTACAAGCCAGAAGAGAGTGGGGGCCAATATTCAACATTCTTAAAGAAGAGAATTTTCTACCCAGAATTTCATATCCAGCCAAACTAAGCTTCATAAGTGAAGGAGAAATAAAATCCTTTACAGACAAGCAAATGCTGGGAGATTTTGTCACCACCAGGCCTGCCCTACAAGAGCTCCTGAAGGAAGCATTAAACATGGAAAGGAACAACCGGTACCAGGCACTGCAAAAACGTGCCAAAATGTAAAGACCATCAAGGCTAGGAAGAAACTGCATTGACTAATGAGCAAAATAACCAGCTAACATCATAATGACAGGACCGAATTCACACATAACAATATTAACTTTAAATGTAAGTGGGCTAAATGCCCCAATTAAAAGATACAGACTGGCAAATTGGAAAAAGAGTCAAGACCATCAGTGCTCTGTATTCTGGAAACCCGTCTCACATACAGAGGCACACATAGGCTCAAAATAAAGGGATGGAGGAAGATCTACCAAGCACATGGAAAACAAAAAAGAGGCAGGGGTTGCAATCCTAGTCTCTGCTAAAACAGACTTTCAACCAACAAAGATCAAAAGAGACAAAGAAGGCCATTATATAATGGTAAAGGGATCAATTCAAAAAGATGAGCTAACTATCCTAAATATATATGCACCCAATACAGGAGAACCCAGATTCATAAAGCAAGTCCTTAGTGACCTACAAAGAGACATAGACTCCCACACAATGATAATGGGAGATTTTAACACCCCACTGTCAACATTAGACAGATCAACGAGACAGGAATTTAACAAGGCTACGCAGGAATTGAACTCAGCTCTCCACCAAGCGGACCTAGTAGACAGCTACAAAACTCTCCACCCCAAATCAACAGAATATACATTTTTTTCAGCACCACAGCACACCTATTCCAAAACTGACCACATAGTTGGAAGTAAAGCACTCCTCCGCAAATGTAAAAGAACAGAAATCTCAACAAACTGTCTCTCAGACCACAGTGCAATCAAACTAGAACTCAGGATTAGAAAATTCACCCAAAGCCGCTCGACTACATGGAAACTGAACAACCTGCTCCTGAATGACTACTGTGTACATAACGAAATGAAGGCAGAAATAAAGATGTTCTTTGAAACCAACGAGAACAAAGACACAACATACCAGAATCTGAGGGACACATTCAAAGCAGTGGGTACAGGGAAACTTATAGCACTAAATGCCCACAAGAGAAAGCAGGAAAGATCCAAAATTGACACCCTAACATCACAATTAAAAGAACTAGAGAAGCAAGAGCAAACACACTCAGAAGCTAGCAGAAGGCAAGAAATAACTAAGATCAGAGCAGAACTGAAGGAAATAGAGACACAAAAAACACTTCAAAAAATTAACGAATCCAGGAGCTGTTTTTTTGAAAAGATCACCAAAATTGGTAGACTGCTAGGAAGATTAATAAAGAAGAAAAGAGAGAAGAACCAAACAGATGCAATAAAAAATGATAAAGGGGATATCACCACTGATCCCACAGAAATACAAACTCCCATCAGCGAATACCATAAACACCTCTACACAAATAAACTTGAAAATCTAGAAGAAATGGATAAATTCCTCGACACATACACCCTCCCAAGACTAAACAGGGAAGAAGTTGAATCTCTGAATAGACCAATAACAGGCTCTGATATTGTGGCAATAATCAAGAGCTTACCAACCAAAAAAAGTCCAGGACCAGATGGATTCACAGCCGAATTCTACCAGACCTACAAGGAGGAGCTGGTACCATTCTTTCTGAAACCATTCCAATCAATAGAAAAAGAGGGAATCTTCCCTAACTCATTTTATGAGGCCAGCATCATCCTGATACCAAAGCCTGGCAGAGACACAACCAAAAAAGAGAATTTTAGACCAATATCCTTGATGAACGTTGTTGCAAAAATCCTCAATAAATTACTGGCAAAGCGAATCTAGCAGCACATCAAAAAGCATAGCCGCCATGATCAAGTGGGCTTCATCCCTGGGATGCAAGCCTGGTTCAACATATGCAAATCGATAAATGTAATCCAGCATATAAACAGAACCAAAGACAAAAACCACATGATTCTCTCAATAGATGCAGAAAAGGCCTTTGACAAAATTCAACAATCCTTCATACAAAAAACTCTCAATAAATTAGGTATTGATGAGACGTATCTCAAATTAATAAGAGCTATCTAGGACAAACCCACAGCCAATATCATACTGAATGGGCAAAAACTGGAAACATTCCCTTTGAAAAGTGGCACAAGACAGGGATGCCCTCTCTCACCACTCCTATTCAACATAGTATTGGAAGTTCTGGCCAGGGCAATTAGGCAGGAGAAGGAAATAAAGGGTATTCAATTAGGAAAAGAGGAAGTCAAATTGTGCCTGTTTGTAGATGACATGATTGTATATCTAGAACACCTCATTGTCTCAGCCCAAAGTCTCCTTAAGCTGATAAGCAACTTCAGCAAAGTCTCAGGATACAAAATCAATGCACAAAAATCACTAGCATTCTTATACACCAATAACAGACAAACAGAGAGCCAAATCATGAGTGAACTCCCATTTACAATTGCTTCAAAGAGAATAAAATACCCAGGAATCCAACTTACAAGGGATGTGAAGGACCTTTTCAAGGAGAACTGCAAACCACTGCGCAATGAAATAAAAGAGGATACAAAGAAATGGAAGAACATTCCATGCTCATGGGTAGGAAGAATCAATATCGTGAAAAAGGCCATAATGCCCGAGGTAATTTATAGATTCAATGCCATCCCCATCAAGCTACCAATGACTTTCTTCACAGAATTGGAAAAAACTTTAAAGTTCATATGGAATCAAAAAGGAGCCTGCATCACCAAGTCAATCCTAAGCCAAAAGAGCAAAGCCAGAGGCATCATGCTACCTGACTTCAAACTCTATTACAGGGCTACAGCAACCAAAACAGCATGTTACTGGTACCAAAACAGAGATATAGATCAATGGAACAGAACCAAGCCCTCAGAAATAATCTTACATATCTACAACTATCTGACAAACCTGAGAAAAACAAGCAATGGGGAAAGGATTCCCTAATTAATAAATGGTGCTGGGAAAACAGGCTAGCCATATGTAGAAAGCTGAAACTGGCTCCCTTCCTTACACCTTATACAAAAATTAATTCAAGATGGATTAAAGACTTAAATGTTAGACCTAAAACCATAAAGACCCTAGAAGAAAACCTAGGCAATACCATTCAGGACATAGGCATGGGCAAGGACTTCATGTCTAAAACACCAAAAGCAATGCCAACAAAAGCCAAAATTGACAAATGGGATCTCTTTAAACTAAAGAGCTTCTGCACAGCAAAAGAAACTACCATCAGAGTGAAGAGGCAACCTACAGAATGGGAGAAAATTTTCACAACCTACTCATCTGACAAAGGGCTACTATCCAGAATCTACAATGAACACCAACAAATTTACAAGAAAAAAATAAACAACCCCATCAAAAAGTGGGCAAAGGACATGAACAGACACTTCTCAAAAGAAGACATTTATGCAGCCAAAAAATGCATGAAAAAATGCTCATCATCACTGGCCATCAGACAAATGCAAATCAAAACCACCATGAGATACCATCTCACACCAGTTAGAATGGCGATCATGAAAAAGTCAGGAAACAGCAGGTGCTGGAGAGGATGTGGAGAAATAGTAACACTTTTACACTGTTGGTGGGACTGTAAACTAGTTCAGCCATTGTGGAAGTCAGTGCGGTGATTCCTCAGGGATCTAGAGCTAGAAATACCATTTGACCCAGCCATCCCATTGCTGGGCATATTCCCAAAGGATTATAAATCATGCTGCTATGAAGACACATGCACACGTATGTTTATTGCGGCACTATTCACAATAACAAAGACTTGGAACCAAGCCAAATGCCCAACAATGATAGACTGGATTAAGAAAATGTGGCACGTATGTGCCATGGAATACTATGGAGCTATAAAAAATTATGAGTTCATATCTTTTGTAGGGACACGGATGAAGCTGTAAACCATCATTCTCAGCAAACTATCGCAAGGACAAAAAACCGAACACCGCATGTTCTCACTCATAGCTGGGAGTTGAACAATGAGAACACATGGACACAGGATGGGGAACATCGCACACCAGAGCCTGTTTTGGGGTGGGGGGCGTGGGGAGGGATAGCATTTGGAGATATACCTAATGTTAAATGACGAGTTAATGGGTGCAACACACCAACATGGCCCATGTATACATATGTAACTAGCCTGCACATTGTGCACATGTACCCTAAAACTTAAAGTATAATAAAAAAAGAAAGCTTTTTGAAAATACTTACAAACTCTTTTATTTTCCATCCCTTTATATATTTTTATATATGCATGTATATGTGTGAGTGTGTGTGTGTGCCTGTGTATATGTATATATAAATATTTAGGGGAGGTTATAAGTACTTACGTACATGATCACAATAGGCTGCCTGCAAGCTGAGGAACAAGGAGAGCAAGTCTGAGTCCCAAACCTGGAAGAACTTGGAGTCCACTGTCTGAGAGAAAAAGTATCCAGTATAGAAGAAAGATGTATGCTTTGGAAGCTAGTCCCATCTCGCTTTTTGACATGTTTCTGTCTGCTTGATGTTCGCTAGAAGCTCATGAGATTGTGCCCATCAGATTAATGTAGATCTTCCCATTGACTCAAATGTTAATTTTTGGGGGGGGGGAACCACCCAAGAAACTCATCCACGATTAATACTCTGTATCCCTCAATCCAATGAATGAGACACTCAGTGTTAACCATCACAAGTCCACCCCTTGTTAACTCGAATCAAATCACATCTCCTGCTATAATACATAATCTTCAAATGCAGACAGAAATGAGGTAATAATTACACCTAACATAATACAATTATCCTCTTACAGCCAGGAATGCAGCAATCCCCAATCCAAACACTATTTCATAAAGTTTACAATACACAAATGTTGATAAGAACTCAATAAATCTTACGTAGCATGATAAAGGAAAATAAAAAAAATATTTTCTTAGTACATGTGTATACATGCACAAACTTTTTTTTTAACAAAAGAAGGAGGAAATACTTAAGACAATTAACGTCCTCATTTCTGCAGCTGGTCACTTGTTTATAGCGGATATGGATGACTAACTTCTTCTAACACCCATTCTGCCTTCCTTTTGTCTTCCTCAAGCACCTCAGCAGGTTGCGGTTTTTATTGTTTTGTTGTTGTTGTTCCTTTTGTTGTTGTTACCCTGGTGAGTGACCCAAACCTTAATACCTGAAGGGTCTGATCCAACTGTAGCCCGGTCAGAATTGGGCTGTTGTAGTTTTCCACTGACCTTAATCGCACGTCATGGTAATTCTGGAACACATCTTAATGCATCTTCTGTATTTTATGCCACACTCTTTCTTCCCTCCATTGTGGAGGAGTAGGCTGATTTCATCTTGATAGTTCAGGTCAATCAACCCAGTCAACACTGTAACTGCCTTTTTACAATGCTGACGTAAAGGTAGGAGGAGGCCCAAGTGTCCAGGTGACAATCTTGACTTCCAGTTTAATGGAATCATTATTGTTTCATCTGGTGGCAGCGCTTTTCCTCGGGGAGCTAAGACCTCTAGGCCAGCAGAACATAATATCATAAGAAACAGGAAACAGAAATGTTGCTGGTGAAACACCAGGAGCGATAGTGAGTGGTGAAATTTCTACTTCTATTGCTTGATTCCTGGACCAGCGAATTTTGGCTACAGAAGTAACAATGCCATATATTGGATGCTGATTCAGAGAACATATGGTCTTCTGGAGAACTTTGCCACAGCCCTGCAAAGTATTGTCACATAGTTGGCATTGCAATTGTAACTTCAAAAGGCCACTTCACAATCTTATTAATTTAGTTGCTTCAAGATAATGAGAAACATGGTAAGACCAGCAGATTTAATGAGCAGGAGCCCACTGCCACATTTCTTTAGCTGTAAAGTTAGTGCACTGGTCAGAGGAAATGTTGTGTGGAATACTGTAATGGTGAATATGGCATTTTGTGAGTTCATGAATGGTAGTCTTATCAGAAGCATTGCATGAAGAATGGGGAAACCCATATCCACAGTAAGTGGCTATTCCAGTGAGGACAAACCTCTGCCATTTCCTTGATGAAAGAGTTCCAATATAATTAATCTGTCACCAGGTAGCTGGCTGATCACCCCAAGAAACTGGGCCATACTGAGGGCTCAGTTTTGGTCTCTGCTGCTGGCAAATTGGGCACTCAGCAGTGGCCATAGCCAGGTCAGGCTTTGTGAGTGGAAGTCCATGTTGCTGAGCACATGTGTAACCTCAGTTTCTGCCACCATGGCCACTTTGTTCATGGACCCATCGGGCAATGACAGGGGTGGCTGGGGAAAGAGGCAGAGTGGTGTCCCTGGAACCAGTGTTTTTATCCACTTGATTATTAAACTCTTTATCTACTAAGGCTGCTCGTTGGTTAGAACTCACATGGAATACAAATATTTTGACAGCTTTTGACCACTCACAAAGGTCCGTCCACATACCTCTTCCTCAAATATCTTTCTCACCAATATTCTGATCATGCATCTACCAAGTGCCTGACACCCAGACAAACCATTGGCTATGGACCATGAATCATTATATAGTCAGAAATCTGGCCATTTGGGTATTGACATAGGCTGAAGGAGAGAAGATGGGGTGGCTGCAGTGGAGATCGTGAGCATTTGAACCACTTTCTCATGTAACTTAGTTGTGCCTTAGGACCTGCTTAAGCCTGGCCACGTGTATACCACATCCATTTCATGATGAAATGCTGCTGCGCACAACCCACTTTAAGACTCGATGGGTCAGAAAGCACCAAGTTCATGATAGACAGTGTACTTCACATGGTGACTTGATGACCAACATTGAAATGTTCCACCAAAGCCCAGCAATGGGCCAGGAGCTGTCTCTCCAAAGAATACTAGTTATCTGCAGAAAATGGCAGGGCCTTGCTTCAAAATCCTAGAGGTGTATGGTCTGATTCACCTGTGGGAGCACTGCAAAGTATTGTCACATCGTTGGCATTGTAATTGTAACTTCAAAAAGCCACCTAACCGTTCTATTTATCCAGCTCCTTCAGGATAATGGGAAACAGGGTAAGACAAGTAGATTTAATGAGCAGGACACTGCTGCCACAGTTATTTAGCTCCAAACAACATCCCTATCTGCCACTGAAATTTCAAGCACCATTGAATCTCCTGGTTCACATGGCCCAAAGAGTAGAGGGGTTTGCAACGCAGCCTGAAGTAGTTGCAGAGTCTTTTCCTGTTTTGGATGCCCCTGAAAGCTGGCAGCCCTTTGGGTCACTAATAAGTGGGCCAGTGGGACATATTCAAATAAAAAATGTGCTGCTTCAAAAATCCAACTAGGCCTAGTAGGTATTGTGCCTCTTTCTTGGTTATAAGAGGGGCCTCACGCAACATCTTGTTCTTCACCCTGGAAAGGATATTTTGACAGGCTTCCCAAGACTGGACCTCTAGGAACATTACGGAGGTAGAAGGTCTCTGAATTTTAGTCACATTTATTTCACATCCTCTGGTACATAAATGTCTCACCAATAATTCAAATGTGCTTGCTACTTCCTGCTCACTCATCAAATCAGCCTAATTTCATCAATGAGATGGATGAAATCATCGTGATACTTTACAGAAGTGAAGAGCAATCAAGGTCTCTCTGAGTAAGATTATGACAGGAAGCCAGAGAGTTAATATACCCCTGAGCAAGGTTAATAAATGTGTATTGCTGGCCTTGCCAGCTGAAGGCAAATTGCCTCTGGTGGTCCTTATAGACAGGAATAAAGAAAAGGGCACTGGCCAAGTGAATGGCTGTATACCATGTGACAGGAGATGTATTAATTTGCTCAAAAAATAAACCATATCTAGAATATCAGCTGCATGTTGATTCACAACTGTATTAAGTTGCAATACTCCAATGTGATTATCCAAGGTCCACCTGTCTTTTGCACAGGCCAAATGGGAGAGTTGAATTAGAATGTGCTGGTAATTACCAATCCAGCATCTTTGAAATTTTTGATGGTGGCACCCATCTTCACAATCTTCTCAGGGTTTTGATATCATTTCTTATTTACTATTTTTCTAGGTAGGGGCAGCTCTTGTGGCTTCCATTTAACCTTTTCTATTGTTGTAGCCCTCACCTTGGAGGTCATGGAAATGTGGGATTCTGCCAGCTGCTAAGTATATCTATGCCAGTTATGCAATTTAGCACTGGGAAAATGACCACAGGATGACTCCAGGGACTCACTGGGCACTCTGTAAATCTGACCTAATAAGCTAAAGCACTATTAATTACCTGACCTCCCTGAGCTCCTACTTTAACTGCAGGACCACAGTAACATTTTGGGTCCCCTGGAACCCACATCAGCACAGAGCTAGTGGCCAGTAGTTTCTCCAAAGTCTGACTATTTCCCTTTCCCTAGTACACAATTACTTTGGTAAAGCCTGGAGGTCTTCTTGGGGAAAGATTGTGTAAAGATTCACTGCATAAATAGTCAGTTGTGTTGTGGGTTTCTTGGTCAAGGGAACCCAGCCTCCTCTTCATTCGATGGATTCTCGGTCTTTAAACTGTCTCTAGCCTGGTAATTGATGGAGGGGCCGTACTTCTCTGTTTTCATCATTCCGAATAGTGATTTGTCCTTTTGACGCAACGATTTCTGTATGTATAACATAAGTATGAATGCAGTAAGCTTTCCATCAATTTCACTTGCACGAACACCGTGACTAATTAACCAATGGCAAGGCTCTACAGGAGTCACATTATTTGACTGCCACTATCCCTTCGCTGTGCCCACATTACCTTTGATGGTTGAGTGGTGCCACTTGACCCCTATCACACTGGGATCCAACTATTCTCATCATATTTAAATTTTGTCGTTGCATGACTGTGGTTTCCATAGAAGAGCAATTACAGGGCAATTGTGCCCACCAGATTAAGGGTGGAACTACCTTCTCCAGCCCACTGTCCCTAGTGTTAATCTCTTTTAGGCAACACTCACACAGACACATACCAAACTAATACTCTGTATCTCTCAATCCAGTTAAATTGATACTCAGTGTTAGCCATCACAGGCTCTTGGCGATAAATTTGCTGGTCCCCACTAAGGCTCCACCTTCAAGCCGGTTACAGCCTGAGGTCCAGGTTCCAGGCTGATGGACAAGAATGGGAACCACTGTTGCTTTTTTCTGAAACGCATGCATTGTTGCCAAATAATCCAATCAGCAAGCACTTTCTTTCCTTTGAAGCAAATAATATTCCTGGACTCAGCCACATTTGAGGACTATTCAAACTACCAGCCGTGGAGAGGAGCTACCTACCCAAGGGCCATCTCTCTCCTGCAAGCTTAGGAGATGTCAGGACTATCAGCAGTGGGCTGGAGCTACCCACCACAGTCTCTGCTGAAAGCTGGGGAGATAATGGGATGACCAGCTAGAGTGAGGAGCTACCCACTCGAGGGTCTTCTCTTTGCTGAAGTCTTAGCCAATCTTGGAACCACCAGGTGTGAAGTAGACCTACCCACTCCAGGGTCTTCACTCTGTGGAGAGCTTAACATCTCATAATATGACCAGCTGGATGGAGAAGCTACCAAGTCCAGGGTTTCTTTCCTGCTGAGAGCTGGACACTAAGCCTTGACAACTTGCCTGTAGAGATAAGCCGCCCGCTCTAAAGCCGTCTCTCCGCTGAGAGCTGGACCCTCATCAGAACATCCAGCCTGTGGAGAAGAGCTACCCAATCAGGATCTCTTTTGAGTTCTGTCCCTCAGTAAATCTTGTCTATAAAGGTCTCACTCTCCACGTGTCCATCTACCTCATTCTTCCTGGATAAAGAACTATTATTTGAGAATCACTGAATGGTGGTGCTGAAAGAACTGTAACACAAACAGGGAAAAACATGTCTCTTGCTCATCACATTGTGAAAGACAAAAATAAGAGGACAGCTAGGCTATCTCAAAACCAGGGCTGTGACACCCTCTTTAGGGCTTTGCTGTTTCTGGCATCCTGAAACTTCTGGGCACCACTACATTCCCCAGTATCAGCTGTGGAAGCTGCTTGCAGTATGCCTGGTCCAGCTGCTGCATCTCAGTGAGATGGCACTTCTGTTGGTACCTAAAATTTCCTGCTTTGCAACAGCTGGCAGGCCTGGCCGTCTATAGCGGCTGGACCCCACACTTGCTCAAACACCATTGCCACTCTACCTCACGTTTGCCCTTGGCAGCTGTTAAATCCTGGCCCATAATGCAAGCTGAGTGCAGCCTGTCAGGCAGAGTGGGTAGAGCTAGCTTAGCAGGCCTGAGAAAACACAGGCAAAGGCACCACTGGCCACAGAGGTTTTCAATTGGTAAGGTGACTCTCCCAAAATCCCATGACAAAAGGAGCATAGCTAGTTGCGTTTAAATGCCTTTCTTCTATTGGATCTTGAAATACTTAAAATTCAGTCTCCTACAATTTGGAATGTTTAAACCTTATTTGAAAATCATTATATTTCAAAATCTTTTGGAAATTAAAGTTGAAAGACTGGTATTTCCACTGAAACACCCTATCCCTCTTACTTGCACAGACATCTAGTCTCTGAGAATATACTTCTGTAATTCATGGCATTGGGCTTCAGGTTAGCACTCTTCCACTGTGTTATAAAGCTTTCTAATGAAACAGAATTTCTGATTTTGACATTTTGTACTCATAAAATTTCTTTATGTGCGGAGCTTTTGCTGTGCATTGCAGGATGATGAGCAGCATTTCGGGCCCCTTCCATTAAGTGCAATTGTAAACGCCTTTTTTTTTTTTTTTTTTTTCCCCATGGAAGAAATGCCCAAATATGTTTGTGTCTTGTGGAAGCAAAATTGATGGCTATCTTTATCGTATAAGTTAATACCCATGAAAAAACTGATGGTAGTGAGCTAGTGCAGTCATAGGAATGTTTTTACATTGTTCTTTGGAATGTCTATCAGTACAGACAATGTGGAAAAGTGTGTGGTGATTCACACTTTTAGTCTTTCAGAATGCCAATCCCACTGGATTCAGCAATTTCATTACTGGGTGTATAGTACCTGCAAAATTAGTCATTCTATTACAAGGACGCATGCTTGTGTATGTGTATTACAGCACTATTCACAAATTCAAAGTCATGGAATTAACCCAAATGCCTATGAGTGACAGACTGGATAAAGAAAGTGGGAAAACAACACCTTCAGGACAAATAGCTAATTTATGCAGAGATAAATACCTAGGTGATGGGGTAATGGGTTCAGTGAACAACCATGGCACACGTTTACCTGTGAAATAAATCTGCATGTCCTGCATACATATCATGAAACTTAATATAAATTTAAATTAAATTAAATTTAAATTAAAAGGCTTTCATTTTTGTAGCAGTTATAGTAACTTTGGAATGTGTGCCACACCTTATTTAAGAGATTTTATAAAATAACTATAAATCAGAGTTTTGACAAACTGCACCAAAAAGTAAATAAGTAGTATATTTCAATTCTCAGTTGATTGAATTTCTTTTCTTTCATTTTGAGGATGGAATCTTACACAGTGTCTTCAGCTGGAGTGCAGTGGTGCAATCTTGACATGCTGCAACCCCTGCTTCCCAGCTTCAAGGGATTAAGCTGCCTCAGCTATTTGATTAGCTGAGATTACACGTGTGCACCAACACAGCTGATGGGGTTTCACCATGTTGGCCAGGCTAGTTCCAAACTCCTGACGTCAAGTAATCTGCCTGCCTCATCATCTGAAAGTCCTGGGATTATAGGTGTGAGTCAGGATGTCTGGCCGTTGAATGAATTTCTAATTGAGAAACTTATCCATCTTGCAAAACTTTATTTTCTATATCATACTTTTATGAGTTTCTTCATATGTCTCATAAGTCAAGAAAAATAATATAATGTTAATGCATTCTCTTTTCATTGGAAATGAATGTATATCCATTTATATGTAATTAAAAGAGAAAGTCTATTTAGAATGTCATTTTTCTTTTGTGTAAAACTCTGGGGTTTTAGAAATTTCTTTAAAAATATAACTTTGGAAACTAATTACATTTCTTGACATAAATGGTTGTTTTTTAAGGATCTTTTTTGGTAAGAAAATTCAAAATTGTTTGAAGATACAATGAGTTGTTTAATTATATCAAATAAACATAAAGGTATTTTCTTTGAGAAAACAGGTTTTTCTTAATTTAGGTTTTCTACAAATAATATTATGATTACTTTCTCTTCCTAAAATTAATTTATGTTTTCATCTTCCCTGTATCAAGAGTTCACCTGCAATGTATAAGAAGTAAGAACTGCCAGCAGAACAGGCATTTCCAAGATGTAGGTCACCCACTACCATGAATCCTAGCTTGAGCTACTTGTTGCGCCAGCTATTGACTGTGTAAAAAAATCTAAAAATGAGAGTAGGCTCTTTGACTGCAATATATGACACAGACAAAGCAATAACTAGTGAGTAGTTTAAATTATAAATCTGATTTTATTCATCAATATTCATTTACTTTGGTTTGAAATACTACTTTTTCATTTAGAAAAAGAAGTAACTCACTTTTTTTTTGTTTGTTTGTTTTTGGTCAACTAGCCCAACATTTTGTAGTCATCAGGTATGTAAGTAGAAGAACTTTAATGAGAGAATACAATTTTTTTGAAGACGATGCCTTTCTTTAATGGTTTCCTATAGCTGGTTTTGGTAACTTAACACATGAGTTGTTTTTATCATATGTGAAAAAATACGGAAATGTTACATTAACGAGGGGCCAAACTTAATGCTATAAAATGTTATATTTAAAATGTATGCACTGAAGTTGCTTAATGTTATTTTAATTAAATTCTAAAAGAGGAATGGTTTTGAAAATCATGATATTAGAAGGAAACATTTGAGTGCACTTTATTACTTCTAAATGTCCAAATAAGATCCACAAAAAGGTAGCAATGTTTAAACTTACACAGAACTGAAACTCAAAGTGGGAGGTAATGTAAGCAAATTAACATACAGTAACATAAAACTTAGTGTATTTCAAGATTAAACTAAGTGTTAAGTACGTAATTAACAAACATATTCAGTATAGGCCTGTAATAAGTAAATATGAAATTATATATATATATATATATATATATATATATTTCCATGTAAGTTTTTTTTTAACACATTGTAGGAGTTTCCAGCTAACTCACTGATTAAAAGATCAAATCTTCATTTGCATTGTGAGATCCATGTAGAGGGAAAGATTTGCTTTTAAAAAACACTTTTTTTGTTAATTTATTTAATGATTGTATTGACGTGGTAAATATATATTTGCAAATGAGTGTTTTTAAACAAACACTGCTGTTGTTAAATGCTTTAGCTAACTGTTTTACATAGTTAATATATATATATATTTTCACTATACAGGATGATATATACTAACAATTATTAACTGATCACCAATTTTATATTCCTGTTCCAGAGATTATCTCTGTGCCTGCAGTAATCCATATATATAGCTATTTATTTATTTTCTTACACAAATGAATATATACAATAGACTATATTGTTAACTTTGTACTTCGTCACACATCTGTCAGTATATGAAGATCCATTTAATTTTGTTTGTAGATGCATAACTTGCAATTCAATGTGCTCTAATTTATGCAGTCCACCGCTGAGATGGATTGACGTGTAAGTGGTATTCAGTTTTACACTAAATAAAGAAGAATTTACACTTCCACCATAATTTTAAACACACCATCGCATTGACTTCATCTCACAACAAAATTCTGAGTGCAGGCAAAGTGATTATCATTATTTGCTGAGGAAAGAAGCAGATATTTGCATGAAAGTTATAGCTTTATGAGTCAGAACAATAACTTAAAGGAAGTGCTCACTTAAAACTGGGAAAACTCTCATTTTTTTTTAATGTAAAGTTCTAATGGCAATGAATTGAATACAATCATTTTAAGTGCAAAAGTTTTTAATGAGTAAACTCATAATGATCAGTTAAGTCTGCGTTTAACACATGAAAATTTAATACTACGCCGTCTTCTATAACTCAAAGAAAGCTTTTTTTTTTTTTTTTTTTTTTTTCTTATCTCAGCTTGTGAAATATTTACTGAGTGGGACTATCTGCCCCCGTTGGACCCCACCCAACAAAAGTATTTGTGGGACTCAAAGACGCTGGTGCTACTTATCAAATACATGCTGTGATCCAGCAGCTATACCTGATCCCTGTCATCGGCCACAGCATTTCTACCATTGAAAACACAGGTAGTGACATAGATGATGATCGTGGGGCTGGGAAATGAGGGTTTTCATCCTTCAGACTTCAGAATGGTTGGTCCATTGACAGCTTGATGGTGTGCCCAGAAAAGCCCGTAGACACTCAATGCCAGATAGTGAAAGCAGTTGGGAGGAAGGCTGTACCCCATAAAGCCTCATGGGGGGATCTGCTCAAGACCATGGAAACCCACCTCTTGCATCAGCATGACCTGGATATGAGACATTAAGTTAAAGAAGATCATCCTGGAGCCTTAAATTTTTAGTGCCTCATCAGATTTCAGATGTACTTAGGGCCTGTAATCCCTTTATTCTGGTCAGTTTCTCATATTTGGAATATCTGCATTTTCCCAATGCCAGTACCCCCATTATATCTAGGATGTAACTAACTCGCTTTAATTTTTGCAGGCTCATAGGCAGAAAAAACTTGCCTTGTCTCAGATAAAATCTCAGACTTTGGACTATTGAGTTAATGCTTGAATGAGTTAAGACATTGCAGTACTATTGGAAAAGCATGACTGGTTCTGAAATGTGAGGATTTGAGATTTTGGAGGGGCCAGGGTTGGAATGATATGATTTGACTATGTCCCCATCGAAATTTTATCTTGCATTTTTACATGTGGTGGAGGGGGATGAGATAGGGAGTAACCATATTGTGGGGGCAGGTGTTTTTTTGTGCTGATCTTGTGATAGTGAATAAGTCTCATCAGATCTGATGGCTTTAAACATCAGTGTATCCCTGAACCAGCTCTCTCTTTGCTTGCTGCCATCATATAAGATGTGACTTGCTCCTCTTTGCCTTGCCAGATACATAAATCTCTAAGTCCATAAACTACTCTTCCTTTTATAAATTGCCCAGTCTAGCGTATGTCTTTATAAGTGCATGAAAATGTACTAATATAGTACAAATGTCATATTGACTAATAAAGCTCTGAAACTTTAGTTTCACAGTCAAGTCAAGAAGTAAATAAAATGCAAGTATACGTAGGTCTCTGAAAATGTATATCAAACACTTTTTAGTTCAGCAACATTTTATTAACATCTTTTAATAAAAACAAGGCAGAAAGAGTTGTGAAGTCGTTATTATAATGCACTCTATACTTGTATAATTTGTACTAACTTAAGACTAAAGCCATTTTACTTTTCTTAAGAGACAATTTTCTATGCTCCAGCTGGAATGAATACAGTGGTGCCATCGTCACTAACTGCAGCTTCTAACTCCTGGACTTATGTCATCCTGCTTCCTCAGCCTCCCAGTTAGTAGCTACATCTAGAAGAAAAGGCCAGTAGGCTCAGCTAATTATTTAACATAGATAGATAGATAGATAGATAGATAGATAGATAGATAGATAGATAGATAGATAGATAATTTTTTTCTTAGAGTCAGAATCTTGCAGTGTTACTCAGGCTGGCCTCAAATCCTAGGCCTAAAGTGATCCACCTATCTTGGCCTCATTAAGTGCCAAGATTACCAGTGTTAAGCCACCACATCTTCTCATTTTTAAAAACTTTTTGTAAAGATGGTGTTTCAGGATTTTGACAAGCTCTGTTCCAAATTCCTGGCCTCAACTGTCCTTTTTTTCCTTGCCCTTCCAAATTATTGGAATTATCAACATGAGAAACAAAATCTGATGTAAAAACTGATCCACTTTTTAAATTATAAGTAAAGATTTTGTTTAGAATAGATAAAGCTTAATACTGAATGATAAATTAGAATAAGCTATGATACAAATTTTTTGAAGTCAGAGATAATTTTTAATTAAAAAATGCATATTTAGATTAGAGAATTTTATGTTTACCAAGAATTCTCACACAATTACTGCAAAAATGTTTTTCGCATATTTAAAAATTGAAATAATAATTTTGCTGTTAGGAAATATAAAGCAGTATAATAGACAATCAAACCAATTATAATTACATTATGAGTGAAATCCAAAGCCATGTACCAGTCACTGGCAGGAACACAAACATTTTTTGGTGTAAAATCCTGTGGTAATGATGAATATAGAGGCAATTTGTATGCTAATCATAGCAAATTCTTTTCCCTCATGCAGAAAATAATTCTACTGTTCAAAAAAAATTATATATAGAGTCAAAAACATTTGTATCTTGAAGCTGTTAATAAAATATTTGTTAGTTAAGCCAAATCTTAGTGATTACCTCACCGCTTCACTGACTCATATTTCAAACTGCTTGAGTAAAAAATAATAATTAATATAACACATAAATGCTCTTCCATATTTCCATATATTAAAAACCAATATTCTAAGGTAAAGATATCTTAAATATTTTACCTTGAAATAACTAAACCAAAAAGGCAGCACATTCATATAAATTAGATCTAATGATTTCATAAAGAAAGAAGAAGAAGATTGAAGAAATAGATTAAACACATTCGATACCTTGTAAAAACTCCTACAAGCCAAACACAAATTACTTACCATAAGAAGCAAATCTAAATTGTTACACTGAGTACAGTTTAGGTTTTAAGAAATCTGTGTTTGCAGAATCTGTAGGTGTAAAAGGTCACTTATTTGTTGTAAATTACAAAAGATTACTGACACAGACACTGATGCTTTTGTGGTTCCATATAGCCACTACTATCTGACTGTTACTGTTCTGATGTGTTTTTTATGCTATGAAGCAGAATTTGGTGTGAGTAAATTGAAGATACATGATAAGCAATAATAATAGCAGCTGATATTTATAGCACTTAAAGAGGTAATACACTAAGAGACACACAGATACTAATGAGTTTAATTCTCACAGGTTTTTTTTCTCTCTCTCTCCTCTCTCTCCTCTCTCTCTCCTCTCTCTCTCTCTCTCTCTCTCTCTCTCTCTCTCTCTCTCTCTCCCCCCCCCCCCCTTTCTTTCTTTCTTTCTTTCAGATGTTAGGGTTTTACTCTCTTCCCCTAGGCTGCGGTGCTATGGCAGGATCTCCGCTCAGTGTAACATATGCCTCCCACATTCAAGAAATTCACCTGTCTCAGCCTCCCCAGTATCTCATTTTACAGGCATCTGCCACGACGCCTGGCTAATTTTCATATTTTTAGCAGAGGCGGAGTTTCACCCTTTTGGCCAGGCCGGTCTCACTGTCTTATAAAAAAAACGTTTGAGACCTGGCCGGGCGCGGTGGCCTGTAATCCCACGCCTGTAATCTCAACACGTTGGGAGGCCGAGATGGGCAGATCACGAAGTCAGGAAATCCCAACCGTCCTGGCTAACACGGTTCAACCCTGTCTCTATTAAAAATACTAAAAAAAATTAGCCAGGCGTGGTGGCTGGCGCCTGTAGTCCCAGCTACTCTGGAGGCTGAGGCAGGAGAATGGCGTCAACCTGGAAGCTGGAGTTGCAGTGAGCATAGACCGGGCCACTGCACTCCAGCCTGGGTGACAGAGTGAGACTCTATCTCAAAAATAAATAAAAAATAAGTAAATAAAATAAAATACATAAAATACAACCTTAAGACCTATATATAGTTATTTTAAGAGGTTTGCATTAAGAGTGAGAGAAAGGGTGAAAAGAAATTGTTTCATTTCTCAGAGATGTGAATAGCAGGCAATATGATGTTACAAATGAACCACAATCTAAATGACAGCTAAGCTCACAACAATGCAGACAGTTTGGAGGTGAGAAGTTATGAAGTCCAAGAAAGACATCCATGTTATTTAGCTTACGACTCCCAAGAGAGTTCTTCATTCCATCTTCCAAACAAGTTCCAAAGAGGTAAAATGGGCTGGTTAGGCCTAAAGAATGAAATCTGTTTGTGAAACTACTCGTGGTTGCTAAAATCTGTTGTAACCGCATAAAATGAAGAGGTATCTGTAATAGAAAGAGAATAATGTTTTCTTCTGTCAACTCTTCAATATTCAATCATTAAATTGCAATTTATCATGGAGGACAGATGAAAACCGTCTGTGAGATCTTCTACATCGAAAATAATTCATTTAATAAGAATCATTTTTCTTCAAGTCAGTCGCTGTATTTTGTCAATATTATTTTCCTTTAAACAAATTATCATCTTAACTACCTGTCTGATACCACTAAAACAGTAAAGAGAAACCAGAAGTTAATTTTGTAGATGAGCACAAACAACTCTAATGTCTTCTGGTTTTGTTGAATGAGATCTTTGTTTTTTTCAAAACTGAAAAAAACATGCATTTTATCCCATTTTACAACAATGTGGATTTGCCCCTTCCATTGGATATACTGTTCCAAAGAATCAAGAAGATTTTGGTGACTGTTAATGTCCATATTTAAAGTGTTAAAATATTTTTCACATTTGTACCTAAAGATATTTTTAAAGAAACAAATTATAAATATATATTCTTTATGTTTTTGTTTGGTTTGGTTTGGTTTGGTTTTCCAGTGAAGATAATAGAAAATTGTCTTTCACAAAACAGGTCCCTTGTGCCAACTGTTTGCAAACAGTCACACATAGATGCATGCACACATAAATTATTGAGTAAAAGTTTTGAAGACAGAAACTCATAGTGTTATAGTAATTTGAGTGAAATAGAACAGAAATGTTGACTAGATTTCAGAAAAAAAATGTTTTGAGTAGATCAAATAAATGAAAATAACTTGTTGATGCAAGAAAAAGGGAGTGTTGGTCACACGTGAGGCTATAGAACTGAAATAGGTCAGTAAGAATTACATATGCAAATTACACTTACAACCCTAAGTTTACAGTTTAGCTATGGAATCTAGAACCTCAAACTGAGAGATACAATGGGGAGTCAGTGCATTACAGGTGCACTGCAGACATTTAAAAGAAATCTAAGTGATATGCTAATACAGAGAAGGGAGCTGCTGTGAGTGAAACAGAAGGAAGCCCAGAAATCAGAAGATCCCTTTTTCTTTCTACCTCTGAGATATCTACGAATTACCTTCCTGAAAGAACAATAAACTCTCATGAGAAGCTGCAGCTTGTTTTAGAAACTAGAAAGAGCTATATATTACAGTATACAGTAAAAAGTTGTGTGACAGTGTTTTATTGTCATGCATGCCACAAATTAGACCTTGATAAAATGAAGGAGACAAAGGAAACAGAATCAAGCTGTTATTAAGCTTTGTGTGTGTGTAAGGGTTGGAAGGGGCAGCCCTTCTCTTCATTGCACAGGTTGGAGTGCAGCAACACAATCACAGCTCAGGAGATGTTTTCATCTCACTGTCCCAGGTAGCAGGGACTACAGGTGCAGACAATTACACTCACCTAGCTAGCTTTTTGCATCTTAATAGAGATGATATATCACCACGTTACTCAGGCTGGTTCTGATCTCCTGAAATCAAGTAATCTGGCTGCCTTGGCTTCCCAAAATGTTAAGACTACCAGTGTGAAGGAACGTGCCTGGCACAAGCTTGCATTTATATATATATATGTATATATATATATATATATATATATATATATATATTTACAAATATATATAGATACACACACATATATGCATATATATACACATACACATATGTATTATATAAAGGTATACATTATATATGCATATATAAGTTTATCATGTATATATTTTCTTGCAGGGCTAGAAAGGGGTACTTTCTTGACAGTGATGAAAGTGTTCATTTGATAAGAAAAAATGTTTATTTGATGATGAGTAATGTTGATCTTTGATATACATAATCTCATGGATAAACATTACTCTAGAAACTAAAAGACGTCATTGATGCACTAATCTAATTTGAAAAGAGTAATGAAGGAACTTTAAGCATACACTGAAAGTCAGTGAAATGGCATTTTACCTTCCCGAGTAGCTGATACTACAGGCTCAAACCACCACACCTGAGTAGTTTTTGTATTTTTTGTGGAGACTGGTTTTTGCCATGTTGCCCAAGCTTATGAAATAATTTTTATTATGTGTGATGACAGCACCATGGTCAAATTTTAAGGAAAATCTTTACAGATGTGTTCAAGCACTTATAGAGATAAAATTATATACTTGAGATTTGCTTCATTAGAGAACTGTTAGATCAAGGAAATGGCTACATTTTAATGTTTAGTTTATATAGAGAGTATAAATCTTATTATAATAAGAATTTAATTGTATCTTAAGTGATGAAAGAATACATGGCCTGTCTTTGCTGTGACAATTTTTGTCTCTTTCTATTCGGATAATACTAGTAGAAATGGCCAAGAAAGACAGCTATAATATTACTTTTGTTTAAATATTTAACATCAAATACATTATGGATTTTAAGATATATTTAAAATTTTTAGTTTATGTAGAGTTGATTTCATCAAAATTAAATGATAACTCACCCATAATTTACCTGAACTGTTTCCAAAAACTTTTGGGTACGTAGAATTGTAGTCAGAAAGCAGCTAAATCAAAAGATTGACCTGAAGATGTCTTAGGACACCAATATTGTACTCTTTACTATCTTCTGTCTTGTTTAATGCTAGTTTGTCTTCACATTTATGAGAATATTTAAATACATCATCGTGAGGATGAGCCTTACTCTAGAAGCCAAAAGGCATATCTTTAAAAGTATTGTGAAAGTAGTTGAATGAAATATATACCAAAACTGAGTTAATGAAATGATTCGCAATTTTTGTAGCATTTTCAAAGAACTTACTGTGTTTAATGTTTAGCGTTAGTGTTTATTTCACAGGTGGACCATCATAAAGAGTATACAGAAAAGTTATCAGTAGAAATAATAAAATAATAACATACCTCACAGGTAAGAAAATAGACTACAATCTTCTCAAGTCAACAGGATTGGAAAGAAATCAGTGCTCTGCCATAAATAACTTACAAGAACTAAGTACTTTTTTCTCCTGGAATGCAGTGGCTTCTTGTGAGTATCATGGATTTTTGAGATTTACATGGTATAATTTATGTGATGTATTGAGAATTATTACAAATCAATAAATATGGCCATTAAGAGCAGTTGTGGAAGGATCGAGAGCATACACAGAAGTTCCAAAGGTCGTAATTTCCTTGTAGCTACAGAACAAAATACAGCTGTTTTACACATATGCAACATGTTTCTCTATGCTTTGGTATGCATCTGAGGTTTATGACACAGAAATAAAAATTATCTGCTTCATGTCCTGACGAAGTTCATGGCACAGAAAAAGTAGCTAGGCAGACATGCATGCCACAGTGAAGGGCTGGGACAACATAAAGCACAAGCAGCTAAGCACAATGGTGGGGACTTAATTTGAATGCTATATTCTATCTACTTCATTCGCTTCTTGCCAGTACAATTTGCCATCTCGATCAGTTTTCAATTCCAAACCCTAGAGGAAAAACCAGCTAGAGGATCAGGACCCAAATTCTATCTTTTTGTCCAGTAGTGGCTGTTAACCAAGTAAGAGTGGACATCCCATAAGGAGATCCTACAAAAAGGAATGTTACCCAAGTTGTAATGCCTGCATAGTGTGATCTGTCATACCTAGAAAGGCAGAGACAAGTGTGTGTTTTGTAATCCCCGTAAACTTTAAGAGCTAAGATGTTATTTGAAGGCAAAGTTACTTCTGATCACTGAGGAAAAGAAATGTAGAAATTTTGGAACTGTTTACTACAGTTAAAATGTTCTAATTTCTTTCTTTAGTTTCTATCAATATCTACGCAAAAAAAAGCAAAGGAATGATAAACAGTTTGAGTGTAAACATTTCCAAAATTCAGGTTTTCTGTATTAACTTACTTAATAGCTACATCTTAAATATGTGATCTGCCACTAAAGCCTAACTTTTTGCTGCCTTATGATCAACCAAATACTTTTTATTTTCAACCAGGTGCTTTTACACCTTTAGTAGCCTTATTGTAATTGTGAAATAATGTTGATAACAGGTCCATGTAGCATTATCTGAAAAACGATTTTTTTCTTAAGCAGAAGAATAGCTAATTTGAGGAAAATATACAGAAAATCCTAAAAATAAACACAACTTATATAACACAGATAAAATTAAGGTCAAAAAATTAAATAGCATACTTCAAATACAAGATGAGAATATACTTATTAAAATAAATATTTTTTATTCTTAAAATTCTGAATTGCATTTACCATGTCATACAAATATGATTGTATCAATTGTGCTTTGAAAACAAACAAAAAATAATAAAAACTGTCAAGTAAACTTTCAAGTTATTAGATAGTGAGCATGAAAAATATGCCATTCATAGTATCTCAGATATTCTAGCCATATTGTGAAAATGCAGTCCTGACAAAATCTCATGAAAGTACAGTAATCTCAGGAAGAAAAACAGTACCTGGTATGAGAATATTAAAAACAAATAAATAATTAAAATTTAACTCACACCTTTGTTACTCATCTTTGAACAATCATTGTCTACATCACCACATGTGTTTCTAATTGTAGAACTACTGTTTCTAAGCACTAACGTTATGTATAGTTGCTAGATCACACAATTTATGTGACTAGTCACACCAGCCTCTTTGAGTCCCACAAGTCATTTTTGTGGGCAGGGTCTGATCGGGGGCAGATATTCCCACTATCTGAGTGTCTCACAACCTCAGAGAAGAAAAACTATGCTTATGCTACAAAAATGATGACTCTGTCCATAGTTCTTCTAATCAGGCTGGGAAATTCATTTTATCAGGCTAACACAGCAATTTTCAAATGGTACCTTAAATTTTTATATCACCAGAAACATGATCCAATATATGCACCATTAACTAGAGATATCTTAATTCTGCATTTTTAATGGCATTGCTTCTGTAACAGTTTTATTTGAAAAAGTCATATCAGATGGTATAATATTAAATTTCCATGTACTAACACAGACTTTAATCATTATGTGTTAACTGATTGAAAAACTTTTGTACTTAAAATAAGTGTATTCAATACACTGTCATCAGAAATTTATATAAATAGGACATTAGAGTTTTCTCAGTTCAAACTGAGCACTGCATACAAGTTATTGTTCTCAAACCTAAAAACTATAATCTTCACATAAATATCTGCTTTTTTCCTCATTACATAGTGATGATTAATTTATATTCATTTTATTATGAGATAAAGTCAATTAGGTGGTGTATTTAAAATCCCTGTGAGAACTAGAAATCTTCTCTATCTTATAAAACTGAACACAACTTACACATCAATCCATCTTAGATGTGGACTGCATAAATTAGAGCACATTGAATGCCAAGTTATGTAGCACAGAACAGAAATAAACAGATCTTCATGTATTGACAGGTGTGTCACTAAGTAAAAACAAATAACTATATTGTATATTTTATATTCTCATTTCTGTAAAAAAAGATGAGAAGAAGAAGAAGAAGAGGAAGGAGAAGAAGAAGAAGAAAAAGAAAAAGAGGAAATAGCTTTATGTATGAAGAAGTGCAAATACTTCCAAAAACATCTCTGGACCAGAAATACAATATTCGTGGCAAGTTAATAATTTTTCTTGCATGCCGTCTTATATATTTGGAAATATATATTAGCCACAAGGAAAGAAAAGATTGACTTAACGTTTCATAACAGTAGTGGCTGCTTAAAAAAAAATTTAAAATATTTATTTACTCTGCCAATACAATAGTTAAATAAATTAACAAAAGTCTGTGTTTTTAAAACGGAAACTCTCCTCTTTACATAGATCCCACAGGACAAATAAAGATCTGTCCTTTTCAACAGTGAGTTTAGCTAGAAACTCCTGCAATGTGCCAAAAAATATACTCACAGAGAGAAACATATAAACTAACATAATTTCACATTTTCAATTAAATATCTGTACAGAATACTGTTGTTAATTATATTTGTAACTCTCTGATTTCCCTTGAAATGAACTAAATTTTATGGTTTTTGTTTGTTTGTTTGTTTTGAGACGGAGTCTCCCTCTTTCGCCTAGGCTGGAGTGCAGTGGTGTGATCTCGGCTCACTGCAAGCTCCGACTCTCGGGCTCACACCATTCTCCTGCCTCAGCCTCCCGTGTAGCTGGGGCTACAGGCACCCACCAGCACGCCCGGCTAATTTTTTCTATTTTTAGTAGAGACGGGTTTCACCTTGTTAGCCAGGATGGTCTCGATCTCCTGACCTTGTGATCCGCCCTCCTTGGTCTCCCAAAAGGGCTGGGATTACAGGTGTGAGCCACCGCGCCTGGCCTATTGTTTTTCAATTTACTTACATTACCTCTCGCTATGAGTTTCAGTTCTGCGTAAGATTTGAACATTGCTATCCATTTTGTTTAATTGATGTGGACATTTAAAAGTAATAACATGCACTCAGATGATCTCTTTTCACATTATGATTTTAAAATAATACTTCTCTTGGAATTTAACTAAAACAACATTAAGCAACTTCAATGTTTGGGTTAGAAAAATCTTTTTAATGTATACATTTTTAGTATAAACTTTTTGTACCATTAAATTTGGTTTCTTCTTACTCAACAGTCTTACTATTTTTTTTTTGTATATGATTAAATCAATTCCACTGTGTTAAATTACCAAAACCATATATGAGAACATTTAAGTAATACATCTTATTTAAAAAAAAAAAAATATTCTCTGATATAAATGGTTTTAATTATATACCTGATGGCTACAAAATGTTAAGCTAGTTGATTAAAAGCAAAGCAAAACAAAAGCGATGAGTTAATTTTTTCTAAATGTAAATATAGAATTTCAAACAAAACTGTTATTAACGATAAAAAACCTCTTTATGATTTTAAATACCCACTAGTCATTTCTTTGTCCATGTAATATATTTCCATCAAACAGACTGATATCTTTTTGAGATTTTTTTACCCAGCCAATCCTGTGCTGCAGGTAGCTCAAAACCAGGGTTGATGGTAGTGGGTGAACTATGGACCAGAACAGCCTGCTCTGCTAGCAGTTCTTTATTTCTTAAATATTGCAGGTGAACTTTTGATGCTGGGAAGATTTAAACATCAATTAATTCCTAGTAACTTACAAAAAGTAGTCACACAGTATTAGTAGAAACATAGCTTAAGAAAAAGTTGTCTTTCCAAGAAAATACCTTTTAAGTTTATTTGACATAATTAAACATCTTATTGTATCTTCAAACAATTTAGAATACTCTTACAAAAGAAAATCCAAAGGAAAAAAAAATGCAAGTGTAATCAATAAATGCAATGAGTTTTCCAAATGAGATATGTAAAGCAATTTCTAAGATGTGAGAACTCTTCACCATAGAAAAATGACTTTCTACATAAACCTACTCTTTTAATTATGCATTAATGGAAATAAATTCATTTCCAATAGAGAGACAATGCACTTAAGTTATCTTTGTGAATTATGAGACATAAAACGAAACTCATCAAAAATATGATATAAAAAATAAGGTTTGTAAGACCAGTGTATTTCTCAATTGGAAACTCAGACGAGGGCCGGCAAGCCTTGGTGGCTCATGCCTGTAATTCCGGCACTTTTAGAGGCCAAAACAGGCAGAGTACTTGAAGCCAGGAGTTTGAGACCAGCATGGCCAATATGGTGAAAGCCCTTCGAGTGTGTTGGTGCATACCTGTAATCTCAGCTATTCAAGAAGCTGAGGAAGAATGAACATTTGAACTTGGGAGGCAGGGTGCTGCAGTGTGCTAAGATTGCACCACTGCACACCATCCAAAGAGACAGTGTGGGATTCCATTCTAAGAATAAAAGAAAATAAATTTGATCAATTAAGAATTGAGATATTCTACTTATTTGCTTTTCAATGCAGTTTGTGACAACCCTGATTTGTAATTAGAAAATGTCTTAAATAAAGTGTGGCACACATTTCAGTTACTGTAACCTCCCTTCTAAGAAAATAAACCCTTTCTAGTTTTATTTAATTTATTTAACTTTGTCTTGTATTAAGTTCCAGGGTACATGCAGGACATGCTGGTTCATTACATAAGTGACAGGATATTAGAACCGCAGAAAGTTAGATAAAAATAAGATCTCATATAAAATTTGCATATTTGTTTTGTTTTGTTTTGTTTTTTAAGACAGAGTTTCACTATTGTGATGCAGGCTGGAGTGCAACGGCATGATCTCAGCTCATTCTCGCCTCCTGGTTTCAATCGATTCTCCTGCCTCAACCTCCGGAGTAGCTGGGATTACAGGCGACTGTCACCATGCCCAGCTAATTTTGTTTGTTTGTTTACTTATTGTATTTTTAGTAGAGACAGGGTTACACCATGTTGGCCAGACTGGTCTCCAACTCCTGACCTAGGGTGATTCTCCCAATTTGGCCTCCCAAAGTGCTGGGATTACAGGTGTGAACCACCCTGCGCGGCCTCTGCAAAATTGTTAAAACTGGTTTTTTTATTCATTCTTCATAACTCTTTAGAATAGTCAATGTCAACAATTTAGCTTCCAGAAGACACTAAGATATTTGGACATTTCAACCATGGGAAAAGGATGTTACTATTGCACTTAGTGGAAAAGGTCAGAAATGCTGCTCAACCTCTTACAATGCACAGCAAAAGTGCCTCCACAAAAAACAAACAAACAAACAAACAAACAAACAAAAAACAACGTATGTGAGTGTATAATGTCAAAATCCAGGGATTAGAAATTGTGTTCCATTGGCAAGTTTCACAATCTGCTGAAAGAATGCTAATCTGAAGCCCAATGCTTATATTTCAGAAATATATTTTGTGAGAATCAGGTGGTTCCATGCAAATATATTCTTGGGATTCAGGTGGTTCAACGCAAATACCAATTATTCAAATTTTATTTCCAAATAATGTTGAAATATAATACTTTCCAAATAAGGATAAAATACGAAAATATTCAGGGCATTGACACTGAATTATCAGTGTCTCAGGATTTAAGAGAAGTAAGGCATTTAAACACAATTAGCTATGCTTCTTTTGTTACAGAATTTTAGGGGAGTCACTTTGCCAGATGAAAACCCCTGTGGCCAGTGGTGCCTTTGCTTGAGTTTTTCCCAGGCCTGCTACATGTGTTCTACCCACTCTGCCTGACAGGCTGCACTCAGCTTGCATTAAGAGCCAGCACTTATCACCTGCCAAGGGCAAGCATGGTGGAGTGGTGAGTGTTGTATGAGCAAGTGTGGGCTCCAACCACTAAACTCATCCAGGCATGCCAGCTGTGGCAAAACAAGAAATTTTAGGTGCCAACAGAAGTTCCGTCTCACTGAGAAGCAGCAGCTGGGCCAGGCATACTGCAGGCAGCATCCACAGCTGATACTGTGAAACGTAGTGGGGCCCAGAAGCTTGGAGATGCCAGAAAATGCAAAGCCCCTAAGAGGGTGTCACAGTCATGGCATCGAGAGCCCCTAAGTCTGTGCACCCTGAAGGGCCACAGCTGTCCTCTTATTTTTGTGTTCCACACTACGATAAGCAAGGGGGCGAGTTTTATCCATAGTTGTGTTACAGGTCATTCAGCCCTGATAGTCAGCTGATCTCAAATTATTGTTCTGCATCCCAGAAGAGAGAGGTACATGCTGCCTTCAGTCTTTCCACCTCTACCTATAGAGATAAACCATGTGCTGGCTGAGGCCACAGTGATAGCCTCCCCTGAGTCAGTTGCCAGGTATGATAATGTTGATTCTTCTCAGAGGCCACCCCCAACATCTCTGTTTGGTTCTAAGCCTATAACTAAACTAAAGTACTGGCGGGCTCTTTACGGTGATATTGAGAGTGCAACCCATGAGAAGTTGTGGTAAACTGAAGAACAACTGTTTGAGTTCTATAATATACATGAACAGCAGGCTAGAGAACACAGAAGCAAATGGATATTAAGGGTATGGGATAATAGCAGAAGGAACACAGGGTTGTATCAGGCTGAATTTATTGACTAGGGCTGACCTAGTAGGGACTCTGCATTTAAAGATGCAGCACAGGGAGCTAAGAATTTCTCATAGTTTATCTGCTTGGTTAGCTAAAATATGAATTCAAAGATGGCCCACTGTGAGTGAGCTCTATAAATGTCCGCTCTCCATTGGTTTAAAGTAAAGGATGAAATCCAAAGGCCTTGGGAGATTGGAATGGTGGAGTAGATTAGTTCACTTTAGACCTACTCATCCCAGCTGAGAGAGTCCAGAGGATATACTCTTGATCAATGCCTTGTGAAATAGAGCAGTACCCGCATCTTTGAACAGCTCTGTAATTACTCTTCTCTGTGTGTCAGATCTAAGGGTGGGAACTGCAGCCACTAACTATAACATTTAAATACACTAGGGATAATTGAATCCCAAGGTGGCAGGAACCAAGTGGCAACACTCGACCATCAGAGGCAAGGTGGGTGTAGGTACCATAATGGACAGCTGTCGCAAAGCAGCAATCAGAAGAGTCTGACACCTGTGGAACCCTGGCACTGGCTAATTAATCAAGGTGTTCCTGGAAGTGAAATTGATAGAAAGCCTACTGCATTCCTACCTAAGTTATAGAAACAGAAAACTTTGGTGTCAAATAGATGAAGAACTATTCTAAATTATAAAGACAGAACCACAGCTTCTCAACCTATTTCCACACCAGAGCCAATTTAAAGACACAGAACCCCTTGAATGAAGGGGAGGCTGGATCCCCTTGAGGAAAGACCCCACTCCATTACCAACAATTTATGCAGTGAATCTTTCTCTCCTTGTTCCTTAAGTAATGCCTGGACTTTTGTCAGGGTAACTGTGCATGGAAGAAAGGGAAATGATCAGAATTTTCGGGCTACTGGACCCTGGATCTGAGCTGATACTGACTCCAGGAGACCCGAAACATCATTGTGGTTCTACAGTTAAAATAGAACCTTATGAAGGTCAGGCAATTAATAAAGTTTTAGCTTCCGTCAGACTTACAGTGGGTCGAGCGTGTACCTAGAGTCATCCTAAGGTCATTTTCCCAGTGCCAGAATGCATTATTGGCATAGACACACTTAGCTGCTGGTAGAACCCCACATTTGCTTCCTGACCTGTAGGGTGAGGATTACTAAAATAGGAAAAGGCAAATGGAAGCCATTTGAGCTTCCTCTACCTGAAAATACAGTAAATCCAAAACAATATCACAACCCCGGAGAGATTGTGAAGATTAGTACCATCATTAAGGACTTGAAAGACACACAGTTGGTCATTACCAGCACATCTGAAAACAACTCTCCCATTTAACCTGTGCAGAAGACAAGTGGATCTTGGAGAATGACAGGAGATTTTGGTAAGCTTAACCACTTGGTGACTCGAATTGCAGCTGCTGTACCAAATGTGGTTTTATTGCTTGAGCAAATAAATATATCTCCTGGCATCTGGTATGCAGCCATTGACTTGGCAAATGCCTTTTTCTTCACTCCTGTCCATAAGACCCACCAGAGGCAACTTGCCTTCACCCGACAATACCAGAAATACACCTTTACTCTCTTACCTCAGGGGTATACCAACTCTCTACCTTTGTGCCTTAATCTTTTTCAGAGAGATCTTGATTTCTTTTGGTGGCTGCAAGATATCACACTTGTCTGTTACACTGATGACATTACGCTGATTTGATCCAGTGAGCAAGAAGTAGCAAACATACTGGACTTATTGGTGAGGCATGTTTATGCCAGATTATAGGAAATAAATCTGACTAAAATTCAGGGACCTTCTAGCTCAGTAAAATTTCTAGGGGTCCAGTGGTGTAAGACCTGTTGACATATTCCTGCTAAGGTAAAGAACAGTTTGCTGCATTTGGCCCCGATACAAACAAAAAAATGGGGGACAATGTCTAGTGGGTTTATTTGGATATTGGAGAAAACATATTCCTTATGTGAGGTTGTTACTCTCCCCCTTTTATTGAGCGACTTAAAAGGCTGCCAGTTGTGAGTAGTGTCCAGAACAGGAAAAAGCTGTGTAGAAGATCCAGGCAAGCTTTTCTGTCACTTGGGTCATATGACCTACAAGATATAATGGTGACTGAGGTGTCAGTGGTAGATAGGGGTGCTGTTTGGAGCCTAATGCCAGGATCTCACAGGTGAATCACAGCATAGGTCTCTAGGATTTTGAAGTAAGGGCCTGCCATCTTCTGCAGATAACCACTGTCCTATTGAGAGACAGCTCTTGGCCTGTTACTGGGTTTGGTGGAAGCTGAACCCTTGTCTATAAGTCATCAAGTCACCAAGTGAACTGAAATGCCTATCATGAACTGGGTGCTTTCTGATCCATCTAGCCATAAAGTGGGTTGTCCATAGCAGAATTTTATCATCAAATGGAAGTGGTACATTCGTGCCCAGTCTCAAGCCAGTCCTGAAGGCACAAGTAATTTACATGCGTAACTGACTCAAATGCTCATGTTCTCCAGTCTTGCCACCATGGCTTCTCCCCTCCAACCTGCACTGATAGTCTCATGGATAGTTCCCTGTGGTCAGTTGACAGAATAAGAGAAGACTATGGCCTGGCTCCAGATGGTTCTGCACCATATATGGAGCCACCACCCAAGAATGAACAGCTGCAGCAGTACAGATTTTTGCTGGGATATCCGTGAAGAACAGTGGTGAAGGGACCTCTTCCCAGTAGACTGAACGTCAAGGAGAAATAACCAGATGTGTGATTATATACTGGTTCATGGGCCATAACCAATGTTCTGGTTGGATGATCAGGAACTTGGAAGAAGCATTATCAGTAAATAAGTGGCAAAGTAATTTAAGAGAGAGTTACGTAGATGAGCCTCTCTGAGTGGTCAAAAACTGTGAGGATATTTATATTTCATGTGAGTGTTCAACAACGGTGACCTCAGAAGAGGAAAAATTTTGTAAGCAAATGGATAGAATAAACCATCCTGTGGAAACCACTCAGTCTCTCTCCCGAGCTTCTGCTGTCATCACCCAGAGGGCCCATAAACAAAGTGGCCATGATTGCAGGGGTGAAGATTATGCACGGGTGCAGCAAAATGGACTTTTACTCACCAAAGCTAACCTGGCTATGGCCACTGCTGCATGCCCCATTTGCAAGCAACAGAGTCCAACACTGATCCGTCGATAGGGCACCATTTCTCAGGGTGCTTTCACTGGATATACGTTTGCCTATTCTGCATCCAATGCTTCTGCCAAGACTACCATCTGTGGACACGCTAAATACCTCATCCACCAACATAGCATTCCACACAGCATTCCCTCTGACAAAGACACTCACCTTATGGCTAAAGAAGTGTGGCAGTGGGCTCCTGCTTATGTAATTCACTGGTCTTACCATGCCTCCCATCATCCTAGGGCAGCTGGATTAATAGAATGGTGAAATGGCCTTTTAAAGTTACAATTACAATACCAACCATGCGGCAAGACTTTGCAAACCTGGGGAAAAGTTCTCCAGACGGCAATGTATGTTCTGAATCAGTGTTGAACATATACTGTTTTTCCCATAGCCAGAATTATTGGGTACAGAAATCAAGGTGTGGAAGTGAAAATGTCCCCGCTCACCGTCACCCCTAGTGATCCACTAGCAAAATGTTTGCTTCCTGTTTCCTTTACATTATGTTCCGCGGGCTTACAGGTCTTAGTTCCAGGGGGAGAAATGTTGCCACCAGGAGACAGAATGACATTTCCATTAAACTGACAGTGAAGATTGTCCCCTTGGCATTTTGGGCTACTCCTGCCTTTCAGTCAACAGGCTAAGGAAGTGACAGTGTTGGCTGTGGTGACTGACTTGCATTAGCAAGATAAAGTCAGTCTACTATTTTACAATGGAGGCATGGAAGAATATACATGGAACACAGGAGATCCATTAGGGTGCCTGATAGTATTTAACTGCCCTGAGGTTAAGATCAACGGAAAATTACAACAGCCTAATTTTGACAGGACTGTGAGTGATCCAGAACCTTCAGGAATTAAGGTTTGGGTTACTCTAACAGAAAAGAAAGGAAGAAAGCAAGCAAGCAAGCCAGCAAGCAAGCCAGCCAGCAAGAAAGCAAGCAAGCAAGCAGGCAAGCAGGCAATCAGGCAAGCAGGCAAGCAGGCAAGCACGCAAGCACGCAAGCACGCAAGCACGCAAGCAAACAAGAAAGAAAGAAGAAAAGAGAGAGAGGGAGGAAGGAAGAAAAGAAGGAAGGAAGGAAGGGAGGAAGGAAAGAAGGAAGGAATAGAGGAAGCAAGGGAGGAAGGAATGGAGGAAGGAAGGAAATAAAGAAGGAAGGAAGAAAGGAAATAAGTAAGTAAGGAAGGAAGGGGATTAGGGGTCTCAGCTGAGGTGTTTGTTGAACGCCAAGGGAACACATAAAGGTTGGTAGAAGAAGGTAGACATCAACACCAGCTACAGCCAGGTGACCAGCTGCAGAAATGAGGACTTTAATTGTTCTAAACAGTTCCTCTTTTTGTTAAAAAAAAGTTTGTGTGTGTATACACATGTAATAGTACCTTCATTTTTCTTTTTCTTTATTATGTGACATTAGATTTATTGACATCAAATCAACATTTGAGTATGGTTAACTTCACATAATAGTGCTTGGATTTGGGATTGGTCAATTACTGGTTGTAATAAAGATAGTTGTATTACGTTAGGTGTAATCATGATGTTATTATTTTCTTTACTTGAGGATTAGGTATTCCCTTAGGAGATGTGTATGGGTTCAAGTTGTCAAGGGGTGGATTTGTGATGGTTAATACCGAGTGTTGACTTCGTTGGATTGAGGCATACAGGGTATTAATCCTGGGTGTATCTGTTGGAAGTTTTCCCCGAAACAATCTTTGAATCAGCGGGCTGTGGAATGCAGATCCACCTTATTCTTGTGGGCACAATCTAATCAGCTTTTAGTGAATATAAATCTGGTAGAAAAATGTAAATTCATGAGATGAGCCTAGCCTCCAAACCATGGTTAACTACCATGTTGTTGCTAGCTGCTAAAGTTTGGAAACAATTTTTTTAATCAAATGTAAAAGATTTTACGCTGTACAAATTAACCTCCTTTTTTGATTTATCTTAACATTTCCACATACATTTTTCTATTACAGCTACTTCTTCATTCACTTGTTTTTATTTTCTCTAATTGGCTCATGTAAATGTTTGTGAATGTATTTATTTCTGGTTAATTTAGAACATGAGAGAGCATAACAAATCGCGATCAAAGTTTCCCACTATAAAAATCTTCTATCAGAAACAATTTTAGAAAAGTAGAAGATACATCAGTGTTAATTCTACTCAACAACTTTAGCAAAAGCAAGAGTTCTCTAACCCCAGCTATAATCCTTGAAATCTTTGTTTTGCTTTGGCTTGGTTATTATAATGGCTTAGCAACTTTTATGTCATAAGACATATTTAATTTTTGCCTTACGATAAATATTATGCCCATTGTGCTTGCATAATGTAGTGTGCCAATCCACAAGTGTGTATGTCTTTTCTGTATGCCTTCCAGCTGTAGTCAAGTTTAGTTCTATCCCAAAAGCCATTCATTGAGTTTTCTTAATTGCCACCCCCAAAATAGAGGCTGCCTAGCTTTGCTTTTTTTTTTTTTCTTTGCTATACTAGTGTTTTACGGAAATATTTAAAAAGTAATGGGAAAAGAAAAGGGGAGAAAAATAAATATATGCTTTACTATTTAATCATTGACTAACTGAACTGACTTTGCTTTACTAACACTTACCTTAACTTGAATCAACAGAACTTTACAAAAGCTTCTTAAAATTCTTCTGATTTATAGAAACCAAAGATTGAGTTAAGTAATCTTGAAAATATAAAATCAAAGTGTGCTTTTCTTATGTACAATTTTCTGGAGAGATGATCTATCACTGTTAATTTATCAAAGAGAGGCCTGAGACTCTAGATTTTAAGATATTTATCAGCTTTTCTAATCTCTCAGGGCTAGATGCTAGTAACCACCTTACCAATTCCACTTCTAGTCATGAACCAGGCTTAGGGTAAAAAGAAAGTAAAATCTATTGACTTACAGAAACCCTAGCCACTCACATGGACTGTCTGTTACCTCCATGAGCTCAATGTCTATAACTGTTTGCCTTCCACGGTCTGCTCCAGCCACAGTGACCTGGCTGTTTTTCAAACAATTTAAGCAGACGTCTGGTGGAGGTCATCAAACTTGTTGATCTTGATGCATGCTTGTGTGATTATTACCTTATTATTTTATTTAGATATTTACTTCAAAGTCACTTTAGAGACTAATTATTTTATGCTTGTCTCACATGAGTCCAAGCTGTACTCAATAGAGAATTTTACCTCATGCATTTTATATGAAATTGATAGGATCAATTAATATAAAGCAAACAAAAAACCTTACACTATAAACACTAAAACAAACAAATAAAAAATCTAGAAACCCAAATTAAAAGTGTAACATTTAACTTCAGCATTTGAAACAACATTTTCATGGGACAAAATTTAGATCTCCTAAATAAAAATAAACTGAGATTAGAAAACAGTTCATGCTTCACAACTAAAACTGAAACAAAATTGCAGAGCAGGCAGCGTCAAACCATTCAAAGAAATCTCAAACAAATAAAAAACCGTCTACACCCAGGAAACCAATAGTTCACCAATAGTTCACATCAACCAAGGAAACACTTAATCAAGAGAGACAATTTTAAAACAGTTAATGTTTTGGATTGTCATACTGCCTCCCAGACACAGATGAAGCCTGCAAAACTGAAATCCACATTTTCAATTTGAGGCCCTGATTCCTGATTCTAGAAGGAGTAAAACAGCCCTTATGTGCTAATTTATTGTGTTTGTTCTAGTCTTTCTAGAGAATAAACGATGAATTGATTAGTCATTTTTATTTCTGTTTTGCCAAAGTCAGAAGTCACTCTTGGTTGAAAATGCCAGGAATTGGTCACAAACATTTAGGTTCCTGAGAACCAACAATGCAGTTACTTCATATAATTGACAATCTGATAATACATATTCAGTTTTTTTTTTAATAATAGCTTGTATACTGCTCTTATACAAAATGCTATTTAAGTGGATACTAAGCTGCCAATAACTAAGAAGACACCTTGGAGAAATGAAGAACATTTATAACTTGTAAAATAATACACAAGCAGAAAATGTCTAGATAAAAATAAGCTCGAGAAATCTGTGTCTAACCCTCCCCCCACCAAAATAAAGCTATTACTATTACCTAGCAAAGATAATTACTACTATTATGCTTATTATCGGCAGCTATTACATACAAAAACTATACAAATTTAATTTCATGGACAGTCTGTGTGTGGAGACATAGTCTGAGACAATATAATATAATTTGAGAAGAACAGAAAAGTACAGGAGCAGAGTACCTTTATATTGTTGAACTTAGACTTTAGATTATTTAAATAAGGTAGTATTATCCAACGTAGGCTATTTTAAGTTTAGAATATTTATTGAGGTCCCAAATGTAACTAACTATAATATAAAATATATAGAAAAAGAAAGTTTTGAGAAATTAAGAAATTTTTCTGAAAGATCAAAGGAGAAATTTAAAAATTCAGATAAGGTAAGGAACATACAGAAAGCAAGTAATTAAATATCAGAGTGAATAGTGTTTTACGTTTAATAACTTTAAATGTGAGCTCTTTCATAAAAACGCACAGAATAATGCAAATGTACCTTTAAAAGAAGGGTTCACATATGTGATTTCCCTGCAAGTGTTGCTTTAAGTGCAAAGAGAGAGATTGAAAGTAAAATGATACAGGTTCTTGGAAAAACGAGACAATGGATTACAGAGCACTATGTATCTGTCCCTTCAACTATTCAATATGTGCAGTGGCGGAATCGCTATGACGCAAATAGTTTGGAATTATAGATCCTATCTGAAGTTTTGAAGCTTTCAAAAGACGATTTGTAAAGTCAACAACAATTAAGTTCGATCAACTTTATAGCATAGGTCAACAGCAGTTATTTATTCCTATCAACTATTGCCGTGGTGTGCAGCCTTGCAAATACTTCTGGAGCAGCTGGCAATAGCCACGATAGGCAAAAAAGACCTTATCCTCCAAATCTCAGGAGGACTGGCTAACCGATTGCTGTTTCTTATTACGGAGGTCCTGCGAGTGGTGAACAGTCATTTTTCATTTTCCAAACCTTTTACAGGCTTTTTCTCCTCCTACTCAAGTAACTTTCAGACGATTTACAAAGGCAGAGCCTTTCTTTCCTAATTTTTCTTTTCTTTTTCTCTCTCTTTAGAGGCCAGAGAATGATAGACAAAACATTCAAAGAAAACATATGTAAGTGAAAATTTAGAATAAAATGTGTTGCTACACATCTGTGCTCCACAATGATGTAGCCTCAAGAAAAGCCCCCAACAAAATCAGTAAGACTGATTGTCATGACAGAAATAGCCTAGATGATGAATAAACAAATCCCTAGCAAGCTACAGAGGGAGAAAATCTGATTTTCAAAGGTACAACACTTGAAAATTTATATGCCTGTTTTCGACACCAACAGAATCACATAGCATAAGGTGAAATAAGAAAGTGTGGTTCGGCCGGGCGCGGTGGCTCACTCCTGTAATCCCAGCACTTTGGGAGGCCGAGGTGGGCGGATCCCGAGATCAGGAGATCCAGAACCATCCTGGCTAACACGGTGAAACCCCGTCTCTACTAAAAAAATTAGCCGGGCGTGGTGGCGAGCGCCTGTAGTCCCAGCTACTCTGGAGGCTGAGGCAGGAGAGTGGCGTGAACCTGGGAGGCGGAGCTTGCAGTGAGCCGAGATCTCGCCACTGCACTCCAGCCTGGGGAACAGAGCGAGACTCCGCCTCAAAAAAAAAAAAAAAAAAAAAAAAAAAAAAAGAAAGGAAAGAAAAGAAAAGAAAAGAAAAGAAAAGAAAAGAAAGAAAGAAAGAAAGAAAGAAAGAAAGAAAGAAAGAAAGAAAGAAAGAAAGAGAGTGGTTCACCCTAGAAAGAAAAAAAATCACTAACAGAAGCTTTTCCCAGGTGGCCCAAATGGCAGGCTAACTAAAAAATAATTTTTTAAATTCATGATTTTTTTTAGAAAGCTAATGCAATGAAGAAAAGCACAGAAAGCCATGAACAGAAAAAAATTATTAATAGACAGTAAACTTACAATAAAGTAAACTCACAGTAAAACTAAGAAGGAAATTCTAGGCCAGGTTCAGTGGTTCTCTCTCTCTCTCTCTCTCTCTCTCTAATCTATCTAACTACCTACCTATCTATCTATCTATACATATATCTTAGACTTTAGATTATGTTAGACTTTAGTCTATATATATATAGAATACATAAAAATATATTTCTATATTATATATAATATATTTTTATTTAATATATAATATAAATATATGTGTATATATGTGTATATATATGTGTGTGTGTATATATATTATATATATATACTTATATATCTGGAGCTGAAAAGTTAAACAACTGTCACTAAAATTTACTACAGCCTGGCACAGTGGCTCACGCCTGCAGTCTTAGCAGTTTGGGAGGCCAAGTCGGTTAGACCATGAGGTCAAATGATGAAGATTTTCCTGGCCAATATGGTGAAACCTTGTCTTTACTAAAAAACACAAAAATTAGCAGGGTGTGGTGGCATGAGCCTGTAGTCCCAGCTACTTGAGAGGCTGAGGCAGGATAATTGTTTGAAATCAGGAGGTAGAGGTTGCAGTCAGCCAAGGTGGCCTCACTGAACTCCACCCTGGTGACAGAGGAAAACTCAATCAAAAACAAACAAACAAAAAAACTCTACGGAGATTTAAAAGGACACTTGAGAAGATAGAAGAACAAACTATCAGCAGATCTAAGAAAAGGGCAGTTGAAATTGTTAAGTCAAGAAGGGAACAAATAAATAAATAAATAAATAAAAACTGTGAAAACAACCTAGAAACCAGTGGGACACCATCAAGCAGTCCTCCTAAAGGAGACTAAAACAGTAGTGGTCAGAAAGGTCATAAATTTGAGGAAATAAATAAACACCAAAGAAGTTCAACAAACTCCAAGCAGCATAAACTCAAACACATTCAAACTTACTTGATAATTAACCTTTCTAAAACAAAAACAACTTGAAACTTGAAAGTTGCAAGAGAAGTGACTGGTCATGTAAAAAGAACCCCCATGAGTAATCAGTGGATTTCTTTTCGGAAAATTCAGAGGTCAGAAAGCAGTAGACTAAGATATGCCAAATGCTGTAAGAAAAAAACTTTTAACAGAAATCTTATGCCTACACTAACTGCCCATCAAAAGTGAGAGAGATATTATAAAATTCCCATGTAAAAGCTGCAGTCTTTTACCAGTAGACTACCCTTTAAGAAATGCTTTATGGAGTATTTCAGGATAAAATGAACAGACATGAAACAGCAGTGTGAATAAGTAAAGATTAAGGAAAAGATAAATATATAAACAATATAAAAGATACAAAAATGTGCACCTCCACAATTGGAAATGGAAGTGGGAAAATGTGAAAGAAAAATGCTGCAGCTACTGTGGAAAATAGTTTGGTGGTTCTGCAAAAGCTAAACATAAAATTACCATAGAACCCCCAAAATGCACTCCAAGCTATATACACAAAAAAAAATGTAAAAGAGGTATTCAAACAAAAATATGTATGCGTATGTTCATAGCAGCATTCACAATAACTAAAATCTGGAAACACACCAAATAAATGTCCACCAACAAAAAATAAGAAACAAAATGTAGTATGTCCATACAACGGCATACTATTCAGCTGTGAAAAGGATTACAACTCTAATGCTACAATGTGAAGAAACTTAAATTTTGGCTCAAGAAGCTGAGCCAAAAGTCACATAGTGTATGATTTTATTTGTATAAATATTTAGAGTAGGTAAATCCATAGAGAAAAAATGCAGATTATTGGTGCTGGTGTCAGAAAGAGGACAGATTGGGTAGGAGCTTCTTAATAAGTAGGGTATTTCCTTTTGGAATAATGAAAATACTTTGGAACTAAGATGTGGTAGTTGCACACAAATATGCACGTACTAAAGATCACTAAGGAATTCATTAAGAAACAGTTAATTTTATATTACATGAAGGAATTTAACCTCACTAAAAAGACAAAATTTCTTCCTCAGCATTCTCTCAGCAACGTGAGCGCTCTTTCCACAGAGTGCTTGCAGCATGGGGTTCTGATCCCTCCACAGTCCAGAACTGCCTGGGGCCAGGCCAGCCACACACTAGACATGAACTCCCGCCACCCTGTCCAGCAGCCCCTCGACCTGTTACCAGTGGAAGTTATCTGAGTTACTGGCGTCAAATCTATCATGGTCTGCAGTAACCTCAACTCTTGCCTCCTCAGGAGAAAGAATTTGACTGAGGGGAGTAAAGTAGCAAAGGAGACTGAGAAAGGTTTCACAGCAAAAGGGGATGTTTGTTTAAAATATTTTAGAGTAAGAAAAAGAGAAGAGTGCGTTAGGAAGAGATCCAAGTGGGTGATATGAATATATACCATATATATGACTTGCAAATATTGTGTCCCATGCTGGTGGTTTTCTTTCCACTATACTGACAGTGTCTTTTGACGCACAAAAGTGTTTAGTTTTGATGAAGTTCAAGTGATCTATTTTTTCTTATGTTTTGTGTTCAGTCAGTGATATAGCCAAGAAATCATTTACAAATCCACAGCCAATAAGCACATGAAAAGATGTTCGAAATCACTAGCCACTTAATGCAGGAATATCTAAACCACAATGAGATTACCACTTTATCCCCATTGGAATTTTTCTTTCTTTCTTTTTCTTTTTTTTTTAAAAGAAAACTTTGAGAGTATGTGGAGAAATTGGAAGCCTTGTACATTGCTGGTGAGATTGTGAAATGGTGGTGATGTTTGCACAATTTGAGCATAGTTAATGCTTCCAAATTATACACTCAAAGTGTTTGAAATGGTACATTTGTTTATGTATGATTTTCCACTTACAACAAAAGCTTCCTCAGAAATTGTCCTAAAATAGTTCCATGAGTGATGAAAGAAGACGCTCCTCTCCTATCATGAGTAGAAGCCTATTTATTTATTCATGCCATTATACGCACTCTTGACTCTTCCACATGCCCAGCATGATCTCATCAAGCAGAATGAGTCTCTTCTCATCTGGCCCATTTGTGCTCCTTTCCATAATTGCATTCTCCTTTTCAACTCACTACCTGCCCGCTAAAAACAACTGTAAGTTACAGGCCAGTTTACTGTCTCTATAAATATTTCTTCTCTGTAACGTAATAGAAATGAAATCATACAATATGTCACCTCTTCAGACTGGCTCTTATCACTTTGCTTTGTGAATGCCCGATTCATCCATGGCTTTGCATGACTTCATAAATCACTCCTTTTGTTTTGATGAATAGTATTTCATTTTATGAATTTACCTGGCTTGGTTAATATTGAAGGGCATCCTGATTCCTTCAAGTATGTGGCCATTGTCAAGAGAGCAGTTATACATAAATGCTTGTGGTTTTTGGTTAGATGTGAGTTTCCAAATCAGTTGTTTAGATACCTAAGTGTTAACAATTGTTAGCCTATATGTTGAGACCATGTCCGCCTTTGGAAAAAACTGTCAAACTCTTTCAGAAGAAAACAACCATATTTTAAAGTTGCTGTACAATTATGCATTCCTTCAGCAATGAATGAGATTTTCTGTTGCAGTTTTGAGTATATTTAAAAAGAAATTTAGACATAGTATAGCTGTTTAGTGCTCACACTCTTATTTTAATTTGCCTTCCCCGAACGGCAGGTGTTGTTGAGCATTATTTTGTTGTTATTGTTTGTTCATTAATCTATGATTGCTGCCAAAAAGCATACATGTGTTGTGCCACAGAAACCCAATTTTAAAAAACGTACTCTCAGCTCTACTTGGTAAAAAATAAAAAAAATTAAGTGTCATACTGCCCAAGGTAATTTATAGATTCAATGCCATCCCCATCAAGCTACCAATGACTTTCTTCACTGAACTGGAAAAAAGTACTTTAAAGTTCATATGGAACCAAAAAAGAGCCCACATCACCAAGTCAATCGTAAGCCAAAAGAACAAAGCTGGAGGCATCACGCTACCTGACTTCAAACTATACTACAAGGCTACAGTAACCAAAACAGCATGGTACTGGTACCAAAACAGAGATATAGATTAATGGAACAGAAAATAATGCCGCATATCTACAACTATCTGATCTTTGACAAACCTGAGAAAAACAAGCAATGGGGAAAGGATTCCCTACTTAATAAATGGTGGGGGGAAACCTGGCTAGCCACAGGTAGAAAGCTGAAACTGGATCCCTTCCTTACACCTTATACAAAAATTAATTCAAGATGGATTAAAGACTTAAGCGTTAGACCTGAAACCGTGTAATGACTTGCTGTTTGGTTTTTACTTACTACTGTTACTGTGTTTTCTGTCTTGAGAATACCAAAATAGTAATGCATTGTACCAAGCCTTCTAAAATAACTGCCTAAAAATGTAATTGAGTCCTTTTGTTGTTGTTGTTCTGTTCTGTTTGTTGTTGTTGTTGTTTGTTTGTTTGTTTGTTTTGAGATGGAGTCTTGGTCTGTTCCCATGGCTGGAGTGCAATGACATGATCTCAGCTTTGGTAACCTCAGCTTCCCGGGTTCACGAAATTCTCCTGTCTTAGCTTCCTGAGGATCTGGGTTTACAGGACCCAGACACCACTACCGGCTAATTTTTTTTACATTTTTAGTAGAGAGTTTGTTTCACCATGTTGACCAGGATGATCTCAAACACCTGACCTAAGGACATCCACCTGGCTCAGCCTCCCAAACTGCTGGGATTACCGATGTGAGCCATCATGCCTGGCCACGCCAATTCCTTTATTTCTTTATGGAATCAAATGTAGGTTGAGAATCATCTTTCCTAATACTTGTCAGTGCCTCAAGATTGTTAGGATAAATATAAAACTTCCAACCAAAGGATACTTGTTGACATCCAGAATTTTAAGAAAAGTTGTGAAATAAAATACCCAGCTTCTGGCTCTTTCCTCGTGAGCAGGCTCAATGTCTGGGAAATCCTTGGAAACTGGAAGAAGGGTAGAGCTGGGGTAGGTGGGGATGATCTTTGAAACCACTGCCGCTCTGGCAGCCACTGTTGCTCCTCAGGAAATGGCTTGGAGCCTCAGCCTTCAGAAGAAGTAACAGGGGCTCAGCAATCGGTATTTTGTGTGCCAGGTTTTCCATCTCCATATCTGTTTTGGTGATGTATCTATTCAGGTCTCTACTTATTAATTAGGTCATCTTATTTGTTTGAATATTTTGCATAAAAGTCACTTTTCAGATGTGTTTCCTAAACTTTTCTTAGCCTGAGGCTTGTTTTTTTTGGTTCTCTTAACCAGAACATAGTTTTTGTTTGTTTTGTTTTGTATTGTTTTGTTTTCTTCTTGTTTTTTGCCTTTTTTGAGATGGAGTCACACCTTGTCACCCAACCTGGGGTGCAAAGGCATGATTTTGGCCCACTGCAACATCTGTCTCCTGGGTTGAAGGGATTCTTCTGCCTCAGGTTCCAGAGTAGCGTGGACTACATGTGTCTGCCAACAAGCCCACCTATTTTTTTTTTTTTTTTGTATTTTTAATAGAGACAGTGTGGCAGTCAGTTACTATGGGATGAAACAAAGGGGGTTGAATGCAGAAATGAAGACAAAGACAAAAAAGATCTGTTTTAAAAGAGGGGTTGAGGGCTCATTGCTTCTAATCAGCAAAGGCCCTGAGCTTCTACAGGCCTTCATATTTAGTAGGCAGAATCAACAGGGAGGAAAGGTAATTGTTGGTCAGCTGCTTGCATTATCACAGGCTCACACAATTGCTTTCTATATACTACCGGCTTCAGATGTTCCTATATATAACCACAAGAAAGACTGTGCTTGGGGCATGACTGCCCTCAGCATTCCTTCTGACACCAGACGTGGTGTGTCAGGTTGCCAACATGCTGCTTTCATGAGAACAGTTCCCTCTCTGCTCATAGACCCTCCAGTCATTACTGAGTTGGTCACGACTCTCATTCTTTTGGCCTCCAACATCTCCTCCTTTTTATTTTTGCATTAATTGAGTAAAGATAATTGCAGGCTGTGCAGCTCTCCACTGCTGTTTGGTGGTCCAGCTGCTTTTACAGACAATGAACATAAAAGAGAGACATCATGATGTTACTCTGATAATCACAAAAAAGACATTTAGGTGATGTTTGGAGGAGGTCCAAAGGCTAAGGCTCTCTAAACCTTGCTGGAATTCTGCCCAAGTTTTCAGAGACGGCTGACTTACTTGAGTATGCTTTTTCAAGTTAAGAATTTTGCTTTGTAAATCAAGTTTCCATGGATATTCCCTTTGGTTTTATTCCAAATTGGTTACACAAAGATGAGCATGCTTAAAATGACAATGCAATTGCTGCCGCAACTGCAAGTTTGTTCTTGGTTTCCTAGCCACAGAACTGTAATCTTTAACTCTTTAACATTGCTACTTCCATGTGTATCTCAGTGTTAAGTTTATTTTTAAGCATCCATGCCTGGTCGGCTGTACACATCCAATTTTCTACATATTGAGCTGTGATTTGAATGGAGCTGTACATTGCTACTAAGGACACCACAACAGAAGTTATTAATGTACCTAAGGAGACTTTCACAAAAATTTTCATGCCTAAGGCTCTACAAGCACAATGAATAAGCTGACTAAGAAAAAAGTTTACAAAATGGAAACCAGAGGTGACCACCCAAGGCTCAGGCAGATTTACAGGAATCCATAATCCGGGATTGTGACCTAGAATTACTAGGGTGGATATGCTGTATGTTTGTACTGTGCTATGATTAAGGGAATAATACAGTTAACAGGAATCACAAGTCAGTCGGGCATCGTTTACCTGGAGTTGGTCCTTTTTGCTGCCAGAAAAACATAAGTTCAAAAACACAAATTGTAAATTGAGTGGTAGTGTTTTCTACAATGGTAACATTAAAACTGTGTTCAGCACAATTACTATAATTAGATAGTGTTCCGACACAAATGCTGCCATTCATATAGTGGAGTGCTGCCTTCCCTATCGACTCCTGAGTTGGACCTCTCTTTCCTTGGTAATGCCATTGAGGCAAAGTTGAGTTAAAACCTGTTCCATGCCAAGTGAAACTTGCTGCAGGTTGGGACTGAATCCCAGCGCAATGTAGTGAAGAGATGCTGACCAGTGTCAGCGAAGTTTATGCCATGAGGTCGGATTCTCATCTCTCCCATCTAAGTGACCACAGGCACCTAGAAAATAATGTCTCCCATTAGCATGTACTCTTGTCTAGCTAGGGGACCAAGACACTGGGTCCAAGGAGGGGGGTAAGAATTATCAAAGGGAGCCCATTCTGTATAATTAATACGATTTGGGAGATGGGGCTGGGAGTGATTAGTAGCTACACCAGTAATGTTAATAGAGCTAAGGCCTAATAGGTACATATTTTTTTCCATGGTAACTCAGCCATACTTGGGATTAATTTGCAAGGCCACTGCAGTTGAGTGATGTACCCTGGGTGACTCATGAAGGAAGTCCCTCCAATGGAGCAGCATAATTGATAATCATTGTTCTGAGAGTCTAATAACTGTTTGTCAGGGGGTGTTAGGGGTCCTGGTGCCCCTGCTTCATGATCATGATAGATGTCAGGGGGAGTGTCACTCCAAATTACACTCCGTAATACTGGGGGATTGGGAATATATGCCCAATATGTTTTTGTCTCTCTGCACAAGGGAAACCTACTGCACAGGATGTTATGGGTAGCATGGCCATCAACGTGATGTCAGGGGTGTTTGCCTGACCCTGGTGCTCCAGCAATTTCAACTGACTCATGGCTTGTAATGGAGGAGTTGGATTCATAGTTGGGATCCATGGCTCTCTCCAGTCTCCCTTTACATGGTCACAAACACACAGATTATCCATCTCCTGTAAAAACACAAGCATACCCTCATCCTTACATCAGTAAATCTCCTGAGCATTTCCATCGTCCTTAGGGGGATTTTCATAATATTTTGGGGCATACTTTACTTTTTCCCTATAACATTTACCAGTGTCGTTCTGCCATAGTCTTACTATCTGTGCCAGGAGTCAAAAAAATTAAAGTAAATAAGTAAAAAAATAAATTAAAGTAAAAGTAAATGTATTTTGTTTGAGGTGGTAACTGATCTCTTGTTTCCTCTTTCGGTTTTTTTCAGCACAGCTTGTAATGTTTGATTTGCCCGCTCTATAATTCCTTGTCTTTGGGGTTTGTAAGGAATTCCTGTTTTATGAGTGATTGACCATAGCTGTAAAAAATTTTAAAAAGCATGACTAGCATAAGCTTGTCCATTGTCAGTTTTTAATTGTTTAGGGACCCCCCATATGAGCAAATGACGACAGACAATGTCATTACACATAACCAGCTGTGTGACCTGGTTTGCATGTAGCATGCCGCATATGAGAATACGTGTCTGTAGTCACACGAACAAAGGAGAACTTACCAATGGCAGCTTTGTGAGTAACATCCATCTGTCAGATTTCATTTGAAGCTAAGTCTCATGGGTTACAGCCTTCTATGAGTGTGACTCCAGTGACATGCTGGCAAGCAGGACAGGCTTGTACGGGCTGCAGCCTGGCTGTTAGGCAAATGAAACATACGAGTAGAGGCAGAGTTTTGATGCAGTAATATATGAGAAGGTTGAGCTTGTTGAAATGCAGAACAAACCAATTTATTGGCTCTATTATTACCTAGATATAGTGGTGTAGGTAGTTGTGTGGGAGAGCAAATATAAGAAATATAAAAAGCAGCACAAGAGCAAACAGCTTCTTAAAGTCTTAGAAACAAGTTAAACTGCTCTGGTTCCAGGGTGCTTTTAATAATAGTGGCCGTCCCAATATGACCGGCTACATTTACAACATAGGCTGAATCACAGAGAGTGTTAATAAGAGATGAACCAGTGAGCTGTAAAACCTGCATAACTGCCATTAGTTCTGAGCGTTGATCTGAAACTCCGGGGTTTTTTATTGTTTGAGCATGCTTAGTACCATAAGTAACTTTGCGACCTTTGGAAGAGCCATCAGTAAGTAGGTCTGGCTGCATGAAATGGGCTTGTGATGAGTAATCACGGGGAAGATGAAAGGTTGAACTTTTAAAATTGCAAAATTTTGTCTGATGGATAATGTTTATGTATTGTTCCTACACAATCTGAAAGAGCAATTTGCCACACAGTCAACATTTCCCATGCTGCAGCCTGTTGCTGGGAATCCAATATTTCTCCTCACACTTTTAGACTGGCTCTAAAAGGAGAACAATAATTTTGTGTGGATCATATCTCTTAAGCATTTTTGATCTATCCCTACCCCTTGTTATAAACTGAGTAGTTAAAGAAATATAAACTTGCAGAGATTTTACTCTCTGATTGAATTTCAAAAAAAGCCATTCTATTACAATTACATATTTTTTCTATGATCTGGCCTAAAAGTCCTGTTGGAGAATGAGGGGTAGAGAGAATAAAGGGAACCAAGGGCTTTTGTGGCTGTAGCCGGGAGGCATGTGTTTGCTGAAGAATCTGCTCTACAAGCTGTAACTCAGCTCCAGCCTCCTCAGACAAACCAGCAACTGGGTTGTCTCCTAAGCCCATTGCTCCTAATGAAGAATTTCCATGGAGTGCCTGAGTGTTTGAGTTGACGAGTAGCAATACCTAGGATTGGACACAGCCAATTTATATCTCCTAATAGTTGTTGGAAATCACTGAAGGTTTGTAATCTGTCCCTATGGAGGACTGCTTTCTGAGGTCGAACATTTGTTTCAGTAACAATAGTGCCTAAGTATTGGTATGGGGAGGTTGCTTCTACCTTTTGTTGAACTATTTTGAGATGTCCCCCTGTTTTGCTTCTCTCAACAATTGGTGTAATAGCTCTTCCATTGGAGCAGCCAAAAGAATTTCATCCATATAATGAATGATGTAGGCAGTAGGAAATATATTATGAGGCTCCTTTAAGGACTGACCTACAAAACGCTGAAATAGCGTAGGACCGGTGAGCATGCTTTGGGGTGAAACTTTGCTTATCCTTCTCATGTAAGGGTATAGTAAGGAAATAATCTTTGAGATCTACTACTGTAGGAGGTGAGTCACTTGGAATGGCTGCCAGGAATGGCAGACCTTGCTGTAATGCACCCATTGATTAAATCTGTGCATTAATCGCTCTCAAATCATGTAACAACTTGCTGGCAAATCGGTCTGTTTTTATATAGTAAAATTTTGCTGAAACCTTACACTTGTGTTGATACATATGTATATGTATATGTGTGTATATATCTCTATATGTGTGTATATATATACATATACACATGCACACACATATGTATGTGTGTACATATATGTATGTAATATGCACATATGTAATATGCACATATGTAATACCCAGAGTTTATGGATGTATACCTATACACTCTGGTATGTGTGTATAGATGGTATGTGTATATGTAGGTATATACGTATACACATACACATATGTATGTGTATATATATATATAACACGTGTATATATACACACATATATGCACACATACAGACACATATTTAAGTGAGTGTGTATATTTACATATATATGCATGCTCTGTCTATAAATGTGTTTATATATACACACACAAACATATATACATACACATATATACATATACACATATGTATACGGAGCCAAGATGGTTGAATAGGAACAGCTCCAGTCTACAGCTCCCAGCATGAGCCACACAGAAGACAGGGGATTTCTGCATTTCCAACTGAGGTACCGGATTCATCTCACTGGGGCGTGTCAGACCGTGGGTGCAGGACAGTGGGTGCAGTGCACCGAGGGTGAGCCAAAGCACAGCGAGGCATCACCTCACCCAGGGAGCACAAGGGGTCAGGGAATTCCCTTTCCTATTCAAAGAAAGGGCTGGCAGACAGCACCTGGAAAATCAGGTCACTCCCACATTAATACTGCGCTTCTCCAGTGGTCTTAGCAAACGGCACACCAGGAGATTATATCACACACCTGGCTTGGAAGGCCTACACCCACGGAGCCTCACTCTTTGCTAGCACAGCAGTCTGAGATCAAACTGCAAGGCGACAATGAGGCTGGGGAAGGGGAGCCCATCATTGCTGCCGCTTGAGTAGGTAAACAAAGTGGCCAGGAATTTCGAACTGGGTGGAGCCCACTGCAGCTCAAGGAGGCCTGCCTGCCTCTGTAGACTCCACCTGTGGGGGCAGGGCATAGCCAAACAAAAGGCAGCAGAAACCTATGCAGACTTAAATATCCCTGTCTGACAGCTTTGAAGAGAATAGTGGTTCTCCCAGCACGCAGCTTGAAATCTCAGAACGGACAGACTGCCTCTTCAAGTGGGTCCCTGAACCCCACATAGCCTAACTGGGAGGCACCCCCCAGTAGCTGCAGACTGACACCTCACACGGCTGGGTACTCCTCTGAGGCCAAACTTCCAGAGGAACAATCAGCCAGCAATAGTTGCTGTTCACCAGTATCTGCTGTTCTGCAGGCTCCGCTGCTGATACCTAGGGAAACAGGGTCTGGAGTGGACCTCCAGCAAACTCCAACAGACTTGCAGCTGAGAGTCCTGATTGTTAGAAGGAAAATTAACAAACAGAAAGGACATCCACACCAAAACCCCATCTGTATGTCACCGTCATCAAAGACCAAAGGTAGATAAAACCACAAAGATTGGGAAAAAACAGAGCAGAAAAACTGGAAACTCTAAAAATCAGAGCGCCTCTCCTCCTCCAAAGGAATGCAGCTCCTCACCAGCAACAGAACAAAGCTGGATGGAGCATGACTTTGACGACTTGAAAGAAGAAGGTTTCAGATGATCAAACTACTCCGAGCTAAAGGAGGAAGTTCGAACCCATGGCAAAGGTGCTGAAAACCTTGAAAAAAAAATTAGATGAATGGCTAACTAGAATAACCAAAGCAGAGAAGCCCTTAAAGGACCTGATGGAGCTGAAAACCATGGCACGAGAACTACGTGATGAACGCACAAGCCTCAGTAGCCGATTTGATCAACTGGAAGAAAGGGTATCAGTGACGGAAGATCAAGTGAATGAAATGTAGTGAGAAGAGAAGTTAAGAGAAAAAAGAATAAAAAGAAATGAACAAAGCCTCCAAAAAATATGGGACTATGTGAAAAGACCAAAGCGACATCTGATTGGTGTACCTGAAAGTGACGGGGAGAATGGATCTATTATCCGGGAGAACTTCCCAAATGTAGCGAGGCAGGCCAACACTCAGATTCAGGAAATACAGAGGAACGCCACAAAGATACACCTCAAGAAGAGCGACTCCAAGACACATAACTGTCAGGTTCACCAAAGTTGAAATGAAGGAAAAGATGTTAAGGGAAGCCAGAGAGAAGGTAGGGTCACCCACAAAGGGAAGCCCATCAGACTAACAGCTGATCACTTGGAGAAACTCTACAAGCCACAAGAGAGTGAGGGCCAATATTCAACATTCTTAAAGAAAGGAATTTTCAACCCAGAATTTCATATCCAGCCAAACTAAGCATCATAAGTGAAGGAGACATAAAATCCTTTACAGGCAAGCAAATGCTGAGAGATTTTGTCATCACCAGGCCTGCCCTAAAGGAGCTCCTGAAGGAAGAGCCAAACATGGAAAGGAACAACCGGTACCAGCCACTGCAAAGACATGCCAAATTGTAAAGACCATCGAGGCTAGGAAGAAGCTGCATCAACTAACTAGCAAAATAACCAGCTAACATCAAAGTGACAGAATCAAATTCACACATAACAATATTAACCTTAAATGTAAACGGGCTAAATGCTCCAATTAAAAGACACAGACTGGCAAATTGGATAAAGAGTCAAGACCCATCAGTGTGCTCTATTCAGGAAACCCATCTGACGTGCAGAGACACACATGGGCTTAGAATAAAGGGACGGAGGAAGATCTACCAAGCAAATGGAAGACAAAAAAAGGCAAGGGTTGCAATCCTAGTCTCCGATAAAACAGACTTTAAACCAACAAAGATCAAGAGGTCAAATCAACAAGAAGAGCTAACTATCCTAAATATATACGTACTCAATACAGGAGCACCCAGATTCATAAAGCAAGTCCTTAGAGACCTACAAAGAGACTTAGACTCCCACACAATGATAATGGGAGACTTTAATGCCCCACTGTCAACATTAGACAGATCAACGAGACAGAAAGTTAACAAGGATATGCAGGAAATGAAGTCAGCTCTGCACCAAGTGGACCTAATAGACATCTACAGAACTCTCCACCCCAAATCAACAGAATATACGTTCTTTTCAGCATCACACCACACCTATTCCAAAACTGACTCCATAGTTGGAAGTAAAGCACTCCACAGCAAATGTAAAAGAACAGAAATTATAACAAACTGTCTCTCAGACCACAGTGAAATCAAACTAGAACTCAGGATTAAGAAACTCACTCAAAACCGCTCAACTGCATGGAAACTGAACAACCTGCTCCTGAATGACTACTAGGTACATAACGAAATGAAGGCAGAAATAAAGATGTTCCTTGAAACCAACAAGAACTAAGATACAATATACCAGAATCTCTGGGACACGTTCAAAGCTGCATGTAGAGGGAAATGTGTAGCACTAAATGCCCACAGGAGAAAACAGGAAAGATCTAAAATTGACACCCTGACATGACAATTAAAAGAACTAGAGAAGCAAGACCAAACACATTCAAAAGCTAGCAGAAGGCAAGAAATAACTAAGATCAGAGCAGAACTGAAGGAAATAGAGACACAAAAGCCCCTTCAAAAAATCAATGAATCTAGGAGTTGGTTTTTTGAAAAGATCAACAAAATTGATAGACCGCTAGCAGTACTAACAAAGAAGAAAAAAGAAGAATCAAATAGACGCAATAAAAAATGACAAAAGGGATATCACCACCGACCCCACAGAAATACAAACTACCATCAGAGAATACTATAAACACCTCTACACAAATGAAGTAGAAAACCTAAAAGAAATGGATAAATTCCTCGACACATACACCCTCCCAAGACTAAACCGGGAAGAAGTTGGATCTCTGAATAGACAAGTAACAGGCTCTGAAATTCAGGCAATAAGTAATATTGCAAAAAAAAAGTCCAGGACCAGATGGATTCACATCCGAATTCTACCAGAGGTACAAGGAGGAGCTGGTACCATTCCTTCTGAAACGATTCCAATCAATAGAAGAAGAGGGAGCCCTCTCTAACTCATTTTATGAGGCCAGCATCATCCTGATACCAAAGCCTGGCAGAGACACAGCAAAAATAGAGAATTTTAGACCAAAATCCCTGATGAACATCAATGCAAGAATCGTCAATAAAATACTGGCAAACCGAATCCAGCAGCACATCTAAAAGCTTACCCACCGTGATCAAGTGGGCTTCATCCCTGGGATGCAAGGCTGGTTCAACATATGCAAATCAATAAACATAATCCAGCATATAAACAGAACCAATGACAAAAGCCACATGATTAACTCAATAGATGCAGAAAAGGCCTTCAACAAAGTTCAACAGCACTTCATGCTAAAAACTCTCAATAAATTAGGTATGGATGGGACGTATTTCAAAATAATAAGAGCTATCCATGACAAACGCACAGCCACTTCATACTGAATGGGCAGAAACTGGAAGCATTCCCTTTGAAAACTGGCACAAGACAGGGATGCCCTCTCTCACCATTCCTATTCAACCTAGTGTTGGAAGTTCTGTCCTGGGCAATCAGGCAGGAGAAGTAAACAAAGGGTATTCAATTAGTAAAATAGGAAGTCAAATTCTCCCTGTTTGCAGATGACATGATTGTATATTTAGAAAACCCCATCGTCTCAGTCTAAAATCTCCTTAAGCTTGTAAACAACTTCAGCAAAGTCTCAGGATACAAAATCAATGTGCAAAAAATCACAAACATTCTTATACACCAATAACAGACAAGCAGAGAGCTAAATCATGAGTGAACTCCCATTCACAATTGCTTCAAAGAGAATAGAATACCTAGGAATCCAACTTACAGGGGATGTGAAGGACCTCTTCAAGGAGAACTACAAACCACTGCTTAATGAAATAAAAGAGGTTACAAACAAATGGGAGAACATGCCATGCTCATGGATAGGAAGAATCAACATCGTGAAAATGGCCATACTGCCCAACGTAATTTATAGATTCAATGCCATCCCCATCAAGCTACCAATGACTTTCTTCACAGAATGGAAAAGCTCATATGGAACCAAAAAAGAGCCCACATTGCCAAGTCATTCCTAAGTCAAAAGAACAAAGCTGGAGGCATCACACTACCTGACTTCAAACTATGCTACAAGGCTACAACCAATGGAAGAGAACCAGGCACTCAGAAATAATGCCACATATCCACAACTATCTGATCTTTGGCAAACCAGACAAAAACAAGAAATGGGGAAAGGAATCCCTATTTAATAAATGGTGCTGGGAAAACTGGTTAGCCATATGTAGAAAGCTGTAGCTGGAGCCCTTCCTTACACCTTATACAAAAATTAATTCAAGATGCATTGGGGACTTACATGTTAGACCTAAAACCATAAAAACCCTAGAAGAAAACCTAGGCAATACCATTCAGGACATAGGCATGGGCAAGGACTTCATGTCTAAAACGCCAAACACAATGACAACAAAAGCCAAAATTGACAAATGGGATCTAACTAAACTAAAGAGCTTCTGCACAGCAAAAGAAACTACCATCAGAGTCAACAGGTAACCTACAGAATGGGAGAAAATTTTTGCAATCTACCCATCTGACAAAGGGCTAATATCCAGAATCTACAAAGAACTTAAACAAATTTACAAGAAAAAAACAAACAACCCCATCCAAAAGTGGGCAAAGGATATGAACAGACATTTCTCAAAAGAACACATTCATGCAGCCAAAAAACACATGAAAAAATGCTCATCATCACTGGCCGTCAGAGAAATGCAAATCAAAACCACAATGAGACACCATCTCACACCAGTTAGAATGGTGATCATGAAAAAGTCAGGAAACAACAGGTGCTGGAGAGGATGTGGAGAAACAGGAACACTTTTACACTCTTGGTGGGACTGTAAACTAGTTCAGCCATTGTGCAAGTCCGTGTGGCGATTCCTCGGGGATCTAGAACTAGAAATCCCATTTGACCCAGCCATCCCATTACTGGGTATATACCCAAAGGATTACAAATCATGCTGCTATAAAGACACAAGCACACGTATATTTATCACGGCACAATTCACAATAGCAAAGACTTGGAACCAACCTAAATGTCTAAAAACGACAGACTGGATTAAGAAAATGTGGCACATATACACTATGGAAACTAGGCAGCCATAAAAAATGATGAGTTCATGTCCTTTGTAGGGACATGGATCAAACTGGAAACCATCATTCTCAGCAAACTATGGCAAGAACAAAAAACCAAACACCGCAAGTTCTCACTCATAGGTGGGAACTGAACACTGAGAACACGTGGACACAGGAAGGGGAACATCACACTCCAGGGACTGTTCTGGGGTGGGGGAAGGGGTGAGGGATAGCGTTAGGAGCTATACCTAATGCTAAATGATGAGTTAATGGGTGCAGCACACCAGCATGGCGCATGTGTACATATGTAACAAACCTGCACGTTGTGCACATGTACCCTAAAATGTAAAGTACAATTTAAAAAAAGAAAAAAGTATGCTTCCATCGTTTTGTTTTGAGCCTATGTGTGCCTTTGCACGTCAGATGTGTCTCCTGAATAAAGCACACTTGGTGTATTTATATTTAAGATTAATATTGTTACGTGTCAATTTGACCATGGTATGGTGATGCTAGCTGGTTCTTTTGCATATTCTTGATGCAGTTTCTTCATAGTGTTGTTGGACTTTTTATTTGTTATTTTTTGCAGTAGCTGTTACCAGATGTCCCCTTACATATTTAATATTCCCTTTAGGAACTCTTGTAAGGCACTCATGGTGGTGACAAAATGTTTGTACACTTAACTTGTCTGAAAATTATTTTATTTCTCCTTTGGCCATAAAGCTTAGTTTGGATGCCTATAAAATTCTGGTCTGAAAATTCTTTCCTTTAAGATCGGTGAATATTTGCCGCCTCTCTCTTGTGGCTTGTAGGGTTTCTGCAGAATTATCTGCTGTTAGTCTAATGGGCTTCCCTTTGTAGGTAACCTGATCTTTCTCTTGGGCTGCTGTAAACATTTTTTTTTTCCTTTTTTTCTGCCTTGGAGAATCTGCCAGTTATGTGTCTTGGGGGTTGTCTTCTCATGAAGTATCTCAGTGGTGTCCTCTATATTTCCCGAAAGTGTACGTTGGCCTGTCTTTGTAGGTTGGCCTACATAACATCTGTCTACGTAGGCCTGTCTATGTAGGCCTGCATAACATCCTGAAGTTTGTTTTTCAAGTTGGTTCAATTGTCCTCATCACTTTTGGGTACACAAATCAATCACAGGTTTGGTCTTCTCACGTAATCCCGTATTTCTGGGAGGCTTTGTTGCTTCCTTTTCATACTTTGTTCTCTAATCTTGTCTTCATGCTTTATTTCATTGTCTTTAATCTGTGATATCCTTCCTTCTGCTTGATCAATTCAGCTATTGATCCTTGGGTATGCTGTGCAAAGTTCTTGCACTGTGTTTTTTAGCTACATCAGGACATTTATGTTTTCCTCTAAACTAGTTATAATCATAATTATTACTATTTTTGAGACGGAGTCTCACTCTGTCACCAGAGAGCTTCTGGAAATCTGAACTTATAGATTATCCTAGACAATTGTGTGCATATAAAACCAGACATTAATCATTTTAAACGTCTAAGAATATGTACGTGTTTTTCCTTTGTTTTGAAGCAAGTTTCTGCATTTAATCATGTGTAAAGAATTTTAGCTTATTAAATAGAATATAATCTAAGTTAATCTAAAAAGCACACTTTATGACCATAAAAACTTAGATATTTCTACCTAAATGATTCCATGATTGACTAATCCTGCTCAAGGTTTCCTTTAAAGAGGTAGCTCTTTATTCATGTTAACAGTGTAAGATCTAGAGCCTTATGCAAAAAACAAAATACAAATCAACTGATATCTCAGCAAAAATTCTAACCATATGTTCAGTTTAGAATTTTGTGTCTCTGAGATATTTGTGACTTGGTAAATTCAAATCACCATCTCAGTTGTTTTTGTGTCTCTGTTTAGGGGAGGGCAGCAGAAACCGCCTTATGCCCCATTAGACTCTGCATTCTAGGATACTTAAAATTAAATAATAATAATAATAAACACTATTACAGACTTTCAGTCATCCAAATCTAACAAAAAACAATTCTGGTCTTTTATATAGTAGTAGCTATAGATAAAAATTAGAGCTCTTCCAGGCGCGGTGGCAAAACCTGTAATCCCAGCACTTTGGGGGGGCTGAGGCAGGTGAATCACGAGGTCAGGAGATTGAGATCATTTTAGCTAACATGGTGAAATATCGTCTCTGGTAAGAATAGAAAAAAAATGGCTGGGCATGGTGGCAAGCGCCAGTTGTCCCAGCTACTTGGGAGGCTAAGGCAGGAGAACGGCGTTAACCCGAGAGTCGGAGGTTGCAAAGAGCGGAGACTATGCCACTGCATTCTAGCTTGGGTGACAGAGTGAGATGCTGTCTCAGAAAAAGGAAAAAAAATTAGAGCTTGCAAGAACAATCTGATGCTCATCTGTCTGCTCTTATATTTGGGCTTGTGCATAAAGTAATGACATTTGGACAGAAAAGCTGTTTCATTATTTATTTTACAGTTACAGTGCTTGAAGTGAATTGATAATATTAAATAAGTACCTTGGATATTTTCAGTCTCCTTTCAAGCCTTATCTATGGTTGAAATTGTTTTGGGCTATGAACATGCATTAGGGCATCTTGCAGCTAATGATGTATTCTGCTTAGCTCAGGTCTTGGGTCCTGAGCAGACAGACTATTAGAACTCATCAATTTTTCTTTGTACATAGTTGACCATGGATTCTATCCCTTGCGCTGAGGCTCAGACTTTTTTTCAGCATTTCACACTCTCTCCTTGGCCTGTTCCAACATCATTTTAATTTTACAGCGAACAAAGGCCTTACCTTTCTCCAGAACAACTGGATTACAAGAGGAAAGCTCTTTAATTTGGATCATAACCTCTTGTGTGAAATTTTCAGTCCAAGACACTTAAGAGACCAGGCCCTTGGCACATGCATCCAGTGCTGTCAGCTTTCTCCCACCAAACCACATTTCACTGGCTGATGCTCCACCCAGCATCTTGGGAAATGTAATGATAGAACAGCCACCTGAACTCTGTCCAAATGTCGTAAAAGAAGTTTCAAGCCAAGCCTTTCTGTTAGCCCCAAAGCAAATCACAAAGAGGCAATATGGACGCACCTAGTCAAATTACCATGCTACTGCCTGATGCAAAAATAGATTTCTTAAACTGAATAAAACTATGTACCAGGTCTTTGTGGTGTCCCCCATTTCAATGCTTGATCTCTTCCTGTCATTTCTTAAATGCACACAAAATCAAGACCACAGCAAAGGACACTGCCGGCTGCACTGAGCAAGGAGCACAAATTTCCTGTCATCCACAGCAACCCTATTCAGGGCATTCTCAATTTCTTTCATCCCCTCTGTATTTAGTGAGGTATTCTCTGTCAATCTAGTTGATAGTAATTTTTGGGTAATGAAGCTCTCTTTCCTCACCACAATGTCTCTGAATCTGCTGGCATTTTCTGTTAACCTTAGTGTAAAGTACATCCTTTTGATAAAAGGCTGTTTTTTTCAATCATCAATAATCTTTATTTTCCCATCTCTCCCTCTTCAAACAGCTATATGAATGTTTTTTGTCCCATTGGCTGTTAATGAATTCGTTAATGCCAATGTACCTTCCTTGTTAGCTGAGCCTGTAACCATGGAAGTGTTAATCGAGCCAGACACCAGAGACATTAGTGGGTGTATGTGGGACCTATCCTTACTTCCAGCCTCTTCTGCACTGGAATCTGATAAATCTCTGATATGCTTCTCTGCTGCCATCTTGTGCACCACCATGTCCAGCTGATGTGACACAATAGGGTCCAGTTTCCAGAGTTCCAGAAAGCCACTCACTGAGTTCTTGCTGTTAAATGGGCTCTGAAGTGCAAGTGTCTTGAGAGGTTAACTTCCTAGCTTCATATTTTTGGGTCAAAGAAAGGTAAAGCTGCATTCATCCTAATGTTGTGGCCAGCAGCATACATCTGGCTGTGTTTGGATGTGTGGTGTTTGCGAGTCATTAGCATTTTAGAAACGTACTTAGAAAAGTTGGTGAAGGTAGATCCAAACGTTCCTTTTCTGGTATTGTTTGAAAAACTTCTGCTCATTCTCGTCCACGTCTTTTTTTTTTTTTTTTTTAGATGGGGTCCCACTCTGTCACTCATGCTGGAGTTCAGTGGTGCCATCTCAGCTCACTGCAATCTCCACCTCCTGAATTCAAGGGATTCTCCTGCCTCAGCCTCCTGAGTAGCTGGGAGTACAGATGCATGCCACCATGCTCAGCTAATTTTTGTATTTTTAGTAGAGATGTGGTTTCACCATGTTGTTCAGGCTGATCTGGAATTCATGACCACATAATCTGCCTGCCTCAATCTCCAAATGTTCTGTGATTATAGGCGTCAGCCATCACACCCAGTCCCGTGTCCTTTGTCTCTGTTTTTCTATCATCTGTTAAAGTCATAATATTTCTTACAGTTTACGAAGTTCTGTTCCGGTTGCCATGTGTCACCCTGTTTGTCATAGCCTCTCCACTGAATGAAATACTATGTCTTCCAATTTTTGTCTTGTCTTTTGTCAACAATATTTTGAGCCCGAAACTTTTGGGAAGCTAGAAAGAAAGAGATGGTATTGAAGCAGCTGCTGTGTCATCTTTCTTTCAGTTGACTCTCTACATAGTCACTGCATTCTGCCTCCAGTGCTTCAGCAGACCTGGGGTGTGAATGAGCCTCTTCCAGTTTGTGGCCTGTGGTGTAGAAAGAGTTGTGTGAAGAAGCAACTATACTATGTCGATTAGGCTCTCTACATTTACTCCATGGTTGGACAGCTCAGGCTTCACTTTAGGGTGCCAAGATGGCCCGCTATGTAGTCTCAGCTAAGAGCAGCTGAATCCACGGGAGGTGGAGGTTGAAGTGAGCTGAGTTGACACCACTGCACTTCAGGCTGGTGACAGAGTGAGACTCCGTCTCAAAAATAGTAATAATTATGATTATAACTAGTTTAGAGGAAAACATAAATGTCCTGATGTAGCTAAAAAACACAGTGCAAGAACTTTGCACAGCATACCCAAGGATCAATAGCTGAATTGATCAAGCAGAAGGAAGGATATCACAGATTAAAGACAATGAAATAAAGCATGAAGACAAGATTAGAGAACAAAGTATGAAAAGGAAGCAACAAAGCCTCCCAGAAATACGGGATTACGTGAGAAGACCAAACCTGTGATTGATTTGTGTACCCAAAAGTGATGAGGACAATTGAACCAACTTGAAAAACAAACTTCAGGATGTTATGCAGGCCTACATAGACAGGCCTACGTAGACAGATGTTATGTAGGCCAACCTACAAAGACAGGCCAACGTACACTTTCGGGAAATATAGAGGACACCACTGAGATACTTCATGAGAAGACAACCCCCAAGACACATAACTGGCAGATTCTCCAAGGCAGAAAAAAAGGAAAAAAAAAATGTTTACAGCAGCCCAAGAGAAAGATCAGGTTACCTACAAAGGGAAGCCCATTAGACTAACAGCAGATAATTCTGCAGAAACCCTACAAGCCACAAGAGAGAGGCGGCAAATATTCACCGATCTTAAAGGAAAGAATTTTCAGACCAGAATTTTATAGGCATCCAAACTAAGCTTTATGGCCAAAGGAGAAATAAAATAATTTTCAGACAAGTTAAGTGTACAAACATTTTGTCACCACCATGAGTGCCTTACAAGAGTTCCTAAAGGGAATATTAAATATGTAAGGGGACATCTGGTAACAGCTACTGCAAAAAATAACAAATAAAAAGTCCAACAACACTATGAAGAAACTGCATCAAGAATATGCAAAAGAACCAGCTAGCATCACCATACCATGGTCAAATTGACACGTAACAATATTAATCTTAAATATAAATACACCAAGTGTGCTTTATTCAGGAGACACATCTGACGTGCAAAGGCACACATAGGCTCAAAACAAAACGATGGAAGCATACTTTTTTCTTTTTTTAAATTGTACTTTACATTTTAGGGTACATGTGCACAACGTGCAGGTTTGTTACATATGTACACATGCGCCATGCTGGTGTGCTGCACCCATTAACTCATCATTTAGCATTAGGTATAGCTCCTAACGCTATCCCTCACCCCTTCCCCCACCCCAGAACAGTCCCTGGAGTGTGATGTTCCCCTTCCTGTGTCCACGTGTTCTCAGTGTTCAGTTCCCACCTATGAGTGAGAACTTGCGGTGTTTGGTTTTTTGTTCTTGCCATAGTTTGCTGAGAATGATGGTTTCCAGTTTGATCCATGTCCCTACAAAGGACATGAACTCATCATTTTTTATGGCTGCCTAGTTTCCATAGTGTATATGTGCCACATTTTCTTAATCCAGTCTGTCGTTTTTAGACATTTAGGTTGGTTCCAAGTCTTTGCTATTGTGAATTGTGCCGTGATAAATATACGTGTGCTTGTGTCTTTATAGCAGCATGATTTGTAATCCTTTGGGTATATACCCAGTAATGGGATGGCTGGGTCAAATGGGATTTCTAGTTCTAGATCCCCGAGGAATCGCCACACGGACTTGCACAATGGCTGAACTAGTTTACAGTCCCACCAAGAGTGTAAAAGTGTTCCTGTTTCTCCACATCCTCTCCAGCACCTGTTGTTTCCTGACTTTTTCATGATCACCATTCTAACTGGTGTGAGATGGTGTCTCATTGTGGTTTTGATTTGCATTTCTCTGACGGCCAGTGATGATGAGCATTTTTTCATGTGTTTTTTGGCTGCATGAATGTGTTCTTTTGAGAAATGTCTGTTCATATCCTTTGCCCACTTTTGGATGGGGTTGTTTGTTTTTTTCTTGTAAATTTGTTTAAGTTCTTTGTAGATTCTGGATATTAGCCCTTTGTCAGATGGGTAGATTGCAAAAATTTTCTCCCATTCTGTAGGTTACCTGTTGACTCTGATGGTAGTTTCTTTTGCTGTGCAGAAGCTCTTTAGTTTAGTTAGATCCCATTTGTCAATTTTGGCTTTTGTTGTCATTGTGTTTGGCGTTTTAGACATGAAGTCCTTGCCCATGCCTATGTCCTGAATGGTATTGCCTAGGTTTTCTTCTAGGGTTTTTATGGTTTTAGGTCTAACATGTAAGTCCCCAATGCATCTTGAATTAATTTTTGTATAAGGTGTAAGGAAGGGCTCCAGCTACAGCTTTCTACATATGGCTAACCAGTTTTCCCAGCACCATTTATTAAATAGGGATTCCTTTCCCCATTTCTTGTTTTTGTCTGGTTTGCCAAAGATCAGATAGTTGTGGATATGTGGCATTATTTCTGAGTGCCTGGTTCTCTTCCATTGGTTGTAGCCTTGTAGCATAGTTTGAAGTCAGGTAGTGTGATGCCTCCAGCTTTGTTCTTTTGACTTAGGAATGACTTGGCAATGTGGGCTCTTTTTTGGTTCCATATGAGCTTTTCCATTCTGTGAAGAAAGTCATTGGTAGCTTGATGGGGATGGCATTGAATCTATAAATTACGTTGGGCAGTATGGCCATTTTCACGATGTTGATTCTTCCTATCCATGAGCATGGCATGTTCTCCCATTTGTTTGTAACCTCTTTTATTTCATTAAGCAGTGGTTTGTAGTTCTCCTTGAAGAGGTCCTTCACATCCCCTGTAAGTTGGATTCCTAGGTATTCTATTCTCTTTGAAGCAATTGTGAATGGGAGTTCACTCATGATTTAGCTCTCTGCTTGTCTGTTATTGGTGTATAAGAATGTTTGTGATTTTTTGCACATTGATTTTGTATCCTGAGACTTTGCTGAAGTTGTTTACAAGCTTAAGGAGATTTTAGACTGAGACGATGGGGTTTTCTAAATATACAATCATGTCATCTGCAAACAGGGAGAATTTGACTTCCTATTTTACTAATTGAATACCCTTTGTTTACTTCTCCTGCCTGATTGCCCAGGACAGAACTTCCAACACTAGGTTGAATAGGAATGGTGAGAGAGGGCATCCCTGTCTTGTGCCAGTTTTCAAAGGGAATGCTTCCAGTTTCTGCCCATTCAGTATGAAGTGGCTGTGCGTTTGTCATGGATAGCTCTTATTATTTTGAAATACGTCCCATCCATACCTAATTTATTGAGAGTTTTTAGCATGAAGTGCTGTTGAACTTTGTTGAAGGCCTTTTCTGCATCTATTGAGTTAATCATGTGGCTTTTGTCATTGGTTCTGTTTATATGCTGGATTATGTTTATTGATTTGCATATGTTGAACCAGCCTTGCATCCCAGGGATGAAGCCCACTTGATCACGGTGGGTAAGCTTTTAGATGTGCTGCTGGATTCGGTTTGCCAGTATTTTATTGACGATTCTTGCATTGATGTTCATCAGGGATTTTGGTCTAAAATTCTCTATTTTTGCTGTGTCTCTGCCAGGCTTTGGTATCAGGATGATGCTGGCCTCATAAAATGAGTTAGAGAGGGCTCCCTCTTCTTCTATTGATTGGAATCGTTTCAGAAGGAATGGTACCAGCTCCTCCTTGTACCTCTGGTAGAATTCGGATGTGAATCCATCTGGTCCTGGACTTTTTTTTTGCAATATTACTTATTGCCTGAATTTCAGAGCCTGTTACTTGTCTATTCAGAGATCCAACTTCTTCCCGGTTTAGTCTTGGGAGGGTGTATGTGTCGAGGAATTTATCCATTTCTTTTAGGTTTTCTACTTCATTTGTGTAGAGGTGTTTATAGTATTCTCTGATGGTAGTTTGTATTTCTGTGGGGTCGGTGGTGATATCCCTTTTGTCATTTTTTATTGCGTCTATTTGATTCTTCTTTTTTCTTCTTTGTTAGTACTGCTAGCGGTCTATCAATTTTGTTGATCTTTTCAAAAAACCAACTCCTAGATTCATTGATTTTTTGAAGGGGCTTTTGTGTCTCTATTTCCTTCAGTTCTGCTCTGATCTTAGTTATTTCTTGCCTTCTGCTAGCTTTTGAATGTGTTTGGTCTTGCTTCTCTAGTTCTTTTAATTGTCATGTCAGGGTGTCAATTTTAGATCTTTCCTGTTTTCTCCTGTGGGCATTTAGTGCTACACATTTCCCTCTACATGCAGCTTTGAACGTGTCCCAGAGATTCTGGTATATTGTATCTTAGTTCTTGTTGGTTTCAAGGAACATCTTTATTTCTGCCTTCATTTCGTTATGTACCTAGTAGTCATTCAGGAGCAGGTTGTTCAGTTTCCATGCAGTTGAGCGGTTTTGAGTGAGTTTCTTAATCCTGAGTTCTAGTTTGATTTCACTGTGGTCTGAGAGACAGTTTGTTATAATTTCTGTTCTTTTACATTTGCTGTGGAGTGCTTTACTTCCAACTATGGAGTCAGTTTTGGAATAGGTGTGGTGTGATGCTGAAAAGAACGTATATTCTGTTGATTTGGGGTGGAGAGTTCTGTAGATGTCTATTAGGTCCACTTGGTGCAGAGCTGACTTCATTTCCTGCATATCCTTGTTAACTTTCTGTCTCGTTGATCTGTCTAATGTTGACAGTGGGGCATTAAAGTCTCCCATTATCATTGTGTGGGAGTCTAAGTCTCTTTGTAGGTCTCTAAGGACTTGCTTTATGAATCTGGGTGCTCCTGTATTGAGTACGTATATATTTAGGATAGTTAGCTCTTCTTGTTGATTTGACCTCTTGATCTTTGTTGGTTTAAAGTCTGTTTTATCGGAGACTAGGATTGCAACCCTTGCCTTTTTTTGTCTTCCATTTGCTTGGTAGATCTTCCTCCGTCCCTTTATTCTAAGCCCATGTGTGTCTCTGCACGTCAGATGGGTTTCCTGAATAGAGCACACTGATGGGTCTTGACTCTTTATCCAATTTGCCAGTCTGTGTCTTTTAATTGGAGCATTTAGCCCGTTTACATTTAAGGTTAATATTGTTATGTGTGAATTTGATTCTGTCACTTTGATGTTAGCTGGTTATTTTGCTAGTTAGTTGATGCAGCTTCTTCCTAGCCTCGATGGTCTTTACAATTTGGCATGTCTTTGCAGTGGCTGGTACCGGTTGTTCCTTTCCATGTTTGGCTCTTCCTTCAGGAGCTCCTTTAGGGCAGGCCTGGTGATGACAAAATCTCTCAGCATTTGCTTGCCTGTAAAGGATTTTATGTCTCCTTCACTTATGATGCTTAGTTTGGCTGGATATGAAATTCTGGGTTGAAAATTCCTTTCTTTAAGAATGTTGAATATTGGCCCTCACTCTCTTGTGGCTTGTAGAGTTTCTCCAAGTGATCAGCTGTTAGTCTGATGGGCTTCCCTTTGTGGGTGACCCTACCTTCTCTCTGGCTTCCCTTAACATCTTTTCCTTCATTTCAACTTTGGTGAACCTGACAGTTATGTGTCTTGGAGTCGCTCTTCTTGAGGTGTATCTTTGTGGCGTTCCTCTGTATTTCCTGAATCTGAGTGTTGGCCTGCCTCGCTACATTTGGGAAGTTCTCCCGGATAATAGATCCATTCTCCCCGTCACTTTCAGGTACACCAATCAGATGTCGCTTTGGTCTTTTCACATAGTCCCATATTTTTTGGAGGCTTTGTTCATTTCTTTTTATTCTTTTTTCTCTTAACTTCTCTTCTCACTACATTTCATTCACTTGATCTTCCGTCACTGATACCCTTTCTTCCAGTTGATCAAATCGGCTACTGAGGCTTGTGCGTTCATCACGTAGTTCTCGTGCCATGGTTTTCAGCTCCATCAGGTCCTTTAAGGGCTTCTCTGCTTTGGTTATTCTAGTTAGCCATTCATCTAATTTTTTTTTCAAGGTTTTCAGCACCTTTGCCATGGGTTCGAACTTCCTCCTTTAGCTCGGAGTAGTTTGATCATCTGAAACCTTCTTCTTTCAAGTCGTCAAAGTCATGCTCCATCCAGCTTTGTTCTGTTGCTGGTGAGGAGCTGCATTCCTTTGGAGGAGGAGAGGCGCTCTGATTTTTAGAGTTTCCAGTTTTTCTGCTCTGTTTTTTCCCAATCTTTGTGGTTTTATCTACCTTTGGTCTTTGATGACGGTGACATACAGATGGGGTTTTGGTGTGGATGTCCTTTCTGTTTGTTAATTTTCCTTCTAACAATCAGGACTCTCAGCTGCAAGTCTGTTGGAGTTTGCTGGAGGTCCACTCCAGACCCTGTTTCCCTAGGTATCAGCAGCGGAGCCTGCAGAACAGCAGATACTGGTGAACAGCAACTATTGCTGGCTGATTGTTCCTCTGGAAGTTTGGCCTCAGAGGAGTACCCAGCCGTGTGAGGTGTCAGTCTGCAGCTACTGGGGGGTGCCTCCCAGTTAGGCTATGTGGGGTTCAGGGACCCACTTGAAGAGGCAGTCTGTCCGTTCTGAGATTTCAAGCTGCGTGCTGGGAGAACCACTATTCTCTTCAAAGCTGTCAGACAGGGATATTTAAGTCTGCATAGGTTTCTGCTGCCTTTTGTTTGGCTATGCCCTGCCCCCACAGGTGGAGTCTACAGAGGCAGGCAGGCCTCCTTGAGCTGCAGTGGGCTCCACCCAGTTCGAAATTCCTGGCCACTTTGTTTACCTACTCAAGCGGCAGCAATGATGGGCTCCCCTTCCCCAGCCTCATTGTCGCCTTGCAGTTTGATCTCAGACTGCTGTGCTAGCAAAGAGTGAGGCTCCGTGGGTGTAGGCCTTCCAAGCCAGGTGTGTGATATAATCTCCTGGTGTGCCGTTTGCTAAGACCACTGGAGAAGCGCAGTATTAATGTGGGAGTGACCTGATTTTCCAGGTGCTGTCTGCCAGCCCTTTCTTTGAATAGGAAAGGGAATTCCCTGACCCCTTGTGCTCCCTGGGTGAGGTGATGCCTCGCTGTGCTTTGGCTCACCCTCGGTGCACTGCACCCACTGTCCTGCACCCACGGTCTGACACGCCCCAGTGAGATGAATCCGGTACCTCAGTTGGAAATGCAGAAATCCCCTGTCTTCTGTGTGGCTCATGCTGGGAGCTGTAGACTGGAGCTGTTCCTATTCAACCATCTTGGCTCCGTATACATATGTGTATATGTATATATGTGTATGTATATATGTTTGTGTGTGTATATATAAACACATTTATAGACAGAGCATGCATATATATGTAAATATACACACTCACTTAAATATGTGTCTGTATGTGTGCATATATGTGTGTATATATACACGTGTTATATATATATATACACATACATATGTGTATGTGTATACGTATATACCTACATATACACATACCATCTATACACACATACCAGAGTGTATAGGTATACATCCATAAACTCTGGGTATTACATATGTGCATATTACATATGTGCATATTACATACATATATGTACACACATACATATGTGTGTGCATGTGTATATGTATATATATACACACATATAGAGATATATACACACATATACATATACATATGTATCAACACAAGTGTAAGGTTTCAGCAAAATTTTACTATATAAAAACAGACCGATTTGCCAGCAAGTTGTTACATGATTTGAGAGCGATTAATGCACAGATTTAATCAATGGGTGCATTACAGCAAGGTCTGCCATTCCTGGCAGCCATTCCAAGTGACTCACCTCCTACAGTAGTAGATCTCAAAGATTATTTCCTTACTATACCCTTACATGAGAAGGATAAGCAAAGTTTCACCCCAAAGCATGCTCACCGGTCCTACGCTATTTCAGCGTTTTGTAGGTCAGTCCTTAAAGGAGCCTCATAATATATTTCCTACTGCCTACATCATTCATTATATGGATGAAATTCTTTTGGCTGCTCCAATGGAAGAGCTATTACACCAATTGTTGAGAGAAGCAAAACAGGGGGACATCTCAAAATAGTTCAACAAAAGGTAGAAGCAACCTCCCCATACCAATACTTAGGCACTATTGTTACTGAAACAAATGTTCGACCTCAGAAAGCAGTCCTCCATAGGGACAGATTACAAACCTTCAGTGATTTCCAACAACTATTAGGAGATATAAATTGGCTGTGTCCAATCCTAGGTATTGCTACTCGTCAACTCAAACACTCAGGCACTCCATGGAAATTCTTCATTAGGAGCAATGGGCTTAGGAGACAACCCAGTTGCTGGTTTGTCTGAGGAGGCTGGAGCTGAGTTACAGCTTGTAGAGCAGATTCTTCAGCAAACACATGCCTCCCGGCTACAGCCACAAAAGCCCTTGGTTCCCTTTATTCTCTCTACCCCTCATTCTCCAACAGGACTTTTAGGCCAGATCATAGAAAAAATATGTAATTGTAATAGAATGGCTTTTTTTGAAATTCAATCAGAGAGTAAAATCTCTGCAAGTTTATATTTCTTTAACTACTCAGTTTATAACAAGGGGTAGGGATAGATCAAAAATGCTTAAGAGATATGATCCACACAAAATTATTGTTCTCCTTTTAGAGCCAGTCTAAAAGTGTGAGGAGAAATATTGGATTCCCAGCAACAGGCTGCAGCATGGGAAATGTTGACTGTGTGGCAAATTGCTCTTTCAGATTGTGTAGGAACAATACATAAACATTATCCATCAGACAAAATTTTGCAATTTTAAAAGTTCAACCTTTCATCTTCCCCGTGATTACTCATCACAAGCCCATTTCATGCAGCCAGACCTACTTACTGATGGCTCTTCCAAAGGTCGCAAAGTTACTTATGGTACTAAGCATGCTCAAACAATAAAAAACCCCGGAGTTTCAGATCAACGCTCAGAACTAATGGCAGTTATGCAGGTTTTACAGCTCACTGGTTCATCTCTTATTAACACTCTCTGTGATTCAGCCTATGTTGTAAATGTAGCCGGTCATATTGGGACGGCCACTATTATTAAAAGCACCCTGGAACCAGAGCAGTTTAACTTGTTTCTAAGACTTTAAGAAGCTGTTTGCTCTTGTGCTGCTTTTTATATTTCTTATATTTGCTCTCCCACACAACTACCTACACCACTATATCTAGGTAATAATAGAGCCAATAAATTGGTTTGTTCTGCATTTCAACAAGCTCAACCTTCTCATATATTACTGCATCAAAACTCTGCCTCTACTCGTATGTTTCATTTGCCTAACAGCCAGGCTGCAGCCCGTACAAGCCTGTCCTGCTTGCCAGCATGTCACTGGAGTCACACTCATAGAAGGCTGTAACCCATGAGACTTAGCTTCAAATGAAATCTGACAGATGGATGTTACTCACAAAGCTGCCATTGGTAAGTTCTCCTTTGTTCGTGTGACTACAGACACGTATTCTCATATGCGGCATGCTACATGCAAACCAGGTCACACAGCTGGTTATGTGTAATGACATTGTCTGTCGTCATTTGCTCATATGGGGGGTCCCTAAACAATTAAAAACTGACAATGGACAAGCTTATGCTAGTCATGCTTTTTAAAATTTTTTACAGCTATGGTCAATCACTCATAAAACAGGAATTCCTTACAAACCCCAAAGACAAGGAATTATAGAGCGGGCAAATCAAACATTACAAGCTGTGCTGAAAAAAACCGAAAGAGGAAACAAGAGATCAGTTACCACCTCAAACAAAATACATTTACTTTTACTTTAATTTATTTTTTTACTTATTTACTTTAATTTTTTTGACTCCTGGCACAGATAGTAAGACTATGGCAGAACGACACTGGTAAATGTTATAGGGAAAAAGTAAAGTATGCCCCAAAATATTATGAAAATCCCCCTAAGGACGATGGAAATGCTCAGGAGATTTACTGATGTAAGGATGAGGGTATGCTTGTGTTTTTACAGGAGATGGATAATCTGTGTGTTTGTGACCATGTAAAGGGAGACTGGAGAGAGCCATGGATCCCAACTATGAATCCAACTCCTCCATTACAAGCCATGAGTCAGTTGAAATTGCTGGAGCACCAGGGTCAGGCAAACACCCCTGACATCACGTTGATGGCCATGCTACCCATAACATCCTGTGCAGTAGGTTTCCCTTGTGCAGAGAGACAAAAACATATTGGGCATATATTCCCAATCCCCCAGTATTACGGAGTGTAATTTGGAGTGACACTCCCCCTGACATCTATCATGATCATGAAGCAGGGGCACCAGGACCCCTAACACCCCCTGACAAACAGTTATTAGACTCTCAGAACAATGATTATCAATTATGCTGCTCCATTGGAGGGACTTCCTTCATGAGTCACCCAGGGTACATCACTCAACTGCAGTGGCCTTGCAAATTAATCCCAAGTATGGCTGAGTTACCATGGAAAAAAATATGTACCTATTAGGCCTTAGCTCTATTAACATTACTGGTGTAGCTACTAATCACTCCCAGCCCCATCTCCCAAATCGTATTAATTATACAGAATGGGCTCCCTTTGATAATTCTTACCCCCCTCCTTGGACCCAGTGTCTTGGTCCCCTAGCTAGACAAGAGTACATGCTAATGGGAGACATTATTTTCTAGGTGCCTGTGGTCACTTAGATGGGAGAGATGAGAATCCGACCTCATGGCATAAACTTCGCTGACACTGGTCAGCATCTCTTCACTACATTGCGCTGGGATTCAGTCCCAACCTGCAGCAAGTTTCACTTGGCATGGAACAGGTTTTAACTCAACTTTGCCTCAATGGCATTACCAAGGAAAGAGAGGTCCAACTCAGGAGTCGATAGGGAAGGCAGCACTCCACTATATGAATGGCAGCATTTGTGTCGGAACACTATCTAATTATAGTAATTGTGCTGAACACAGTTTTAATGTTACCATTGTAGAAAACACTACCACTCAATTTACAATTTGTGTTTTTGAACTTATGTTTTTCTGGCAGCAAAAAGGACCAACTCCAGGTAAACGATGCCCGACTGACTTGTGATTCCTGTTAACTGTATTATTCCCTTAATCATAGCACAGTACAAACATACAGCATATCCACCCTAGTAATTCTAGGTCACAATCCCGGATTATGGATTCCTGTAAATCTGCCTGAGCCTTGGGTGGTCACCTCTGGTTTCCATTTTGTAAACTTTTTTCTTAGTCAGCTTATTCATTGTGCTTGTAGAGCCTTAGGCATGAAAATTTTTGTGAAAGTCTCCTTAGGTACATTAATAACTTCTGTTGTGGTGTCCTTAGTAGCAATGTACAGCTCCATTCAAATCACAGCTCAATATGTAGAAAATTGGATGTGTACAGCCGACCAGGCATGGATGCTTAAAAATAAACTTAACACTGAGATACACATGGAAGTAGCAATGTTAAAGAGTTAAAGATTACAGTTCTGTGGCTAGGAAACCAAGAACAAACTTGCAGTTGCGGCAGCAATTGCATTGTCATTTTAAGCATGCTCATCTTTGTGTAACCAATTTGGAATAAAACCAAAGGGAATATCCATGGAAACTTGATTTACAAAGCAAAATTCTTAACTTGAAAAAGCATACTCAAGTAAGTCAGCCGTCTCTGAAAACTTGGGCAGAATTCCAGCAAGGTTTAGAGAGCCTTAGCCTTTGGACCTCCTCCAAACATCACCTAAATGTCTTTTTTGTGATTATCAGAGTAACATCATGATGTCTCTCTTTTATGTTCATTGTCTGTAAAAGCAGCTGGACCACCAAACAGCAGTGGAGAGCTGCACAGCCTGCAATTATCTTTACTCAATTAATGCAAAAATAAAAAGGAGGAGATGTTGGAGGCCAAAAGAATGAGAGTCGTGACCAACTCAGTAATGACTGGAGGGTCTATGAGCAGAGAGGGAACTGTTCTCATGAAAGCAGCATGTTGGCAACCTGACACACCACGTCTGGTGTCAGAAGGAATGCTGAGGGCAGTCATGCCCCAAGCACAGTCTTTCTTGTGGTTATATATAGGAACATCTGAAGCCGGTAGTATATAGAAAGCAATTGTGTGAGCCTGTGATAATGCAAGCAGCTGACCAACAATTACCTTTCCTCCCTGTTGATTCTGCCTACTAAATATGAAGGCCTGTAGAAGCTCAGGGCCTTTGCTGATTAGAAGCAATGAGCCCTCAACCCCTCTTTTAAAACAGATCTTTTTTGTCTTTGTCTTCATTTCTGCATTCAACCCCCTTTGTTTCATCCCATAGTAACTGACTGCCACACTGTCTCTATTAAAAATACAAAAAAAAAAAAAAAATAGGTGGGCTTGTTGGCAGACACATGTAGTCCACGCTACTCTGGAACCTGAGGCAGAAGAATCCCTTCAACCCAGGAGACAGATGTTGCAGTGGGCCAAAATCATGCCTTTGCACCCCAGGTTGGGTGACAAGGTGTGACTCCATCTCAAAAAAGGCAAAAAACAAGAAGAAAACAAAACAATACAAAACAAAACAAACAAAAACTATGTTCTGGTTAAGAGAACCAAAAAAAACAAGCCTCAGGCTAAGAAAAGTTTAGGAAACACATCTGAAAAGTGACTTTTATGCAAAATATTCAAACAAATAAGATGACCTAATTAATAAGTAGAGACCTGAATAGATACATCACCAAAACAGATATGGAGATGGAAAACCTGGCACACAAAATACCGATTGCTGAGCCCCTGTTACTTCTTCTGAAGGCTGAGGCTCCAAGCCATTTCCTGAGGAGCAACAGTGGCTGCCAGAGCGGCAGTGGTTTCAAAGATCATCCCCACCTACCCCAGCTCTACCCTTCTTCCAGTTTCCAAGGATTTCCCAGACATTGAGCCTGCTCACGAGGAAAGAGCCAGAAGCTGGGTATTTTATTTCACAACTTTTCTTAAAATTCTGGATGTCAACAAGTATCCTTTGGTTGGAAGTTTTATATTTATCCTAACAATCTTGAGGCACTGACAAGTATTAGGAAAGATGATTCTCAACCTACATTTGATTCCATAAAGAAATAAAGGAATTGGCGTGGCCAGGCATGATGGCTCACATCGGTAATCCCAGCAGTTTGGGAGGCTGAGCCAGGTGGATGTCCTTAGGTCAGGTGTTTGAGATCATCCTGGTCAACATGGTGAAACAAACTCTCTACTAAAAATGTAAAAAAAATTAGCCGGTAGTGGTGTCTGGGTCCTGTAAACCCAGATCCTCAGGAAGCTAAGACAGGAGAATTTCGTGAACCCGGGAAGCTGAGGTTACCAAAGCTGAGATCATGTCATTGCACTCCAGCCATGGGAACAGACCAAGACTCCATCTCAAAACAAACAAACAAACAAACAACAACAACAACAAACAGAACAGAACAACAACAACAAAAGGACTCAATTACATTTTTAGGCAGTTATTTTAGAAGGCTTGGTACAATGCATTACTATTTTGGTATTCTCAAGACAGAAAACACAGTAACAGTAGTAAGTAAAAACCAAACAGCAAGTCATTACACGGTTTCAGGTCTAACGCTTAAGTCTTTAATCCATCTTGAATTAATTTTTGTATAAGGTGTAAGGAAGGGATCCAGTTTCAGCTTTCTACCTGTGGCTAGCCAGGTTTCCCCCCACCATTTATTAAGTAGGGAATCCTTTCCCCATTGCTTGTTTTTCTCAGGTTTGTCAAAGATCAGATAGTTGTAGATATGCGGCATTATTTTCTGTTCCATTAATCTATATCTCTGTTTTGGTACCAGTACCATGCTGTTTTGGTTACTGTAGCCTTGTAGTATAGTTTGAAGTCAGGTAGCGTGATGCCTCCAGCTTTGTTCTTTTGGCTTACGATTGACTTGGTGATGTGGGCTCTTTTTTGGTTCCATATGAACTTTAAAGTACTTTTTTCCAGTTCAGTGAAGAAAGTCATTGGTAGCTTGATGGGGATGGCATTGAATCTATAAATTACCTTGGGCAGTATGACACTTAATTTTTTTTATTTTTTACCAAGTAGAGCTGAGAGTACGTTTTTTAAAATTGGGTTTCTGTGGCACAACACATGTATGCTTTTTGGCAGCAATCATAGATTAATGAACAAACAATAACAACAAAATAATGCTCAACAACACCTGCCGTTCGGGGAAGGCAAATTAAAATAAGAGTGTGAGCACTAAACAGCTATACTATGTCTAAATTTCTTTTTAAATATACTCAAAACTGCAACAGAAAATCTCATTCATTGCTGAAGGAATGCATAATTGTACAGCAACTTTAAAATATGGTTGTTTTCTTCTGAAAGAGTTTGACAGTTTTTTCCAAAGGCGGACATGGTCTCAACATATAGGCTAACAATTGTTAACACTTAGGTATCTAAACAACTGATTTGGAAACTCACATCTAACCAAAAACCACAAGCATTTATGTATAACTGCTCTCTTGACAATGGCCACATACTTGAAGGAATCAGGATGCCCTTCAATATTAACCAAGCCAGGTAAATTCATAAAATGAAATACTATTCATCAAAACAAAAGGAGTGATTTATGAAGTCATGCAAAGCCATGGATGAATCGGGCATTCACAAAGCAAAGTGATAAGAGCCAGTCTGAAGAGGTGACATATTGTATGATTTCATTTCTATTACGTTACAGAGAAGAAATATTTATAGAGACAGTAAACTGGCCTGTAACTTACAGTTGTTTTTAGCGGGCAGGTAGTGAGTTGAAAAGGAGAATGCAATTATGGAAAGGAGCACAAATGGGCCAGATGAGAAGAGACTCATTCTGCTTGATGAGATCATGCTGGGCATGTGGAAGAGTCAAGAGTGCGTATAATGGCATGAATAAATAAATAGGCTTCTACTCATGATAGGAGAGGAGCGTCTTCTTTCATCACTCATGGAACTATTTTAGGACAATTTCTGAGGAAGCTTTTGTTGTAAGTGGAAAATCATACATAAACAAATGTACCATTTCAAACACTTTGAGTGTATAATTTGGAAGCATTAACTATGCTCAAATTGTGCAAACATCACCACCATTTCACAATCTCACCAGCAATGTACAAGGCTTCCAATTTCTCCACATACTCTCAAAGTTTTCTTTTAAAAAAAAAAGAAAAAGAAAGAAAGAAAAATTCCAATGGGGATAAAGTGGTAATCTCATTGTGGTTTAGATATTCCTGCATTAAGTGGCTAGTGATTTCGAACATCTTTTCATGTGCTTATTGGCTGTGGATTTGTAAATGATTTCTTGGCTATATCACTGACTGAACACAAAACATAAGAAAAAATAGATCACTTGAACTTCATCAAAACTAAACACTTTTGTGCGTCAAAAGACACTGTCAGTATAGTGGAAAGAAAACCACCAGCATGGGACACAATATTTGCAAGTCATATATATGGTATATATTCATATCACCCACTTGGATCTCTTCCTAACGCACTCTTCTCTTTTTCTTACTCTAAAATATTTTAAACAAACATCCCCTTTTGCTGTGAAACCTTTCTCAGTCTCCTTTGCTACTTTACTCCCCTCAGTCAAATTCTTTCTCCTGAGGAGGCAAGAGTTGAGGTTACTGCAGACCATGATAGATTTGACGCCAGTAACTCAGATAACTTCCACTGGTAACAGGTCGAGGGGCTGCTGGACAGGGTGGCGGGAGTTCATGTCTAGTGTGTGGCTGGCCTGGCCCCAGGCAGTTCTGGACTGTGGAGGGATCAGAACCCCATGCTGCAAGCACTCTGTGGAAAGAGCGCTCACGTTGCTGAGAGAATGCTGAGGAAGAAATTTTGTCTTTTTAGTGAGGTTAAATTCCTTCATGTAATATAAAATTAACTGTTTCTTAATGAATTCCTTAGTGATCTTTAGTACGTGCATATTTGTGTGCAACTACCACATCTTAGTTCCAAAGTATTTTCATTATTCCAAAAGGAAATACCCTACTTATTAAGAAGCTCCTACCCAATCTGTCCTCTTTCTGACACCAGCACCAATAATCTGCATTTTTTCTCTATGGATTTACCTACTCTAAATATTTATACAAATAAAATCATACACTATGTGACTTTTGGCTCAGCTTCTTGAGCCAAAATTTAAGTTTCTTCACATTGTAGCATTAGAGTTGTAATCCTTTTCACAGCTGAATAGTATGCCGTTGTATGGACATACTACATTTTGTTTCTTATTTTTTGTTGGTGGACATTTATTTGGTGTGTTTCCAGATTTTAGTTATTGTGAATGCTGCTATGAACATACGCATACATATTTTTGTTTGAATACCTCTTTTACATTTTTTTTTGTGTATATAGCTTGGAGTGCATTTTGGGGGTTCTATGGTAATTTTATGTTTAGCTTTTGCAGAACCACCAAACTATTTTCCACAGTAGCTGCAGCATTTTTCTTTCACATTTTCCCACTTCCATTTCCAATTGTGGAGGTGCACATTTTTGTATCTTTTATATTGTTTATATATTTATCTTTTCCTTAATCTTTACTTATTCACACTGCTGTTTCATGTCTGTTCATTTTATCCTGAAATACTCCATAAAGCATTTCTTAAAGGGTAGTCTACTGGTAAAAGACTGCAGCTTTTACATGGGAATTTTATAATATCTCTCTCACTTTTGATGGGCAGTTAGTGTAGGCATAAGATTTCTGTTAAAAGTTTTTTTCTTACAGCATTTGGCATATCTTAGTCTACTGCTTTCTGACCTCTGAATTTTCCGAAAAGAAATCCACTGATTACTCATGGGGGTTCTTTTTACATGACCAGTCACTTCTCTTGCAACTTTCAAGTTTCAAGTTGTTTTTGTTTTAGAAAGGTTAATTATCAAGTAAGTTTGAATGTGTTTGAGTTTATGCTGCTTGGAGTTTGTTGAACTTCTTTGGTGTTTATTTATTTCCTCAAATTTATGACCTTTCTGACCACTACTGTTTTAGTCTCCTTTAGGAGGACTGCTTGATGGTGTCCCACTGGTTTCTAGGTTGTTTTCACAGTTTTTATTTATTTATTTATTTATTTGTTCCCTTCTTGACTTAACAATTTCAACTGCCCTTTTCTTAGATCTGCTGATAGTTTGTTCTTCTATCTTCTCAAGTGTCCTTTTAAATCTCCGTAGAGTTTTTTTGTTTGTTTGTTTTTGATTGAGTTTTCCTCTGTCACCAGGGTGGAGTTCAGTGAGGCCACCTTGGCTGACTGCAACCTCTACCTCCTGATTTCAAACAATTATCCTGCCTCAGCCTCTCAAGTAGCTGGGACTACAGGCTCATGCCACCACACCCTGCTAATTTTTGTGTTTTTTAGTAAAGACAAGGTTTCACCATATTGGCCAGGAAAATCTTCATCATTTGACCTCATGGTCTAACCGACTTGGCCTCCCAAACTGCTAAGACTGCAGGCGTGAGCCACTGTGCCAGGCTGTAGTAAATTTTAGTGACAGTTGTTTAACTTTTCAGCTCCAGATATATAAGTATATATATATAATATATATACACACACACATATATATACACATATATACACATATATTTATATTATATATTAAATAAAAATATATTATATATAATATAGAAATATATTTTTATGTATTCTATATATATATAGACTAAAGTCTAACATAATCTAAAGTCTAAGATATATGTATAGATAGATAGATAGGTAGGTAGTTAGATAGATTAGAGAGAGAGAGAGAGAGAGAGAGAGAACCACTGAACCTGGCCTAGAATTTCCTTCTTAGTTTTACTGTGAGTTTACTTTATTGTAAGTTTACTGTCTATTAATAATTTTTTTCTGTTCATGGCTTTCTGTGCTTTTCTTCATTGCATTAGCTTTCTAAAAAAAATCATGAATTTAAAAAATTATTTTTTAGTTAGCCTGCCATTTGGGCCACCTGGGAAAAGCTTCTGTTAGTGATTTTTTTTCTTTCTAGGGTGAACCACTCTCTTTCTTTCTTTCTTTCTTTCTTTCTTTCTTTCTTTCTTTCTTTCTTTCTTTCTTTTCTTTTCTTTTCTTTTCTTTTCTTTTCTTTCCTTTCTTTTTTTTTTTTTTTTTTTTTTTTTTTTTTGAGGCGGAGTCTCGCTCTGTTCCCCAGGCTGGAGTGCAGTGGCGAGATCTCGGCTCACTGCAAGCTCCGCCTCCCAGGTTCACGCCACTCTCCTGCCTCAGCCTCCAGAGTAGCTGGGACTACAGGCGCTCGCCACCACGCCCGGCTAATTTTTTTAGTAGAGACGGGGTTTCACCGTGTTAGCCAGGATGGTTCTGGATCTCCTGATCTCGGGATCCGCCCACCTCGGCCTCCCAAAGTGCTGGGATTACAGGAGTGAGCCACCGCGCCCGGCCGAACCACACTTTCTTATTTCACCTTATGCTATGTGATTCTGTTGGTGTCGAAAACAGGCATATAAATTTTCAAGTGTTGTACCTTTGAAAATCAGATTTTCTCCCTCTGTAGCTTGCTAGGGATTTGTTTATTCATCATCTAGGCTATTTCTGTCATGACAATCAGTCTTACTGATTTTGTTGGGGGCTTTTCTTGAGGCTACATCATTGTGGAGCACAGATGTGTAGCAACACATTTTATTCTAAATTTTCACTTACATATGTTTTCTTTGAATGTTTTGTCTATCATTCTCTGGCCTCTAAAGAGAGAGAAAAAGAAAAGAAAAATTAGGAAAGAAAGGCTCTGCCTTTGTAAATCGTCTGAAAGTTACTTGAGTAGGAGGAGAAAAAGCCTGTAAAAGGTTTGGAAAATGAAAAATGACTGTTCACCACTCGCAGGACCTCCGTAATAAGAAACAGCAATCGGTTAGCCAGTCCTCCTGAGATTTGGAGGATAAGGTCTTTTTTGCCTATCGTGGCTATTGCCAGCTGCTCCAGAAGTATTTGCAAGGCTGCACACCACGGCAATAGTTGATAGGAATAAATAACTGCTGTTGACCTATGCTATAAAGTTGATCGAACTTAATTGTTGTTGACTTTACAAATCGTCTTTTGAAAGCTTCAAAACTTCAGATAGGATCTATAATTCCAAACTATTTGCGTCATAGCGATTCCGCCACTGCACATATTGAATAGTTGAAGGGACAGATACATAGTGCTCTGTAATCCATTGTCTCGTTTTTCCAAGAACCTGTATCATTTTACTTTCAATCTCTCTCTTTGCACTTAAAGCAACACTTGCAGGGAAATCACATATGTGAACCCTTCTTTTAAAGGTACATTTGCATTATTCTGTGCGTTTTTATGAAAGAGCTCACATTTAAAGTTATTAAACGTAAAACACTATTCACTCTGATATTTAATTACTTGCTTTCTGTATGTTCCTTACCTTATCTGAATTTTTAAATTTCTCCTTTGATCTTTCAGAAAAATTTCTTAATTTCTCAAAACTTTCTTTTTCTATATATTTTATATTATAGTTAGTTACATTTGGGACCTCAATAAATATTCTAAACTTAAAATAGCCTACGTTGGATAATACTACCTTATTTAAATAATCTAAAGTCTAAGTTCAACAATATAAAGGTACTCTGCTCCTGTACTTTTCTGTTCTTCTCAAATTATATTATATTGTCTCAGACTATGTCTCCACACACAGACTGTCCATGAAATTAAATTTGTATAGTTTTTGTATGTAATAGCTGCCGATAATAAGCATAATAGTAGTAATTATCTTTGCTAGGTAATAGTAATAGCTTTATTTTGGTGGGGGGAGGGTTAGACACAGATTTCTCGAGCTTATTTTTATCTAGACATTTTCTGCTTGTGTATTATTTTACAAGTTATAAATGTTCTTCATTTCTCCAAGGTGTCTTCTTAGTTATTGGCAGCTTAGTATCCACTTAAATAGCATTTTGTATAAGAGCAGTATACAAGCTATTATTAAAAAAAAAACTGAATATGTATTATCAGATTGTCAATTATATGAAGTAACTGCATTGTTGGTTCTCAGGAACCTAAATGTTTGTGACCAATTCCTGGCATTTTCAACCAAGAGTGACTTCTGACTTTGGCAAAACAGAAATAAAAATGACTAATCAATTCATCGTTTATTCTCTAGAAAGACTAGAACAAACACAATAAATTAGCACATAAGGGCTGTTTTACTCCTTCTAGAATCAGGAATCAGGGCCTCAAATTGAAAATGTGGATTTCAGTTTTGCAGGCTTCATCTGTGTCTGGGAGGCAGTATGACAATCCAAAACATTAACTGTTTTAAAATTGTCTCTCTTGATTAAGTGTTTCCTTGGTTGATGTGAACTATTGGTGAACTATTGGTTTCCTGGGTGTAGACGGTTTTTTATTTGTTTGAGATTTCTTTGAATGGTTTGACGCTGCCTGCTCTGCAATTTTGTTTCAGTTTTAGTTGTGAAGCATGAACTGTTTTCTAATCTCAGTTTATTTTTATTTAGGAGATCTAAATTTTGTCCCATGAAAATGTTGTTTCAAATGCTGAAGTTAAATGTTACACTTTTAATTTGGGTTTCTAGATTTTTTATTTGTTTGTTTTAGTGTTTATAGTGTAAGGTTTTTTGTTTGCTTTATATTAATTGATCCTATCAATTTCATATAAAATGCATGAGGTAAAATTCTCTATTGAGTACAGCTTGGACTCATGTGAGACAAGCATAAAATAATTAGTCTCTAAAGTGACTTTGAAGTAAATATCTAAATAAAATAATAAGGTAATAATCACACAAGCATGCATCAAGATCAACAAGTTTGATGACCTCCACCAGACGTCTGCTTAAATTGTTTGAAAAACAGCCAGGTCACTGTGGCTGGAGCAGACCGTGGAAGGCAAACAGTTATAGACATTGAGCTCATGGAGGTAACAGACAGTCCATGTGAGTGGCTAGGGTTTCTGTAAGTCAATAGATTTTACTTTCTTTTTACCCTAAGCCTGGTTCATGACTAGAAGTGGAATTGGTAAGGTGGTTACTAGCATCTAGCCCTGAGAGATTAGAAAAGCTGATAAATATCTTAAAATCTAGAGTCTCAGGCCTCTCTTTGATAAATTAACAGTGATAGATCATCTCTCCAGAAAATTGTACATAAGAAAAGCACACTTTGATTTTATATTTTCAAGATTACTTAACTCAATCTTTGGTTTCTATAAATCAGAAGAATTTTAAGAAGCTTTTGTAAAGTTCTGTTGATTCAAGTTAAGGTAAGTGTTAGTAAAGCAAAGTCAGTTCAGTTAGTCAATGATTAAATAGTAAAGCATATATTTATTTTTCTCCCCTTTTCTTTTCCCATTACTTTTTAAATATTTCCGTAAAACACTAGTATAGCAAAGAAAAAAAAAAAAAGCAAAGCTAGGCAGCCTCTATTTTGGGGGTGGCAATTAAGAAAACTCAATGAATGGCTTTTGGGATAGAACTAAACTTGACTACAGCTGGAAGGCATACAGAAAAGACATACACACTTGTGGATTGGCACACTACATTATGCAAGCACAATGGGCATAATATTTATCGTAAGGCAAAAATTAAATATGTCTTATGACATAAAAGTTGCTAAGCCATTATAATAACCAAGCCAAAGCAAAACAAAGATTTCAAGGATTATAGCTGGGGTTAGAGAACTCTTGCTTTTGCTAAAGTTGTTGAGTAGAATTAACACTGATGTATCTTCTACTTTTCTAAAATTGTTTCTGATAGAAGATTTTTATAGTGGGAAACTTTGATCGCGATTTGTTATGCTCTCTCATGTTCTAAATTAACCAGAAATAAATACATTCACAAACATTTACATGAGCCAATTAGAGAAAATAAAAACAAGTGAATGAAGAAGTAGCTGTAATAGAAAAATGTATGTGGAAATGTTAAGATAAATCAAAAAAGGAGGTTAATTTGTACAGCGTAAAATCTTTTACATTTGATTAAAAAAATTGTTTCCAAACTTTAGCAGCTAGCAACAACATGGTAGTTAACCATGGTTTGGAGGCTAGGCTCATCTCATGAATTTACATTTTTCTACCAGATTTATATTCACTAAAAGCTGATTAGATTGTGCCCACAAGAATAAGGTGGATCTGCATTCCACAGCCCGCTGATTCAAAGATTGTTTCGGGGAAAACTTCCAACAGATACACCCAGGATTAATACCCTGTATGCCTCAATCCAACGAAGTCAACACTCGGTATTAACCATCACAAATCCACCCCTTGACAACTTGAACCCATACACATCTCCTAAGGGAATACCTAATCCTCAAGTAAAGAAAATAATAACATCATGATTACACCTAACGTAATACAACTATCTTTATTACAACCAGTAATTGACCAATCCCAAATCCAAGCACTATTATGTGAAGTTAACCATACTCAAATGTTGATTTGATGTCAATAAATCTAATGTCACATAATAAAGAAAAAGAAAAATGAAGGTACTATTACATGTGTATACACACACAAACTTTTTTTTAACAAAAAGAGGAACTGTTTAGAACAATTAAAGTCCTCATTTCTGCAGCTGGTCACCTGGCTGTAGCTGGTGTTGATGTCTACCTTCTTCTACCAACCTTTATGTGTTCCCTTGGCGTTCAACAAACACCTCAGCTGAGACCCCTAATCCCCTTCCTTCCTTACTTACTTATTTCCTTTCTTCCTTCCTTCTTTATTTCCTTCCTTCCTCCATTCCTTCCTCCCTTGCTTCCTCTATTCCTTCCTTCTTTCCTTCCTCCCTTCCTTCCTTCCTTCTTTTCTTCCTTCCTCCCTCTCTCTCTTTTCTTCTTTCTTTCTTGTTTGCTTGCGTGCTTGCGTGCTTGCGTGCTTGCGTGCTTGCCTGCTTGCCTGCTTGCCTGATTGCCTGCTTGCCTGCTTGCTTGCTTGCTTTCTTGCTGGCTGGCTTGCTTGCTGGCTTGCTTGCTTGCTTTCTTCCTTTCTTTTCTGTTAGAGTAACCCAAACCTTAATTCCTGAAGGTTCTGGATCACTCACAGTCCTGTCAAAATTAGGCTGTTGTAATTTTCCGTTGATCTTAACCTCAGGGCAGTTAAATACTATCAGGCACCCTAATGGATCTCCTGTGTTCCATGTATATTCTTCCATGCCTCCATTGTAAAATAGTAGACTGACTTTATCTTGCTAATGCAAGTCAGTCACCACAGCCAACACTGTCACTTCCTTAGCCTGTTGACTGAAAGGCAGGAGTAGCCCAAAATGCCAAGGGGACAATCTTCACTGTCAGTTTAATGGAAATGTCATTCTGTCTCCTGGTGGCAACATTTCTCCCCCTGGAACTAAGACCTGTAAGCCCGCGGAACATAATGTAAAGGAAACAGGAAGCAAACATTTTGCTAGTGGATCACTAGGGGTGACGGTGAGCGGGGACATTTTCACTTCCACACCTTGATTTCTGTACCCAATAATTCTGGCTATGGGAAAAACAGTATATGTTCAACACTGATTCAGAACATACATTGCCGTCTGGAGAACTTTTCCCCAGGTTTGCAAAGTCTTGCCGCATGGTTGGTATTGTAATTGTAACTTTAAAAGGCCATTTCACCATTCTATTAATCCAGCTGCCCTAGGATGATGGGAGGCATGGTAAGACCAGTGAATTACATAAGCAGGAGCCCACTGCCACACTTCTTTAGCCATAAGGTGAGTGTCTTTGTCAGAGGGAATGCTGTGTGGAATGCTATGTTGGTGGATGAGGTATTTAGCGTGTCCACAGATGGTAGTCTTGGCAGAAGCATTGGATGCAGAATAGGCAAACGTATATCCAGTGAAAGCACCCTGAGAAATGGTGCCCTATCGACGGATCAGTGTTGGACTCTGTTGCTTGCAAATGGGGCATGCAGCAGTGGCCATAGCCAGGTTAGCTTTGGTGAGTAAAAGTCCATTTTGCTGCACCCGTGCATAATCTTCACCCCTGCAATCATGGCCACTTTGTTTATGGGCCCTCTGGGTGATGACAGCAGAAGCTCGGGAGAGAGACTGAGTGGTTTCCACAGGATGGTTTATTCTATCCATTTGCTTACAAAATTTTTCCTCTTCTGAGGTCACCGTTGTTGAACACTCACATGAAATATAAATATCCTCACAGTTTTTGACCACTCAGAGAGGCTCATCTACGTAACTCTCTCTTAAATTACTTTGCCACTTATTTACTGATAATGCTTCTTCCAAGTTCCTGATCATCCAACCAGAACATTGGTTATGGCCCATGAACCAGTATATAATCACACATCTGGTTATTTCTCCTTGACGTTCAGTCTACTGGGAAGAGGTCCCTTCACCACTGTTCTTCACGGATATCCCAGCAAAAATCTGTACTGCTGCAGCTGTTCATTCTTGGGTGGTGGCTCCATATATGGTGCAGAACCATCTGGAGCCAGGCCATAGTCTTCTCTTATTCTGTCAACTGACCACAGGGAACTATCCATGAGACTATCAGTGCAGGTTGGAGGGGAGAAGCCATGGTGGCAAGACTGGAGAACATGAGCATTTGAGTCAGTTACGCATGTAAATTACTTGTGCCTTCAGGACTGGCTTGAGACTGGGCACGAATGTACCACTTCCATTTGATGATAAAATTCTGCTATGGACAACCCACTTTATGGCTAGATGGATCAGAAAGCACCCAGTTCATGATAGGCATTTCAGTTCACTTGGTGACTTGATGACTTATAGACAAGGGTTCAGCTTCCACCAAACCCAGTAACAGGCCAAGAGCTGTCTCTCAATAGGACAGTGGTTATCTGCAGAAGATGGCAGGCCCTTACTTCAAAATCCTAGAGACCTATGCTGTGATTCACCTGTGAGATCCTGGCATTAGGCTCCAAACAGCACCCCTATCTACCACTGACACCTCAGTCACCATTATATCTTGTAGGTCATATGACCCAAGTGACAGAAAAGCTTGCCTGGATCTTCTACACAGCTTTTTCCTGTTCTGGACACTACTCACAACTGGCAGCCTTTTAAGTCGCTCAATAAAAGGGGGAGAGTAACAACCTCACATAAGGAATATGTTTTCTCCAATATCCAAATAAACCCACTAGACATTGTCCCCCATTTTTTTGTTTGTATCGGGGCCAAATGCAGCAAACTGTTCTTTACCTTAGCAGGAATATGTCAACAGGTCTTACACCACTGGACCCCTAGAAATTTTACTGAGCTAGAAGGTCCCTGAATTTTAGTCAGATTTATTTCCTATAATCTGGCATAAACATGCCTCACCAATAAGTCCAGTATGTTTGCTACTTCTTGCTCACTGGATCAAATCAGCGTAATGTCATCAGTGTAACAGACAAGTGTGATATCTTGCAGCCACCAAAAGAAATCAAGATCTCTCTGAAAAAGATTAAGGCACAAAGGTAGAGAGTTGGTATACCCCTGAGGTAAGAGAGTAAAGGTGTATTTCTGGTATTGTCGGGTGAAGGCAAGTTGCCTCTGGTGGGTCTTATGGACAGGAGTGAAGAAAAAGGCATTTGCCAAGTCAATGGCTGCATACCAGATGCCAGGAGATATATTTATTTGCTCAAGCAATAAAACCACATTTGGTACAGCAGCTGCAATTCGAGTCACCAAGTGGTTAAGCTTACCAAAATCTCCTGTCATTCTCCAAGATCCACTTGTCTTCTGCACAGGTTAAATGGGAGAGTTGTTTTCAGATGTGCTGGTAATGACCAACTGTGTGTCTTTCAAGTCCTTAATGATGGTACTAATCTTCACAATCTCTCCGGGGTTGTGATATTGTTTTGGATTTACTGTATTTTCAGGTAGAGGAAGCTCAAATGGCTTCCATTTGCCTTTTCCTATTTTAGTAATCCTCACCCTACAGGTCAGGAAGCAAATGTGGGGTTCTACCAGCAGCTAAGTGTGTCTATGCCAATAATGCATTCTGGCACTGGGAAAATGACCTTAGGATGACTCTAGGTACACGCTCGACCCACTGTAAGTCTGACGGAAGCTAAAACTTTATTAATTGCCTGACCTTCATAAGGTTCTATTTTAACTGTAGAACCACAATGATGTTTCGGGTCTCCTGGAGTCAGTATCAGCTCAGATCCAGGGTCCAGTAGCCCGAAAATTCTGATCATTTCCCTTTCTTCCATGCACAGTTACCCTGACAAAAGTCCAGGCATTACTTAAGGAACAAGGAGAGAAAGATTCACTGCATAAATTGTTGGTAATGGAGTGGGGTCTTTCCTCAAGGGGATCCAGCCTCCCCTTCATTCAAGGGGTTCTGTGTCTTTAAATTGGCTCTGGTGTGGAAATAGGTTGAGAAGCTGTGGTTCTGTCTTTATAATTTAGAATAGTTCTTCATCTATTTGACACCAAAGTTTTCTGTTTCTATAACTTAGGTAGGAATGCAGTAGGCTTTCTATCAATTTCACTTCCAGGAACACCTTGATTAATTAGCCAGTGCCAGGGTTCCACAGGTGTCAGACTCTTCTGATTGCTGCTTTGCGACAGCTGTCCATTATGGTACCTACACCCACCTTGCCTCTGATGGTCGAGTGTTGCCACTTGGTTCCTGCCACCTTGGGATTCAATTATCCCTAGTGTATTTAAATGTTATAGTTAGTGGCTGCAGTTCCCACCCTTAGATCTGACACACAGAGAAGAGTAATTACAGAGCTGTTCAAAGATGCGGGTACTGCTCTATTTCACAAGGCATTGATCAAGAGTATATCCTCTGGACTCTCTCAGCTGGGATGAGTAGGTCTAAAGTGAACTAATCTACTCCACCATTCCAATCTCCCAAGGCCTTTGGATTTCATCCTTTACTTTAAACCAATGGAGAGCGGACATTTATAGAGCTCACTCACAGTGGGCCATCTTTGAATTCATATTTTAGCTAACCAAGCAGATAAACTATGAGAAATTCTTAGCTCCCTGTGCTGCATCTTTAAATGCAGAGTCCCTACTAGGTCAGCCCTAGTCAATAAATTCAGCCTGATACAACCCTGTGTTCCTTCTGCTATTATCCCATACCCTTAATATCCATTTGCTTCTGTGTTCTCTAGCCTGCTGTTCATGTATATTATAGAACTCAAACAGTTGTTCTTCAGTTTACCACAACTTCTCATGGGTTGCACTCTCAATATCACCGTAAAGAGCCCGCCAGTACTTTAGTTTAGTTATAGGCTTAGAACCAAACAGAGATGTTGGGGGTGGCCTCTGAGAAGAATCAACATTATCATACCTGGCAACTGACTCAGGGGAGGCTATCACTGTGGCCTCAGCCAGCACATGGTTTATCTCTATAGGTAGAGGTGGAAAGACTGAAGGCAGCATGTACCTCTCTCTTCTGGGATGCAGAACAATAATTTGAGATCAGCTGACTATCAGGGCTGAATGACCTGTAACACAACTATGGATAAAACTCGCCCCCTTGCTTATCGTAGTGTGGAACACAAAAATAAGAGGACAGCTGTGGCCCTTCAGGGTGCACAGACTTAGGGGCTCTCGATGCCATGACTGTGACACCCTCTTAGGGGCTTTGCATTTTCTGGCATCTCCAAGCTTCTGGGCCCCACTACGTTTCACAGTATCAGCTGTGGATGCTGCCTGCAGTATGCCTGGCCCAGCTGCTGCTTCTCAGTGAGACGGAACTTCTGTTGGCACCTAAAATTTCTTGTTTTGCCACAGCTGGCATGCCTGGATGAGTTTAGTGGTTGGAGCCCACACTTGCTCATACAACACTCACCACTCCACCATGCTTGCCCTTGGCAGGTGATAAGTGCTGGCTCTTAATGCAAGCTGAGTGCAGCCTGTCAGGCAGAGTGGGTAGAACACATGTAGCAGGCCTGGGAAAAACTCAAGCAAAGGCACCACTGGCCACAGGGGTTTTCATCTGGCAAAGTGACTCCCCTAAAATTCTGTAACAAAAGAAGCATAGCTAATTGTGTTTAAATGCCTTACTTCTCTTAAATCCTGAGACACTGATAATTCAGTGTCAATGCCCTGAATATTTTCGTATTTTATCCTTATTTGGAAAGTATTATATTTCAACATTATTTGGAAATAAAATTTGAATAATTGGTATTTGCGTTGAACCACCTGAATCCCAAGAATATATTTGCATGGAACCACCTGATTCTCACAAAATATATTTCTGAAATATAAGCATTGGGCTTCAGATTAGCATTCTTTCAGCAGATTGTGAAACTTGCCAATGGAACACAATTTCTAATCCCTGGATTTTGACATTATACACTCACATACGTTGTTTTTTGTTTGTTTGTTTGTTTGTTTGTTTGTTTTTTGTGGAGGCACTTTTGCTGTGCATTGTAAGAGGTTGAGCAGCATTTCTGACCTTTTCCACTAAGTGCAATAGTAACATCCTTTTCCCATGGTTGAAATGTCCAAATATCTTAGTGTCTTCTGGAAGCTAAATTGTTGACATTGACTATTCTAAAGAGTTATGAAGAATGAATAAAAAAACCAGTTTTAACAATTTTGCAGAGGCCGCGCAGGGTGGTTCACACCTGTAATCCCAGCACTTTGGGAGGCCAAATTGGGAGAATCACCCTAGGTCAGGAGTTGGAGACCAGTCTGGCCAACATGGTGTAACCCTGTCTCTACTAAAAATACAATAAGTAAACAAACAAACAAAATTAGCTGGGCATGGTGACAGTCGCCTGTAATCCCAGCTACTCCGGAGGTTGAGGCAGGAGAATCGATTGAAACCAGGAGGCGAGAATGAGCTGAGATCATGCCGTTGCACTCCAGCCTGCATCACAATAGTGAAACTCTGTCTTAAAAAACAAAACAAAACAAAACAAATATGCAAATTTTATATGAGATCTTATTTTTATCTAACTTTCTGCGGTTCTAATATCCTGTCACTTATGTAATGAACCAGCATGTCCTGCATGTACCCTGGAACTTAATACAAGACAAAGTTAAATAAATTAAATAAAACTAGAAAGGGTTTATTTTCTTAGAAGGGAGGTTACAGTAACTGAAATGTGTGCCACACTTTATTTAAGACATTTTCTAATTACAAATCAGGGTTGTCACAAACTGCATTGAAAAGCAAATAAGTAGAATATCTCAATTCTTAATTGATCAAATTTATTTTCTTTTATTCTTAGAATGGAATCCCACACTGTCTCTTTGGATGGTGTGCAGTGGTGCAATCTTAGCACACTGCAGCACCCTGCCTCCCAAGTTCAAATGTTCATTCTTCCTCAGCTTCTTGAATAGCTGAGATTACAGGTATGCACCAACACACTCGAAGGGCTTTCACCATATTGGCCATGCTGGTCTCAAACTCCTGGCTTCAAGTACTCTGCCTGTTTTGGCCTCTAAAAGTGCCGGAATTACAGGCATGAGCCACCAAGGCTTGCCGGCCCTCGTCTGAGTTTCCAATTGAGAAATACACTGGTCTTACAAACCTTATTTTTTATATCATATTTTTGATGAGTTTCGTTTTATGTCTCATAATTCACAAAGATAACTTAAGTGCATTGTCTCTCTATTGGAAATGAATTTATTTCCATTAATGCATAATTAAAAGAGTAGGTTTATGTAGAAAGTCATTTTTCTATGGTGAAGAGTTCTCACATCTTAGAAATTGCTTTACATATCTCATTTGGAAAACTCATTGCATTTATTGATTACACTTGCATTTTTTTTTCCTTTGGATTTTCTTTTGTAAGAGTATTCTAAATTGTTTGAAGATACAATAAGATGTTTAATTATGTCAAATAAACTTAAAAGGTATTTTCTTGGAAAGACAACTTTTTCTTAAGCTATGTTTCTACTAATACTGTGTGACTACTTTTTGTAAGTTACTAGGAATTAATTGATGTTTAAATCTTCCCAGCATCAAAAGTTCACCTGCAATATTTAAGAAATAAAGAACTGCTAGCAGAGCAGGCTGTTCTGGTCCATAGTTCACCCACTACCATCAACCCTGGTTTTGAGCTACCTGCAGCACAGGATTGGCTGGGTAAAAAAATCTCAAAAAGATATCAGTCTGTTTGATGGAAATATATTACATGGACAAAGAAATGACTAGTGGGTATTTAAAATCATAAAGAGGTTTTTTATCGTTAATAACAGTTTTGTTTGAAATTCTATATTTACATTTAGAAAAAATTAACTCATCGCTTTTGTTTTGCTTTGCTTTTAATCAACTAGCTTAACATTTTGTAGCCATCAGGTATATAATTAAAACCATTTATATCAGAGAATATTTTTTTTTTTTTAAATAAGATGTATTACTTAAATGTTCTCATATATGGTTTTGGTAATTTAACACAGTGGAATTGATTTAATCATATACAAAAAAAAAATAGTAAGACTGTTGAGTAAGAAGAAACCAAATTTAATGGTACAAAAAGTTTATACTAAAAATGTATACATTAAAAAGATTTTTCTAACCCAAACATTGAAGTTGCTTAATGTTGTTTTAGTTAAATTCCAAGAGAAGTATTATTTTAAAATCATAATGTGAAAAGAGATCATCTGAGTGCATGTTATTACTTTTAAATGTCCACATCAATTAAACAAAATGGATAGCAATGTTCAAATCTTACGCAGAACTGAAACTCATAGCGAGAGGTAATGTAAGTAAATTGAAAAACAATAGGCCAGGCGCGGTGGCTCACACCTGTAATCCCAGCCCTTTTGGGAGACCAAGGAGGGCGGATCACAAGGTCAGGAGATCGAGACCATCCTGGCTAACAAGGTGAAACCCGTCTCTACTAAAAATAGAAAAAATTAGCCGGGCGTGCTGGTGGGTGCCTGTAGCCCCAGCTACACGGGAGGCTGAGGCAGGAGAATGGTGTGAGCCCGAGAGTCGGAGCTTGCAGTGAGCCGAGATCACACCACTGCACTCCAGCCTAGGCGAAAGAGGGAGACTCCGTCTCAAAACAAACAAACAAACAAAAACCATAAAATTTAGTTCATTTCAAGGGAAATCAGAGAGTTACAAATATAATTAACAACAGTATTCTGTACAGATATTTAATTGAAAATGTGAAATTATGTTAGTTTATATGTTTCTCTCTGTGAGTATATTTTTTGGCACATTGCAGGAGTTTCTAGCTAAACTCACTGTTGAAAAGGACAGATCTTTATTTGTCCTGTGGGATCTATGTAAAGAGGAGAGTTTCCGTTTTAAAAACACAGACTTTTGTTAATTTATTTAACTATTGTATTGGCAGAGTAAATAAATATTTTAAATTTTTTTTTAAGCAGCCACTACTGTTATGAAACGTTAAGTCAATCTTTTCTTTCCTTGTGGCTAATATATATTTCCAAATATATAAGACGGCATGCAAGAAAAATTATTAACTTGCCACGAATATTGTATTTCTGGTCCAGAGATGTTTTTGGAAGTATTTGCACTTCTTCATACATAAAGCTATTTCCTCTTTTTCTTTTTCTTCTTCTTCTTCTCCTTCCTCTTCTTCTTCTTCTTCTCATCTTTTTTTACAGAAATGAGAATATAAAATATACAATATAGTTATTTGTTTTTACTTAGTGACACACCTGTCAATACATGAAGATCTGTTTATTTCTGTTCTGTGCTACATAACTTGGCATTCAATGTGCTCTAATTTATGCAGTCCACATCTAAGATGGATTGATGTGTAAGTTGTGTTCAGTTTTATAAGATAGAGAAGATTTCTAGTTCTCACAGGGATTTTAAATACACCACCTAATTGACTTTATCTCATAATAAAATGAATATAAATTAATCATCACTATGTAATGAGGAAAAAAGCAGATATTTATGTGAAGATTATAGTTTTTAGGTTTGAGAACAATAACTTGTATGCAGTGCTCAGTTTGAACTGAGAAAACTCTAATGTCCTATTTATATAAATTTCTGATGACAGTGTATTGAATACACTTATTTTAAGTACAAAAGTTTTTCAATCAGTTAACACATAATGATTAAAGTCTGTGTTAGTACATGGAAATTTAATATTATACCATCTGATATGACTTTTTCAAATAAAACTGTTACAGAAGCAATGCCATTAAAAATGCAGAATTAAGATATCTCTAGTTAATGGTGCATATATTGGATCATGTTTCTGGTGATATAAAAATTTAAGGTACCATTTGAAAATTGCTGTGTTAGCCTGATAAAATGAATTTCCCAGCCTGATTAGAAGAACTATGGACAGAGTCATCATTTTTGTAGCATAAGCATAGTTTTTCTTCTCTGAGGTTGTGAGACACTCAGATAGTGGGAATATCTGCCCCCGATCAGACCCTGCCCACAAAAATGACTTGTGGGACTCAAAGAGGCTGGTGTGACTAGTCACATAAATTGTGTGATCTAGCAACTATACATAACGTTAGTGCTTAGAAACAGTAGTTCTACAATTAGAAACACATGTGGTGATGTAGACAATGATTGTTCAAAGATGAGTAACAAAGGTGTGAGTTAAATTTTAATTATTTATTTGTTTTTAATATTCTCATACCAGGTACTGTTTTTCTTCCTGAGATTACTGTACTTTCATGAGATTTTGTCAGGACTGCATTTTCACAATATGGCTAGAATATCTGAGATACTATGAATGGCATATTTTTCATGCTCACTATCTAATAACTTGAAAGTTTACTTGACAGTTTTTATTATTTTTTGTTTGTTTTCAAAGCACAATTGATACAATCATATTTGTATGACATGGTAAATGCAATTCAGAATTTTAAGAATAAAAAATATTTATTTTAATAAGTATATTCTCATCTTGTATTTGAAGTATGCTATTTAATTTTTTGACCTTAATTTTATCTGTGTTATATAAGTTGTGTTTATTTTTAGGATTTTCTGTATATTTTCCTCAAATTAGCTATTCTTCTGCTTAAGAAAAAAATCGTTTTTCAGATAATGCTACATGGACCTGTTATCAACATTATTTCACAATTACAATAAGGCTACTAAAGGTGTAAAAGCACCTGGTTGAAAATAAAAAGTATTTGGTTGATCATAAGGCAGCAAAAAGTTAGGCTTTAGTGGCAGATCACATATTTAAGATGTAGCTATTAAGTAAGTTAATACAGAAAACCTGAATTTTGGAAATGTTTACACTCAAACTGTTTATCATTCCTTTGCTTTTTTTTGCGTAGATATTGATAGAAACTAAAGAAAGAAATTAGAACATTTTAACTGTAGTAAACAGTTCCAAAATTTCTACATTTCTTTTCCTCAGTGATCAGAAGTAACTTTGCCTTCAAATAACATCTTAGCTCTTAAAGTTTACGGGGATTACAAAACACACACTTGTCTCTGCCTTTCTAGGTATGACAGATCACACTATGCAGGCATTACAACTTGGGTAACATTCCTTTTTGTAGGATCTCCTTATGGGATGTCCACTCTTACTTGGTTAACAGCCACTACTGGACAAAAAGATAGAATTTGGGTCCTGATCCTCTAGCTGGTTTTTCCTCTAGGGTTTGGAATTGAAAACTGATCGAGATGGCAAATTGTACTGGCAAGAAGCGAATGAAGTAGATAGAATATAGCATTCAAATTAAGTCCCCACCATTGTGCTTAGCTGCTTGTGCTTTATGTTGTCCCAGCCCTTCACTGTGGCATGCATGTCTGCCTAGCTACTTTTTCTGTGCCATGAACTTCGTCAGGACATGAAGCAGATAATTTTTATTTCTGTGTCATAAACCTCAGATGCATACCAAAGCATAGAGAAACATGTTGCATATGTGTAAAACAGCTGTATTTTGTTCTGTAGCTACAAGGAAATTACGACCTTTGGAACTTCTGTGTATGCTCTCGATCCTTCCACAACTGCTCTTAATGGCCATATTTATTGATTTGTAATAATTCTCAATACATCACATAAATTATACCATGTAAATCTCAAAAATCCATGATACTCACAAGAAGCCACTGCATTCCAGGAGAAAAAAGTACTTAGTTCTTGTAAGTTATTTATGGCAGAGCACTGATTTCTTTCCAATCCTGTTGACTTGAGAAGATTGTAGTCTATTTTCTTACCTGTGAGGTATGTTATTATTTTATTATTTCTACTGATAACTTTTCTGTATACTCTTTATGATGGTCCACCTGTGAAATAAACACTAACGCTAAACATTAAACACAGTAAGTTCTTTGAAAATGCTACAAAAATTGCGAATCATTTCATTAACTCAGTTTTGGTATATATTTCATTCAACTACTTTCACAATACTTTTAAAGATATGCCTTTTGGCTTCTAGAGTAAGGCTCATCCTCACGATGATGTATTTAAATATTCTCATAAATGTGAAGACAAACTAGCATTAAACAAGACAGAAGATAGTAAAGAGTACAATATTGGTGTCCTAAGACATCTTCAGGTCAATCTTTTGATTTAGCTGCTTTCTGACTACAATTCTACGTACCCAAAAGTTTTTGGAAACAGTTCAGGTAAATTATGGGTGAGTTATCATTTAATTTTGATGAAATCAACTCTACATAAACTAAAAATTTTAAATATATCTTAAAATCCATAATGTATTTGATGTTAAATATTTAAACAAAAGTAATATTATAGCTGTCTTTCTTGGCCATTTCTACTAGTATTATCCGAATAGAAAGAGACAAAAATTGTCACAGCAAAGACAGGCCATGTATTCTTTCATCACTTAAGATACAATTAAATTCTTATTATAATAAGATTTATACTCTCTATATAAACTAAACATTAAAATGTAGCCATTTCCTTGATCTAACAGTTCTCTAATGAAGCAAATCTCAAGTATATAATTTTATCTCTATAAGTGCTTGAACACATCTGTAAAGATTTTCCTTAAAATTTGACCATGGTGCTGTCATCACACATAATAAAAATTATTTCATAAGCTTGGGCAACATGGCAAAAACCAGTCTCCACAAAAAATACAAAAACTACTCAGGTGTGGTGGTTTGAGCCTGTAGTATCAGCTACTCGGGAAGGTAAAATGCCATTTCACTGACTTTCAGTGTATGCTTAAAGTTCCTTCATTACTCTTTTCAAATTAGATTAGTGCATCAATGACGTCTTTTAGTTTCTAGAGTAATGTTTATCCATGAGATTATGTATATCAAAGATCAACATTACTCATCATCAAATAAACATTTTTTCTTATCAAATGAACACTTTCATCACTGTCAAGAAAGTACCCCTTTCTAGCCCTGCAAGAAAATATATACATGATAAACTTATATATGCATATATAATGTATACCTTTATATAATACATATGTGTATGTGTATATATATGCATATATGTGTGTGTATCTATATATATTTGTAAATATATATATATATATATATATATATATATATACATATATATATATAAATGCAAGCTTGTGCCAGGCACGTTCCTTCACACTGGTAGTCTTAACATTTTGGGAAGCCAAGGCAGCCAGATTACTTGATTTCAGGAGATCAGAACCAGCCTGAGTAACGTGGTGATATATCATCTCTATTAAGATGCAAAAAGCTAGCTAGGTGAGTGTAATTGTCTGCACCTGTAGTCCCTGCTACCTGGGACAGTGAGATGAAAACATCTCCTGAGCTGTGATTGTGTTGCTGCACTCCAACCTGTGCAATGAAGAGAAGGGCTGCCCCTTCCAACCCTTACACACACACAAAGCTTAATAACAGCTTGATTCTGTTTCCTTTGTCTCCTTCATTTTATCAAGGTCTAATTTGTGGCATGCATGACAATAAAACACTGTCACACAACTTTTTACTGTATACTGTAATATATAGCTCTTTCTAGTTTCTAAAACAAGCTGCAGCTTCTCATGAGAGTTTATTGTTCTTTCAGGAAGGTAATTCGTAGATATCTCAGAGGTAGAAAGAAAAAGGGATCTTCTGATTTCTGGGCTTCCTTCTGTTTCACTCACAGCAGCTCCCTTCTCTGTATTAGCATATCACTTAGATTTCTTTTAAATGTCTGCAGTGCACCTGTAATGCACTGACTCCCCATTGTATCTCTCAGTTTGAGGTTCTAGATTCCATAGCTAAACTGTAAACTTAGGGTTGTAAGTGTAATTTGCATATGTAATTCTTACTGACCTATTTCAGTTCTATAGCCTCACGTGTGACCAACACTCCCTTTTTCTTGCATCAACAAGTTATTTTCATTTATTTGATCTACTCAAAACATTTTTTTTCTGAAATCTAGTCAACATTTCTGTTCTATTTCACTCAAATTACTATAACACTATGAGTTTCTGTCTTCAAAACTTTTACTCAATAATTTATGTGTGCATGCATCTATGTGTGACTGTTTGCAAACAGTTGGCACAAGGGACCTGTTTTGTGAAAGACAATTTTCTATTATCTTCACTGGAAAACCAAACCAAACCAAACCAAACAAAAACATAAAGAATATATATTTATAATTTGTTTCTTTAAAAATATCTTTAGGTACAAATGTGAAAAATATTTTAACACTTTAAATATGGACATTAACAGTCACCAAAATCTTCTTGATTCTTTGGAACAGTATATCCAATGGAAGGGGCAAATCCACATTGTTGTAAAATGGGATAAAATGCATGTTTTTTTCAGTTTTGAAAAAAACAAAGATCTCATTCAACAAAACCAGAAGACATTAGAGTTGTTTGTGCTCATCTACAAAATTAACTTCTGGTTTCTCTTTACTGTTTTAGTGGTATCAGACAGGTAGTTAAGATGATAATTTGTTTAAAGGAAAATAATATTGACAAAATACAGCGACTGACTTGAAGAAAAATGATTCTTATTAAATGAATTATTTTCGATGTAGAAGATCTCACAGACGGTTTTCATCTGTCCTCCATGATAAATTGCAATTTAATGATTGAATATTGAAGAGTTGACAGAAGAAAACATTATTCTCTTTCTATTACAGATACCTCTTCATTTTATGCGGTTACAACAGATTTTAGCAACCACGAGTAGTTTCACAAACAGATTTCATTCTTTAGGCCTAACCAGCCCATTTTACCTCTTTGGAACTTGTTTGGAAGATGGAATGAAGAACTCTCTTGGGAGTCGTAAGCTAAATAACATGGATGTCTTTCTTGGACTTCATAACTTCTCACCTCCAAACTGTCTGCATTGTTGTGAGCTTAGCTGTCATTTAGATTGTGGTTCATTTGTAACATCATATTGCCTGCTATTCACATCTCTGAGAAATGAAACAATTTCTTTTCACCCTTTCTCTCACTCTTAATGCAAACCTCTTAAAATAACTATATATAGGTCTTAAGGTTGTATTTTATGTATTTTATTTTATTTACTTATTTTTTATTTATTTTTGAGATAGAGTCTCACTCTGTCACCCAGGCTGGAGTGCAGTGGCCCGGTCTATGCTCACTGCAACTCCAGCTTCCAGGTTGACGCCATTCTCCTGCCTCAGCCTCCAGAGTAGCTGGGACTACAGGCGCCAGCCACCACGCCTGGCTAATTTTTTTTAGTATTTTTAATAGAGACAGGGTTGAACCGTGTTAGCCAGGACGGTTGGGATTTCCTGACTTCGTGATCTGCCCATCTCGGCCTCCCAACGTGTTGAGATTACAGGCGTGGGATTACAGGCCACCGCGCCCGGCCAGGTCTCAAACGTTTTTTTTATAAGACAGTGAGACCGGCCTGGCCAAAAGGGTGAAACTCCGCCTCTGCTAAAAATATGAAAATTAGCCAGGCGTCGTGGCAGATGCCTGTAAAATGAGATACTGGGGAGGCTGAGACAGGTGAATTTCTTGAATGTGGGAGGCATATGTTACACTGAGCGGAGATCCTGCCATAGCACCGCAGCCTAGGGGAAGAGAGTAAAACCCTAACATCTGAAAGAAAGAAAGAAAGAAAGGGGGGGGGGGGGGAGAGAGAGAGAGAGAGAGAGAGAGAGAGAGAGAGAGAGAGAGAGAGAGAGGAGAGAGAGAGGAGAGAGAGAGAAAAAAAACCTGTGAGAATTAAACTCATTAGTATCTGTGTGTCTCTTAGTGTATTACCTCTTTAAGTGCTATAAATATCAGCTGCTATTATTATTGCTTATCATGTATCTTCAATTTACTCACACCAAATTCTGCTTCATAGCATAAAAAACACATCAGAACAGTAACAGTCAGATAGTAGTGGCTATATGGAACCACAAAAGCATCAGTGTCTGTGTCAGTAATCTTTTGTAATTTACAACAAATAAGTGACCTTTTACACCTACAGATTCTGCAAACACAGATTTCTTAAAACCTAAACTGTACTCAGTGTAACAATTTAGATTTGCTTCTTATGGTAAGTAATTTGTGTTTGGCTTGTAGGAGTTTTTACAAGGTATCGAATGTGTTTAATCTATTTCTTCAATCTTCTTCTTCTTTCTTTATGAAATCATTAGATCTAATTTATATGAATGTGCTGCCTTTTTGGTTTAGTTATTTCAAGGTAAAATATTTAAGATATCTTTACCTTAGAATATTGGTTTTTAATATATGGAAATATGGAAGAGCATTTATGTGTTATATTAATTATTATTTTTTACTCAAGCAGTTTGAAATATGAGTCAGTGAAGCGGTGAGGTAATCACTAAGATTTGGCTTAACTAACAAATATTTTATTAACAGCTTCAAGATACAAATGTTTTTGACTCTATATATAATTTTTTTTGAACAGTAGAATTATTTTCTGCATGAGGGAAAAGAATTTGCTATGATTAGCATACAAATTGCCTCTATATTCATCATTACCACAGGATTTTACACCAAAAAATGTTTGTGTTCCTGCCAGTGACTGGTACATGGCTTTGGATTTCACTCATAATGTAATTATAATTGGTTTGATTGTCTATTATACTGCTTTATATTTCCTAACAGCAAAATTATTATTTCAATTTTTAAATATGCGAAAAACATTTTTGCAGTAATTGTGTGAGAATTCTTGGTAAACATAAAATTCTCTAATCTAAATATGCATTTTTTAATTAAAAATTATCTCTGACTTCAAAAAATTTGTATCATAGCTTATTCTAATTTATCATTCAGTATTAAGCTTTATCTATTCTAAACAAAATCTTTACTTATAATTTAAAAAGTGGATCAGTTTTTACATCAGATTTTGTTTCTCATGTTGATAATTCCAATAATTTGGAAGGGCAAGGAAAAAAAGGACAGTTGAGGCCAGGAATTTGGAACAGAGCTTGTCAAAATCCTGAAACACCATCTTTACAAAAAGTTTTTAAAAATGAGAAGATGTGGTGGCTTAACACTGGTAATCTTGGCACTTAATGAGGCCAAGATAGGTGGATCACTTTAGGCCTAGGATTTGAGGCCAGCCTGAGTAACACTGCAAGATTCTGACTCTAAGAAAAAAATTATCTATCTATCTATCTATCTATCTATCTATCTATGTTAAATAATTAGCTGAGCCTACTGGCCTTTTCTTCTAGATGTAGCTACTAACTGGGAGGCTGAGGAAGCAGGATGACATAAGTCCAGGAGTTAGAAGCTGCAGTTAGTGACGATGGCACCACTGTATTCATTCCAGCTGGAGCATAGAAAATTGTCTCTTAAGAAAAGTAAAATGGCTTTAGTCTTAAGTTAGTACAAATTATACAAGTATAGAGTGCATTATAATAACGACTTCACAACTCTTTCTGCCTTGTTTTTATTAAAAGATGTTAATAAAATGTTGCTGAACTAAAAAGTGTTTGATATACATTTTCAGAGACCTACGTATACTTGCATTTTATTTACTTCTTGACTTGACTGTGAAACTAAAGTTTCAGAGCTTTATTAGTCAATATGACATTTGTACTATATTAGTACATTTTCATGCACTTATAAAGACATACGCTAGACTGGGCAATTTATAAAAGGAAGAGTAGTTTATGGACTTAGAGATTTATGTATCTGGCAAGGCAAAGAGGAGCAAGTCACATCTTATATGATGGCAGCAAGCAAAGAGAGAGCTGGTTCAGGGATACACTGATGTTTAAAGCCATCAGATCTGATGAGACTTATTCACTATCACAAGATCAGCACAAAAAAACACCTGCCCCCACAATATGGTTACTCCCTATCTCATCCCCCTCCACCACATGTAAAAATGCAAGATAAAATTTCGATGGGGACATAGTCAAATCATATCATTCCAACCCTGGCCCCTCCAAAATCTCAAATCCTCACATTTCAGAACCAGTCATGCTTTTCCAATAGTACTGCAATGTCTTAACTCATTCAAGCATTAACTCAATAGTCCAAAGTCTGAGATTTTATCTGAGACAAGGCAAGTTTTTTCTGCCTATGAGCCTGCAAAAATTAAAGCGAGTTAGTTACATCCTAGATATAATGGGGGTACTGGCATTGGGAAAATGCAGATATTCCAAATATGAGAAACTGACCAGAATAAAGGGATTACAGGCCCTAAGTACATCTGAAATCTGATGAGGCACTAAAAATTTAAGGCTCCAGGATGATCTTCTTTAACTTAATGTCTCATATCCAGGTCATGCTGATGCAAGAGGTGGGTTTCCATGGTCTTGAGCAGATCCCCCCATGAGGCTTTATGGGGTACAGCCTTCCTCCCAACTGCTTTCACTATCTGGCATTGAGTGTCTACGGGCTTTTCTGGGCACACCATCAAGCTGTCAATGGACCAACCATTCTGAAGTCTGAAGGATGAAAACCCTCATTTCCCAGCCCCACGATCATCATCTATGTCACTACCTGTGTTTTCAATGGTAGAAATGCTGTGGCCGATGACAGGGATCAGGTATAGCTGCTGGATCACAGCATGTATTTGATAAGTAGCACCAGCGTCTTTGAGTCCCACAAATACTTTTGTTGGGTGGGGTCCAACGGGGGCAGATAGTCCCACTCAGTAAATATTTCACAAGCTGAGATAAGAAAAAAAAAAAAAAAAAAAAAAAAGCTTTCTTTGAGTTATAGAAGACGGCGTAGTATTAAATTTTCATGTGTTAAACGCAGACTTAACTGATCATTATGAGTTTACTCATTAAAAACTTTTGCACTTAAAATGATTGTATTCAATTCATTGCCATTAGAACTTTACATTAAAAAAAAATGAGAGTTTTCCCAGTTTTAAGTGAGCACTTCCTTTAAGTTATTGTTCTGACTCATAAAGCTATAACTTTCATGCAAATATCTGCTTCTTTCCTCAGCAAATAATGATAATCACTTTGCCTGCACTCAGAATTTTGTTGTGAGATGAAGTCAATGCGATGGTGTGTTTAAAATTATGGTGGAAGTGTAAATTCTTCTTTATTTAGTGTAAAACTGAATACCACTTACACGTCAATCCATCTCAGCGGTGGACTGCATAAATTAGAGCACATTGAATTGCAAGTTATGCATCTACAAACAAAATTAAATGGATCTTCATATACTGACAGATGTGTGACGAAGTACAAAGTTAACAATATAGTCTATTGTATATATTCATTTGTGTAAGAAAATAAATAAATAGCTATATATATGGATTACTGCAGGCACAGAGATAATCTCTGGAACAGGAATATAAAATTGGTGATCAGTTAATAATTGTTAGTATATATCATCCTGTATAGTGAAAATATATATATATATTAACTATGTAAAACAGTTAGCTAAAGCATTTAACAACAGCAGTGTTTGTTTAAAAACACTCATTTGCAAATATATATTTACCACGTCAATACAATCATTAAATAAATTAACAAAAAAAGTGTTTTTTAAAAGCAAATCTTTCCCTCTACATGGATCTCACAATGCAAATGAAGATTTGATCTTTTAATCAGTGAGTTAGCTGGAAACTCCTACAATGTGTTAAAAAAAAACTTACATGGAAATATATATATATATATATATATATATATATAATTTCATATTTACTTATTACAGGCCTATACTGAATATGTTTGTTAATTACGTACTTAACACTTAGTTTAATCTTGAAATACACTAAGTTTTATGTTACTGTATGTTAATTTGCTTACATTACCTCCCACTTTGAGTTTCAGTTCTGTGTAAGTTTAAACATTGCTACCTTTTTGTGGATCTTATTTGGACATTTAGAAGTAATAAAGTGCACTCAAATGTTTCCTTCTAATATCATGATTTTCAAAACCATTCCTCTTTTAGAATTTAATTAAAATAACATTAAGCAACTTCAGTGCATACATTTTAAATATAACATTTTATAGCATTAAGTTTGGCCCCTCGTTAATGTAACATTTCCGTATTTTTTCACATATGATAAAAACAACTCATGTGTTAAGTTACCAAAACCAGCTATAGGAAACCATTAAAGAAAGGCATCGTCTTCAAAAAAATTGTATTCTCTCATTAAAGTTCTTCTACTTACATACCTGATGACTACAAAATGTTGGGCTAGTTGACCAAAAACAAACAAACAAAAAAAAAGTGAGTTACTTCTTTTTCTAAATGAAAAAGTAGTATTTCAAACCAAAGTAAATGAATATTGATGAATAAAATCAGATTTATAATTTAAACTACTCACTAGTTATTGCTTTGTCTGTGTCATATATTGCAGTCAAAGAGCCTACTCTCATTTTTAGATTTTTTTACACAGTCAATAGCTGGCGCAACAAGTAGCTCAAGCTAGGATTCATGGTAGTGGGTGACCTACATCTTGGAAATGCCTGTTCTGCTGGCAGTTCTTACTTCTTATACATTGCAGGTGAACTCTTGATACAGGGAAGATGAAAACATAAATTAATTTTAGGAAGAGAAAGTAATCATAATATTATTTGTAGAAAACCTAAATTAAGAAAAACCTGTTTTCTCAAAGAAAATACCTTTATGTTTATTTGATATAATTAAACAACTCATTGTATCTTCAAACAATTTTGAATTTTCTTACCAAAAAAGATCCTTAAAAAACAACCATTTATGTCAAGAAATGTAATTAGTTTCCAAAGTTATATTTTTAAAGAAATTTCTAAAACCCCAGAGTTTTACACAAAAGAAAAATGACATTCTAAATAGACTTTCTCTTTTAATTACATATAAATGGATATACATTCATTTCCAATGAAAAGAGAATGCATTAACATTATATTATTTTTCTTGACTTATGAGACATATGAAGAAACTCATAAAAGTATGATATAGAAAATAAAGTTTTGCAAGATGGATAAGTTTCTCAATTAGAAATTCATTCAACGGCCAGACATCCTGACTCACACCTATAATCCCAGGACTTTCAGATGATGAGGCAGGCAGATTACTTGACGTCAGGAGTTTGGAACTAGCCTGGCCAACATGGTGAAACCCCATCAGCTGTGTTGGTGCACACGTGTAATCTCAGCTAATCAAATAGCTGAGGCAGCTTAATCCCTTGAAGCTGGGAAGCAGGGGTTGCAGCATGTCAAGATTGCACCACTGCACTCCAGCTGAAGACACTGTGTAAGATTCCATCCTCAAAATGAAAGAAAAGAAATTCAATCAACTGAGAATTGAAATATACTACTTATTTACTTTTTGGTGCAGTTTGTCAAAACTCTGATTTATAGTTATTTTATAAAATCTCTTAAATAAGGTGTGGCACACATTCCAAAGTTACTATAACTGCTACAAAAATGAAAGCCTTTTAATTTAAATTTAATTTAATTTAAATTTATATTAAGTTTCATGATATGTATGCAGGACATGCAGATTTATTTCACAGGTAAACGTGTGCCATGGTTGTTCACTGAACCCATTACCCCATCACCTAGGTATTTATCTCTGCATAAATTAGCTATTTGTCCTGAAGGTGTTGTTTTCCCACTTTCTTTATCCAGTCTGTCACTCATAGGCATTTGGGTTAATTCCATGACTTTGAATTTGTGAATAGTGCTGTAATACACATACACAAGCATGCGTCCTTGTAATAGAATGACTAATTTTGCAGGTACTATACACCCAGTAATGAAATTGCTGAATCCAGTGGGATTGGCATTCTGAAAGACTAAAAGTGTGAATCACCACACACTTTTCCACATTGTCTGTACTGATAGACATTCCAAAGAACAATGTAAAAACATTCCTATGACTGCACTAGCTCACTACCATCAGTTTTTTCATGGGTATTAACTTATACGATAAAGATAGCCATCAATTTTGCTTCCACAAGACACAAACATATTTGGGCATTTCTTCCATGGGGAAAAAAAAAAAAAAAAAAAAGGCGTTTACAATTGCACTTAATGGAAGGGGCCCGAAATGCTGCTCATCATCCTGCAATGCACAGCAAAAGCTCCGCACATAAAGAAATTTTATGAGTACAAAATGTCAAAATCAGAAATTCTGTTTCATTAGAAAGCTTTATAACACAGTGGAAGAGTGCTAACCTGAAGCCCAATGCCATGAATTACAGAAGTATATTCTCAGAGACTAGATGTCTGTGCAAGTAAGAGGGATAGGGTGTTTCAGTGGAAATACCAGTCTTTCAACTTTAATTTCCAAAAGATTTTGAAATATAATGATTTTCAAATAAGGTTTAAACATTCCAAATTGTAGGAGACTGAATTTTAAGTATTTCAAGATCCAATAGAAGAAAGGCATTTAAACGCAACTAGCTATGCTCCTTTTGTCATGGGATTTTGGGAGAGTCACCTTACCAATTGAAAACCTCTGTGGCCAGTGGTGCCTTTGCCTGTGTTTTCTCAGGCCTGCTAAGCTAGCTCTACCCACTCTGCCTGACAGGCTGCACTCAGCTTGCATTATGGGCCAGGATTTAACAGCTGCCAAGGGCAAACGTGAGGTAGAGTGGCAATGGTGTTTGAGCAAGTGTGGGGTCCAGCCGCTATAGACGGCCAGGCCTGCCAGCTGTTGCAAAGCAGGAAATTTTAGGTACCAACAGAAGTGCCATCTCACTGAGATGCAGCAGCTGGACCAGGCATACTGCAAGCAGCTTCCACAGCTGATACTGGGGAATGTAGTGGTGCCCAGAAGTTTCAGGATGCCAGAAACAGCAAAGCCCTAAAGAGGGTGTCACAGCCCTGGTTTTGAGATAGCCTAGCTGTCCTCTTATTTTTGTCTTTCACAATGTGATGAGCAAGAGACATGTTTTTCCCTGTTTGTGTTACAGTTCTTTCAGCACCACCATTCAGTGATTCTCAAATAATAGTTCTTTATCCAGGAAGAATGAGGTAGATGGACACGTGGAGAGTGAGACCTTTATAGACAAGATTTACTGAGGGACAGAACTCAAAAGAGATCCTGATTGGGTAGCTCTTCTCCACAGGCTGGATGTTCTGATGAGGGTCCAGCTCTCAGCGGAGAGACGGCTTTAGAGCGGGCGGCTTATCTCTACAGGCAAGTTGTCAAGGCTTAGTGTCCAGCTCTCAGCAGGAAAGAAACCCTGGACTTGGTAGCTTCTCCATCCAGCTGGTCATATTATGAGATGTTAAGCTCTCCACAGAGTGAAGACCCTGGAGTGGGTAGGTCTACTTCACACCTGGTGGTTCCAAGATTGGCTAAGACTTCAGCAAAGAGAAGACCCTCGAGTGGGTAGCTCCTCACTCTAGCTGGTCATCCCATTATCTCCCCAGCTTTCAGCAGAGACTGTGGTGGGTAGCTCCAGCCCACTGCTGATAGTCCTGACATCTCCTAAGCTTGCAGGAGAGAGATGGCCCTTGGGTAGGTAGCTCCTCTCCACGGCTGGTAGTTTGAATAGTCCTCAAATGTGGCTGAGTCCAGGAATATTATTTGCTTCAAAGGAAAGAAAGTGCTTGCTGATTGGATTATTTGGCAACAATGCATGCGTTTCAGAAAAAAGCAACAGTGGTTCCCATTCTTGTCCATCAGCCTGGAACCTGGACCTCAGGCTGTAACCGGCTTGAAGGTGGAGCCTTAGTGGGGACCAGCAAATTTATCGCCAAGAGCCTGTGATGGCTAACACTGAGTATCAATTTAACTGGATTGAGAGATACAGAGTATTAGTTTGGTATGTGTCTGTGTGAGTGTTGCCTAAAAGAGATTAACACTAGGGACAGTGGGCTGGAGAAGGTAGTTCCACCCTTAATCTGGTGGGCACAATTGCCCTGTAATTGCTCTTCTATGGAAACCACAGTCATGCAACGACAAAATTTAAATATGATGAGAATAGTTGGATCCCAGTGTGATAGGGGTCAAGTGGCACCACTCAACCATCAAAGGTAATGTGGGCACAGCGAAGGGATAGTGGCAGTCAAATAATGTGACTCCTGTAGAGCCTTGCCATTGGTTAATTAGTCACGGTGTTCGTGCAAGTGAAATTGATGGAAAGCTTACTGCATTCATACTTATGTTATACATACAGAAATCGTTGCGTCAAAAGGACAAATCACTATTCGGAATGATGAAAACAGAGAAGTACGGCCCCTCCATCAATTACCAGGCTAGAGACAGTTTAAAGACCGAGAATCCATCGAATGAAGAGGAGGCTGGGTTCCCTTGACCAAGAAACCCACAACACAACTGACTATTTATGCAGTGAATCTTTACACAATCTTTCCCCAAGAAGACCTCCAGGCTTTACCAAAGTAATTGTGTACTAGGGAAAGGGAAATAGTCAGACTTTGGAGAAACTACTGGCCACTAGCTCTGTGCTGATGTGGGTTCCAGGGGACCCAAAATGTTACTGTGGTCCTGCAGTTAAAGTAGGAGCTCAGGGAGGTCAGGTAATTAATAGTGCTTTAGCTTATTAGGTCAGATTTACAGAGTGCCCAGTGAGTCCCTGGAGTCATCCTGTGGTCATTTTCCCAGTGCTAAATTGCATAACTGGCATAGATATACTTAGCAGCTGGCAGAATCCCACATTTCCATGACCTCCAAGGTGAGGGCTACAACAATAGAAAAGGTTAAATGGAAGCCACAAGAGCTGCCCCTACCTAGAAAAATAGTAAATAAGAAATGATATCAAAACCCTGAGAAGATTGTGAAGATGGGTGCCACCATCAAAAATTTCAAAGATGCTGGATTGGTAATTACCAGCACATTCTAATTCAACTCTCCCATTTGGCCTGTGCAAAAGACAGGTGGACCTTGGATAATCACATTGGAGTATTGCAACTTAATACAGTTGTGAATCAACATGCAGCTGATATTCTAGATATGGTTTATTTTTTGAGCAAATTAATACATCTCCTGTCACATGGTATACAGCCATTCACTTGGCCAGTGCCCTTTTCTTTATTCCTGTCTATAAGGACCACCAGAGGCAATTTGCCTTCAGCTGGCAAGGCCAGCAATACACATTTATTAACCTTGCTCAGGGGTATATTAACTCTCTGGCTTCCTGTCATAATCTTACTCAGAGAGACCTTGATTGCTCTTCACTTCTGTAAAGTATCACGATGATTTCATCCATCTCATTGATGAAATTAGGCTGATTTGATGAGTGAGCAAGAAGTAGCAAGCACATTTGAATTATTGGTGAGACATTTATGTACCAGAGGATGTGAAATAAATGTGACTAAAATTCAGAGACCTTCTACCTCCGTAATGTTCCTAGAGGTCCAGTCTTGGGAAGCCTGTCAAAATATCCTTTCCAGGGTGAAGAACAAGATGTTGCGTGAGGCCCCTCTTATAACCAAGAAAGAGGCACAATACCTACTAGGCCTAGTTGGATTTTTGAAGCAGCACATTTTTTATTTGAATATGTCCCACTGGCCCACTTATTAGTGATCCAAAGGGCTGCCAGCTTTCAGGGGCATCCAAAACAGGAAAAGACTCTGCAACTACTTCAGGCTGCGTTGCAAACCCCTCTACTCTTTGGGCCATGTGAACCAGGAGATTCAATGGTGCTTGAAATTTCAGTGGCAGATAGGGATGTTGTTTGGAGCTAAATAACTGTGGCAGCAGTGTCCTGCTCATTAAATCTACTTGTCTTACCCTGTTTCCCATTATCCTGAAGGAGCTGGATAAATAGAACGGTTAGGTGGCTTTTTGAAGTTACAATTACAATGCCAACGATGTGACAATACTTTGCAGTGCTCCCACAGGTGAATCAGACCATACACCTCTAGGATTTTGAAGCAAGGCCCTGCCATTTTCTGCAGATAACTAGTATTCTTTGGAGAGACAGCTCCTGGCCCATTGCTGGGCTTTGGTGGAACATTTCAATGTTGGTCATCAAGTCACCATGTGAAGTACACTGTCTATCATGAACTTGGTGCTTTCTGACCCATCGAGTCTTAAAGTGGGTTGTGCGCAGCAGCATTTCATCATGAAATGGATGTGGTATACACGTGGCCAGGCTTAAGCAGGTCCTAAGGCACAACTAAGTTACATGAGAAAGTGGTTCAAATGCTCACGATCTCCACTGCAGCCACCCCATCTTCTCTCCTTCAGCCTATGTCAATACCCAAATGGCCAGATTTCTGACTATATAATGATTCATGGTCCATAGCCAATGGTTTGTCTGGGTGTCAGGCACTTGGTAGATGCATGATCAGAATATTGGTGAGAAAGATATTTGAGGAAGAGGTATGTGGACGGACCTTTGTGAGTGGTCAAAAGCTGTCAAAATATTTGTATTCCATGTGAGTTCTAACCAACGAGCAGCCTTAGTAGATAAAGAGTTTAATAATCAAGTGGATAAAAACACTGGTTCCAGGGACACCACTCTGCCTCTTTCCCCAGCCACCCCTGTCATTGCCCGATGGGTCCATGAACAAAGTGGCCATGGTGGCAGAAACTGAGGTTACACATGTGCTCAGCAACATGGACTTCCACTCACAAAGCCTGACCTGGCTATGGCCACTGCTGAGTGCCCAATTTGCCAGCAGCAGAGACCAAAACTGAGCCCTCAGTATGGCCCAGTTTCTTGGGGTGATCAGCCAGCTACCTGGTGACAGATTAATTATATTGGAACTCTTTCATCAAGGAAATGGCAGAGGTTTGTCCTCACTGGAATAGCCACTTACTGTGGATATGGGTTTCCCCATTCTTCATGCAATGCTTCTGATAAGACTACCATTCATGAACTCACAAAATGCCATATTCACCATTACAGTATTCCACACAACATTTCCTCTGACCAGTGCACTAACTTTACAGCTAAAGAAATGTGGCAGTGGGCTCCTGCTCATTAAATCTGCTGGTCTTACCATGTTTCTCATTATCTTGAAGCAACTAAATTAATAAGATTGTGAAGTGGCCTTTTGAAGTTACAATTGCAATGCCAACTATGTGACAATACTTTGCAGGGCTGTGGCAAAGTTCTCCAGAAGACCATATGTTCTCTGAATCAGCATCCAATATATGGCATTGTTACTTCTGTAGCCAAAATTCGCTGGTCCAGGAATCAAGCAATAGAAGTAGAAATTTCACCACTCACTATCGCTCCTGGTGTTTCACCAGCAACATTTCTGTTTCCTGTTTCTTATGATATTATGTTCTGCTGGCCTAGAGGTCTTAGCTCCCCGAGGAAAAGCGCTGCCACCAGATGAAACAATAATGATTCCATTAAACTGGAAGTCAAGATTGTCACCTGGACACTTGGGCCTCCTCCTACCTTTACGTCAGCATTGTAAAAAGGCAGTTACAGTGTTGACTGGGTTGATTGACCTGAACTATCAAGATGAAATCAGCCTACTCCTCCACAATGGAGGGAAGAAAGAGTGTGGCATAAAATACAGAAGATGCATTAAGATGTGTTCCAGAATTACCATGACGTGCGATTAAGGTCAGTGGAAAACTACAACAGCCCAATTCTGACCGGGCTACAGTTGGATCAGACCCTTCAGGTATTAAGGTTTGGGTCACTCACCAGGGTAACAACAACAAAAGGAACAACAACAACAAAACAATAAAAACCGCAACCTGCTGAGGTGCTTGAGGAAGACAAAAGGAAGGCAGAATGGGTGTTAGAAGAAGTTAGTCATCCATATCCGCTATAAACAAGTGACCAGCTGCAGAAATGAGGACGTTAATTGTCTTAAGTATTTCCTCCTTCTTTTGTTAAAAAAAAAGTTTGTGCATGTATACACATGTACTAAGAAAATATTTTTTTTATTTTCCTTTATCATGCTACGTAAGATTTATTGAGTTCTTATCAACATTTGTGTATTGTAAACTTTATGAAATAGTGTTTGGATTGGGGATTGCTGCATTCCTGGCTGTAAGAGGATAATTGTATTATGTTAGGTGTAATTATTACCTCATTTCTGTCTGCATTTGAAGATTATGTATTATAGCAGGAGATGTGATTTGATTCGAGTTAACAAGGGGTGGACTTGTGATGGTTAACACTGAGTGTCTCATTCATTGGATTGAGGGATACAGAGTATTAATCGTGGATGAGTTTCTTGGGTGGTTCCCCCCCCCCAAAAATTAACATTTGAGTCAATGGGAAGATCTACATTAATCTGATGGGCACAATCTCATGAGCTTCTAGCGAACATCAAGCAGACAGAAACATGTCAAAAAGCGAGATGGGACTAGCTTCCAAAGCATACATCTTTCTTCTATACTGGATACTTTTTCTCTCAGACAGTGGACTCCAAGTTCTTCCAGGTTTGGGACTCAGACTTGCTCTCCTTGTTCCTCAGCTTGCAGGCAGCCTATTGTGATCATGTACGTAAGTACTTATAACCTCCCCTAAATATTTATATATACATATACACAGGCACACACACACACTCACACATATACATGCATATATAAAAATATATAAAGGGATGGAAAATAAAAGAGTTTGTAAGTATTTTCAAAAAGCTTTCTTTTTTTATTATACTTTAAGTTTTAGGGTACATGTGCACAATGTGCAGGCTAGTTACATATGTATACATGGGCCATGTTGGTGTGTTGCACCCATTAACTCGTCATTTAACATTAGGTATATCTCCAAATGCTATCCCTCCCCACGCCCCCCACCCCAAAACAGGCTCTGGTGTGCGATGTTCCCCATCCTGTGTCCATGTGTTCTCATTGTTCAACTCCCAGCTATGAGTGAGAACATGCGGTGTTCGGTTTTTTGTCCTTGCGATAGTTTGCTGAGAATGATGGTTTACAGCTTCATCCGTGTCCCTACAAAAGATATGAACTCATAATTTTTTATAGCTCCATAGTATTCCATGGCACATACGTGCCACATTTTCTTAATCCAGTCTATCATTGTTGGGCATTTGGCTTGGTTCCAAGTCTTTGTTATTGTGAATAGTGCCGCAATAAACATACGTGTGCATGTGTCTTCATAGCAGCATGATTTATAATCCTTTGGGAATATGCCCAGCAATGGGATGGCTGGGTCAAATGGTATTTCTAGCTCTAGATCCCTGAGGAATCACCGCACTGACTTCCACAATGGCTGAACTAGTTTACAGTCCCACCAACAGTGTAAAAGTGTTACTATTTCTCCACATCCTCTCCAGCACCTGCTGTTTCCTGACTTTTTCATGATCGCCATTCTAACTGGTGTGAGATGGTATCTCATGGTGGTTTTGATTTGCATTTGTCTGATGGCCAGTGATGATGAGCATTTTTTCATGCATTTTTTGGCTGCATAAATGTCTTCTTTTGAGAAGTGTCTGTTCATGTCCTTTGCCCACTTTTTGATGGGGTTGTTTATTTTTTTCTTGTAAATTTGTTGGTGTTCATTGTAGATTCTGGATAGTAGCCCTTTGTCAGATGAGTAGGTTGTGAAAATTTTCTCCCATTCTGTAGGTTGCCTCTTCACTCTGATGGTAGTTTCTTTTGCTGTGCAGAAGCTCTTTAGTTTAAAGAGATCCCATTTGTCAATTTTGGCTTTTGTTGGCATTGCTTTTGGTGTTTTAGACATGAAGTCCTTGCCCATGCCTATGTCCTGAATGGTATTGCCTAGGTTTTCTTCTAGGGTCTTTATGGTTTTAGGTCTAACATTTAAGTCTTTAATCCATCTTGAATTAATTTTTGTATAAGGTGTAAGGAAGGGAGCCAGTTTCAGCTTTCTACATATGGCTAGCCTGTTTTCCCAGCACCATTTATTAATTAGGGAATCCTTTCCCCATTGCTTGTTTTTCTCAGGTTTGTCAGATAGTTGTAGATATGTAAGATTATTTCTGAGGGCTTGGTTCTGTTCCATTGATCTATATCTCTGTTTTGGTACCAGTAACATGCTGTTTTGGTTGCTGTAGCCCTGTAATAGAGTTTGAAGTCAGGTAGCATGATGCCTCTGGCTTTGCTCTTTTGGCTTAGGATTGACTTGGTGATGCAGGCTCCTTTTTGATTCCATATGAACTTTAAAGTTTTTTCCAATTCTGTGAAGAAAGTCATTGGTAGCTTGATGGGGATGGCATTGAATCTATAAATTACCTCGGGCATTATGGCCTTTTTCACGATATTGATTCTTCCTACCCATGAGCATGGAATGTTCTTCCATTTCTTTGTATCCTCTTTTATTTCATTGCGCAGTGGTTTGCAGTTCTCCTTGAAAAGGTCCTTCACATCCCTTGTAAGTTGGATTCCTGGGTATTTTATTCTCTTTGAAGCAATTGTAAATGGGAGTTCACTCATGATTTGGCTCTCTGTTTGTCTGTTATTGGTGTATAAGAATGCTAGTGATTTTTGTGCATTGATTTTGTATCCTGAGACTTTGCTGAAGTTGCTTATCAGCTTAAGGAGACTTTGGGCTGAGACAATGAGGTGTTCTAGATATACAATCATGTCATCTACAAACAGGCACAATTTGACTTCCTCTTTTCCTAATTGAATACCCTTTATTTCCTTCTCCTGCCTAATTGCCCTGGCCAGAACTTCCAATACTATGTTGAATAGGAGTGGTGAGAGAGGGCATCCCTGTCTTGTGCCACTTTTCAAAGGGAATGTTTCCAGTTTTTGCCCATTCAGTATGATATTGGCTGTGGGTTTGTCCTAGATAGCTCTTATTAATTTGAGATACGTCTCATCAATACCTAATTTATTGAGAGTTTTTTGTATGAAGGATTGTTGAATTTTGTCAAAGGCCTTTTCTGCATCTATTGAGAGAATCATGTGGTTTTTGTCTTTGGTTCTGTTTATATGCTGGATTACATTTATCGATTTGCATATGTTGAACCAGGCTTGCATCCCAGGGATGAAGCCCACTTGATCATGGCGGCTATGCTTTTTGATGTGCTGCTAGATTCGCTTTGCCAGTAATTTATTGAGGATTTTTGCAACAACGTTCATCAAGGATATTGGTCTAAAATTCTCTTTTTTGGTTGTGTCTCTGCCAGGCTTTGGTATCAGGATGATGCTGGCCTCATAAAATGAGTTAGGGAAGATTCCCTCTTTTTCTATTGATTGGAATGGTTTCAGAAAGAATGGTACCAGCTCCTCCTTGTAGGTCTGGTAGAATTCGGCTGTGAATCCATCTGGTCCTGGACTTTTTTTGGTTGGTAAGCTCTTGATTATTGCCACAATATCAGAGCCTGTTATTGGTCTATTCAGAGATTCAACTTCTTCCCTGTTTAGTCTTGGGAGGGTGTATGTGTCGAGGAATTTATCCATTTCTTCTAGATTTTCAAGTTTATTTGTGTAGAGGTGTTTATGGTATTCGCTGATGGGAGTTTGTATTTCTGTGGGATCAGTGGTGATATCCCCTTTATCATTTTTTATTGCATCTGTTTGGTTCTTCTCTCTTTTCTTCTTTATTAATCTTCCTAGCAGTCTACCAATTTTGGTGATCTTTTCAAAAAAACAGCTCCTGGATTCGTTAATTTTTTGAAGTGTTTTTTGTGTCTCTATTTCCTTCAGTTCTGCTCTGATCTTAGTTATTTCTTGCCTTCTGCTAGCTTCTGAGTGTGTTTGCTCTTGCTTCTCTAGTTCTTTTAATTGTGATGTTAGGGTGTCAATTTTGGATCTTTCCTGCTTTCTCTTGTGGGCATTTAGTGCTATAAGTTTCCCTGTACCCACTGCTTTGAATGTGTCCCTCAGATTCTGGTATGTTGTGTCTTTGTTCTCGTTGGTTTCAAAGAACATCTTTATTTCTGCCTTCATTTCGTTATGTACACAGTAGTCATTCAGGAGCAGGTTGTTCAGTTTCCATGTAGTCGAGCGGCTTTGGGTGAATTTTCTAATCCTGAGTTCTAGTTTGATTGCACTGTGGTCTGAGAGACAGTTTGTTGAGATTTCTGTTCTTTTACATTTGCGGAGGAGTGCTTTACTTCCAACTATGTGGTCAGTTTTGGAATAGGTGTGCTGTGGTGCTGAAAAAAATGTATATTCTGTTGATTTGGGGTGGAGAGTTTTGTAGCTGTCTACTAGGTCCGCTTGGTGGAGAGCTGAGTTCAATTCCTGCGTAGCCTTGTTAAATTCCTGTCTCGTTGATCTGTCTAATGTTGACAGTGGGGTGTTAAAATCTCCCATTATCATTGTGTGGGAGTCTATGTCTCTTTGTAGGTCACTAAGGACTTGCTTTATGAATCTGGGTTCTCCTGTATTGGGTGCATATATATTTAGGATAGTTAGCTCATCTTTTTGAATTGATCCCTTTACCATTATATAATGGCCTTCTTTGTCTCTTTTGATCTTTGTTGGTTGAAAGTCTGTTTTAGCAGAGACTAGGATTGCAACCCCTGCCTCTTTTTTGTTTTCCATGTGCTTGGTAGATCTTCCTCCATCCCTTTATTTTGAGCCTATGTGTGCCTCTGTATGTGAGACGGGTTTCCAGAATACAGAGCACTGATGGTCTTGACTCTTTTTCCAATTTGCCAGTCTGTATCTTTTAATTGGGGCATTTAGCCCACTTACATTTAAAGTTAATATTGTTATGTGTGAATTCGGTCCTGTCATTATGATGTTAGCTGGTTATTTTGCTCATTAGTCAATGCAGTTTCTTCCTAGCCTTGATGGTCTTTACATTTTGGCACGTTTTTGCAGTGCCTGGTACCGGTTGTTCCTTTCCATGTTTAATGCTTCCTTCAGGAGCTCTTGTAGGGCAGGCCTGGTGGTGACAAAATCTCCCAGCATTTGCTTGTCTGTAAAGGATTTTATTTCTCCTTCACTTATGAAGCTTAGTTTGGCTGGATATGAAATTCTGGGTAGAAAATTCTCTTCTTTAAGAATGTTGAATATTGGCCCCCACTCTCTTCTGGCTTGTAGGCTTTCTGCCAAGTGATCAGCTCTTAGTCTGATGGGCTTCCCTTTGTGGGTAACCCGTCCTTTCTCTCTGGCTGCTCTTAACATTTTTTCCTTCATTTCAACTTTGGTGAATCTGACAATTATGTGTCTTGGAGTTGCTCCTCACGAGGGGTATCTTTGTGGCATTCTATGTGTTTCCTGAATCTGAATGTTGGCCTGCCTTGCTAGATTGGGGAAATTCTCCTGGATGATATCCTGCAGAGTATTCCAACACTCAGTTGGAAACCAAGTTTCCAACTTGGTTCCATTCTCCCCGTCACTTTCAGGTACACCAATCAGAAGTAGATTTGGTCTTTTCACATACTCCCATATTTCTTGGAGGTTTTGTTCATTTCTTGTTATTCTTTTTTCTCTAAACTTCCCTTCTCTCTTCATTTCATTCATTTCATCTTCCATCACTGATACTCTTTCTTCCAGTTGATCGCATTGGTTCCTGAGGCTTGTGCATTCATCACGTAGTCCTTGTGCCTTGGCTTTCAGCTCCATCAGCTCCTTTAAGGACTTCTCTGCACTGGTTATTCTAGATATCCATTCGTCTAATTTTTTTCAAAGTTTTTAACTTCTTTGCCATTGGTTTGAATTTCCTCCTGTAGCTCAGAGTAGTTCGATCATCTGAAGCCTTCTTCTCTCAACTGGTCAAAGTCATTCTCCATCCAGCTTCGTTGCATTGCTGGTGAGGAGCTGTGTTCCCTTGGAGGAGGAGAGGCACTCTGCTTTTTAGAGTTTCCAGTTTTTCTGCTCTGTTTTTTTTCCCCATCTTTGTGGGTTTTTTTTCTACTTTTGGTCTTTGATAATGGTGACGTACAGATGGGGTTTTGGTGTGGATGTCCTTTCTGTTTGTTAGTTTTCCTTCTAACAGACACAACCCTCAGCTACTGCTCTGTTGGAATTTGCTAGAGGCCCACTCCAGACCCTGTTTTCCTGGGTATCAGCAGTGGTGGCTGCAGAACAGCGGTGGCTATAGAACGGCAGATATTGGTGTCTGTAGAACAGCAGATATTGGTGATCCACAAATGCTGCTGCCTGATCGTTCCTCTGGAAGTTTTGTCTCAGAGGGGTACCTGGCCTTGTGACGTGTCAGTCTGCCCCTACTGGGGGATGCCTTCCACTTAGGCTGCTCGAGGGTCAGGGACCTACTTGAGGAGGCAGTCTGCCCGTTCTCAGATCTCCAGCTGTGTGCTGGGAGAACCACTACTCTCCTCAAAGCTGTCAGACTGGGACATTTAAGTCTGCAGAGGTTACTGCTGTCTTTTTGTTTGTCTGTGTCCTGCCCCCGGAGGTGGAGCCTGCAGAGGCAGGCAGGCCTCCTTGAGCTACGCTGGTCTCTGCCCAGTTCGAGCATCCCAGCTGCTTTGTTCGCTTAATCAAGCCTGGGCAATGGCAGGCGCCCCTCCTCCAGCCTCACTGCCACCTTGCAGTTTGATCTCAGACTGCTGTGCTAGCAATCAGCGAGACTCCATGGGCATAGGACCCTCCGTGCCATGGGCGTAGGACCCTCCATGCCATGTGCGGGATATAATCTCCTGGTGTGCCGTTTTTTAAGCCCATTGGAAAAGTGCAGTATTAGGGTGGGAGTGACAGGATTTTCCAGGTGCCATCTGTCACCCCTTTCTTTGACTAGGAAAGGAAACTCCCGGACCACTTGCACTTCCCGAGTGAGGCAATGCCTCGCTCTGCTTCAGCTCACACCCGGTGCATGGCACCCACTGTCCTGCACCCACTGCCTGGCACTCTCTAGTGAGATGAACCCAGTACCTCAGGTGGAAATGCAGGAATCACCCGTCTTCTGCGTCACTCACACGGGGAGCTGTAGACCAGAGCTGTTCCTATTCGGCCATCTTGGCTCCACCCTTTAATCCATCTTGAATTAATTTTTGTATAAGGTGTAAGGAAGGGATCCAGTTTCAGCTTTCTACATACGGCTAGCCAGTTTTCCCAGCACCATTTATTAAATAAGGAATAATTTCCCCATTTCTTGTTTTTGTCAGGTTTATCAAAGATCAGATGGTTGTAGATATGTGGCATTATTTCTGAGGGCTCTGTTCTGTTCCATTGGTCTATATCTCTGTTTTGGTACCAGTTCCATGCTGTTTTGCTTACTGTAGCCTTGTAGTATAATTTGAAGTCTGGTAGCGTAATGCCTCCAGCTTTGTTCTTTTGACTTAGGATTGTCTTGGCAATGTGGGCTCCTTTTGCTTCCGTATGAACTTCAAAGTAGATTTTCCCAATTCTGTGAAGAAAGTCATTGGTAGCTTGATGGGGATGGCATTGAATCTATAAATTACCTTAAGCAGTGTGGCCATTTTCACGATATTGATTTTTCCTACCCATGGGCATGGAATGTTCTTCCATTTGCTTGTATCCTCTTTTATTTCATTGAGCAGTGGTTTGCAGTTCTCCTAGAAGATGTCTTTCACATCCCTTGTAAGTTGGATTCCTAGGTATTTTATTCTCTTTGAAGCAATTGTGAATGGGAGTTCACTCATGATTTGGTCCTCTGTTTGTCTGTTATTGGTGTTTAAGAATGCTTGTGACTTTTGCACATTGATTTTGCATCCTGAGACTTTGCTGAAGTTGCCTATCAGCTTAAAGAGATTTTGGGCTGAGACGATGGGGTTTTCTAGATATACAATCCTATCATCTGCAAACAGGGGCAATTGGACTTCCTCTTTTTCTAATTGAATACACTTTGTTTACTTCTCCTGCTTGATCGCCCTGGTCAGAACTTCCAACTCTATGTTGAATAGGAGTGGTGAGAGAGGGCATCCCTGTCTTGCTCCAGTTTTCAAAGGGAATGCTTCCAGTTTCTGCCCATTCAGTATAACAGTGGCTGTGGGTTTATCATAGATAGCTCTTATTATTTTGAGATACATCCCATCAAGACCTAATTTATTGAGACTATTTAGCATGAAAGAATGTTGAATTTTGTCAAAGGACTTTTCTTCATCTGTTAAGATAATCATGTGGTTTTTGTCGTTGCTTCTGTTTATATGCTGGATTACATTTATCAATTTGCGTATGTTGAACCAGCCTTGCATCCCAGGCATAAAGCCCACTTGATCATGGTGGATAAGCTGTTCGATGTGCTGCTGGATTCGGTTTCCCAGTATTTTAGTGAGGATTTTTTCATCAATCTTCATCAGAGATATTGGTCTAAAGTTACCTTTTTTTGTTGTTGTGTCTCTGCCAGCCTTCAGTATCAGGATGATCCTGGCCTCATAAAATGAGTTAGGGAGGATTCCTTCTTTTTCTCTTGATTGGAATAGTTTCAGAAGGAATGGTACCAGCTCCTCCTTGGAGGTCTGGTAGAATTCGTCTGTGAATCCATCTGGTTCTGGACTTTTTTTGATTGGAAAGCTATTAATTATTTTCTCAATCTCAGAGCCTGTTATTGGTCTATTAAGAGATTCAAGTTTTTCCTGGTTTAGACTTGGGAGGTTGTATGTGTTGAGGAATTTATCCATTTCTTCTAGATTTTCAAGTTTATTTGTGTAGAGGTGTTTACGGTATTCACTGATGGTAGTCTGTATTTCTGTGGGATCTGTGGTGATATCCCCTTTATCATTTTTTATTGTGTCTATTTGATTCTTCTCTCTTTTCTTCTGTATTTGTCTTGCTAATGGTCTATGAATTTTGGTGAAGTTTTCAAAAAACCAGCTCCCGGATTCATTGATTTTTGGATGGGTTTTTTGTGTCTCTATCGCCTTCAGTTCTGCTCTGATCTTAGTTATTTCTTGCCTTCTGCTAGCTTTTGAATGTGTTTGCTCTTGCTTCTCTAGTTCTTTTAATTGTGACGTTAGGGTGTCAATTTTAGATCTTTCCTGCTTTCTCTTGTGGGCATTTAGTGCTATAAATTTCCCTCTACACACTGCTTTGAATGCATCCCAGAGATTCTGGTGTGTTGCGTCTTTGTTCTCAAAGACACATCCTTGAGATGCTGTTTGTTGGTTTCAAAGAACATCTTTATTTCTGGCTTCCTTTCGTTATGTACACAGTAGTCATTCAGGAAGAGATGGTTCAGTTTCCATGTAGTTGAGCGGTTTTGAGTGAATTTTCTAATCCTGAGTTTTAGTTTGATTGCACTGTGGTCTGAGAGAGTTTTTTGTAATTTCTGTTCCTTTACATTTGCTGAGGAGTCCTTTACTTCCAACTGTGTGGTCAGTTTTGGAATAGGTGTGGTGTGGTGCTGTAAAGAATGTATATTCTGTTGATTTGGGGTGGAGAGTTCTCTATATGTCTATTACGTCAGCTTGGTGCAGAGCTGAGTTCAATCTTGGATATCCCTGTTAACTTTGTCTGTCTAATTTTGATGGTAGGGTGTTAAATTCTCCCACTATTATTGTGTGGGAGTCTAAGTCTCTTTGTATGTCTCTAAGGACTTGCTTTATAAATCTGGGTGCTCGTGTACTGGGTGCATATATATTTAGGATAGTTAGCTCTTCTTGTTGAATTGATCCCTTTACCATTATGTAATGGCCTTCTTTGTCTCTTTTGATCTTTGTTGGTTAAAAGTCTGTTTTACCAGAGTCTAGGCTTGCAACCCGTGTCTATTTTTGTTTTCCATTTGCTTGGTAGATCTTCCTCCATCCCTTTATTTTGAGCCTATGTGTGTCTCTGTACGTGAGATGGGTTTCCTGAATAGAGCACACTGATGGGTCTTGACTCTCTATCCAATTTGCCAGTCTGTGTCTTTTCATTGGAGCATTTAGCCCATTTACATTTAAGGCTAATATTGTTATGTGTGAATTTGGTTTTGTCATTAAGATATTAGCTGGTTATTTTACTCACTAGTTGATGCAGTTTCTCCCTAGCCTCGGTGGTCTTCACAATTTGGCATGTTATTGCAGTGGTTGCTACTGGTTGTTCCTTTCCATGTTTAGCACTTCCTTCAGGAGCTCTTGTAGGGCAGGCCTGGTGATGACAAAATCTCCCAGCATTTGCTTTTCTGTAAAGGATTTTATTTCTCCTTCACTTATGAAGCTTAGTTTGGCTGGATATGAAATTCTGGGTAGAGAATTCTTTTCTATAAGAATGTTGACTATTGGCCCCCACTCTCTTCTGGCTTGTAGAATTTCTGCCAAGAGATCAGCTGTTAGTCTGATGGGCTTCCCTTCGTGGATAAGCCGACATTTTTCTCTGGCTGCCCTTAATATTTTTTCCTTCATTTCAACTTTGGTGAATCTGACAATTATGTGTCTTGGAGCTGCTCTTCTCGACGAGTGTCTTTGTGGTGTTCTCTGCATTTCCTGAATCTGAATGTTGGCCTGCCTTGCTAGATTGGGGAACTTCTCGTGGATAATATCCTGCAGTGCTTTCCAACTTGGTTCCATTCTCCCCATCACTTTCAGGTACACCAATCAGACGTAGATTTGGTCTTTTCACATAGTCCCATATTTCTTGGAACCTTTGTTCATTTCTTTTTATTCTTTTTTCTGTGAACTTCTCTTCTCACTTCACTTCATTCATTCGATCTTCCATCACTGATACCCTTTCTTCCAGTTGATCAAATCAGCTACTGAGGCTTGTGCATTCATCACGTTTTTCTTGTACCTTGGTTTTCAGCTCCATCACATCCTTTAAGGACTTCTCTGCATTGGTTATTCTAGTTAGCCATTCGTCTATTTTTTTTCAAGGTTTTCAACTTCTTTGCCATGGGTTCGATCTTCCTCCTTTAGCTCAGAGTAGTTTGATCATCTGAAGCCTTTTTCTCTCAAATAGTCAAAGTCATTCTCCGTCCATCTTTGTTCCATTGCTGGTGAGGAGCTGTGTTCCTTTGGAGGGGGAGAGGTGCTCTGATTTTTAGAGCATCCAGTTTTTCTGCTCTATTATTTCCCCATCTTTCTGGTTTTATCTATCTTTGGTCTTTGGTGATGGTGACGTACAGATGGGGTTTTGGTGTCCATGTCCTTTCTGTTTGTTAGTTTTCCTTCTAACAGTCAAGACCCTCAGCTGCAGGTCTGTTGAGTTTGCTGAGGTCCACTGCAGACCCTGTTTTCATGGGTATCAGCAGCGGAGGCTGCAGAACAGCGGATATTGGTGAACAGCAACTGGTGCTGCCTGATCATTCCTCTGGAATTTTTGTCTCAGGGGAGTACCTGGCCATGTGAGGTGTCAGTCTGCCCCTACTGATGGGTGCCTCCCAGTTAGGCTACCAGGGGGCCAGGGACCCACTTGAGGAGGCAGTCTGTCTGTTCTCAGATATCCATCTGCGTGCTGGGAGAACCACTACACTCTTCAAAGCTGTCAGACAGGGACATTTAAGTCTGCAGAGGTTTCTGCTGCCTTTTGTTTGGCTGTGCCCTGCCCCCACAGGTGGAGTCTACAGAAGCTGGCAGGCCTCCTTGAGCTGTGGTGGGCTCCACTGGGTTCGAACTTCCCAGCTGCTTCATTTACCTACTCAAGCCTTGGCAATGGTGGACGCCCCTCCCCCAGCCATGCTGCCACCTTGCAGTTTGATCTCAGATTGCTGTGCTAGCAATGAGCGAGGTTCCAACAGTGTAGGGCCCTCTGATGCAGGCATGGGATATCTTCTTCTGGTGTGCCATTTGCTAAGACCATTAGAAAAGCACAGTACTAGGGTGAGAGTGACCTGATTTTCCAGGTGCCCCTTTCTTTGACTAGGAAAAGGAATTCCCTGACCCCTTTTGCTTCCCGGGTGAGGTGATGCCTCACCTTGCTTCAGGTCACAATTGATGCACTGCACCCACTGTCCTGCCCCACTTCCCAGCACTCCCAGTGAGATGAACCTGGTACCTCAGTTGGAAATGGAGAAGTCACCCATCTTCTTCCTTCAGGTTTTGAGCTGATCACTATCCCTAGGATACAATCAAAAAACATTATTTGAATAAATATTAAAACTATAAACCTTCTTTTAATAAGTCAGCTTGTTTGATGGTGATGCCATAAACTAATTCCATAAAAAAAATCCTGACATATATACACAATACACATGTGCGTATGTGCTTCAGTGGTCCATATGCATCTATGTTAAAAAAAAAAAAAAAAAAAAAAACCTTTAAAGTACTTATTTTCCTATTTACTTACTTACAAGGCTCTTGAACATATATCAGAGTAATTATTTAACAAACGGTTACCAATTAGTAAATACTCTTCATTTCTTTAAAAACAAAGGTGTATTATGTCTTCTTAGAGAATGACAATTTAGACTTTCAGAAATATTTAGTAAATAGTGGTTCTGCAATCATTGTAAAATGTACCCATCAAATTCAGGTTTAAATTTAAGTGATCTATAAAGCTTAACTTCCTTAGTGAAAAAGCTGTTACAGGTAATAATAGTGATAGTAACACTAATAATAATAAAACAGTGCCAGCACTTTGAAAAATCAGGTCAGTCACAGATTTCAATAAATATTCCTCTTTCACTACAAATTTTAGCTGAACAACTTTGTTTCTACAAATAATGCCAGCTTCTGTGCACAACTTAATGTCTGTTAATGCCTCAATTTCACAATCTCTGCATTGTTCCAAGAATGTGTCTAAACAGCAGAGCTCTCCCTTAGTATATTAAGCAAAAAAAAAAATAAACTTGCCGTTTCCTTTTAGGTGTTCAATGGCATTTTATTAACCTTGGAGAAAAAGCAAGCCCTATATGGGTAGGAGTTCTGCCTCATGGAGAAGGCCCTAGCATCAGCAACAGAGCCTACATCTCAGGCGCTAAGTAGGAACTAAGGAAACGGTGTAAATCTGGATAATTACCATGTTGCTGCTACTTGCTAATGTTCTGAAACAAATTTTTGATTGAAATGAGAAAGATTTTCCACTGTAGAAATTCACCTCCTTTTGGATTTATCTTAACATTTTCAGAAATTGTTCCTATTACATCAGTTTCCTCATTCATTGATTTTTATTTTCTCTTATTGTCTAATATGCATTTTTTGTGAATGCATACTTTTATTATGTTGGCAAAGAACTAATAATTCTGATCAAAGCTGTCCACTATGCAAACTTCTATCAAATAATTTTTTTAAAAGTAGGAGATACTTGAATATTGGTTCTACTAAACAACTTTAGCAAAATTGAAAATCCTATAACCCCAGCTATAATCCTTGCAAACTTTGTTTCCATTTGACTTGCTTATTGTAATATCCCAGGATCATTCATGACTATATTATGACTAGGATCATTCATGACTGTATTATGGATACACATTGTGCTTTCTGAACGCACAATGTGTATCCATAATATAGTGTGCCAATGCACCTGTATGCACGTGTATTATTTATGCCTTTCAACTGTATGAAAGATTAGCTCCATCCCAAATACCATTCATTGAGATTTCTCCCTTGGTACCTCCAAAACAGAGGCTGACTAGGGTTTTATTTTTTCACACTCATGTTTTACAAAAATATTGAAAAAGCAATTGGAAGGAAAAGCAGAGAAATAAGAAATATATCATTTAGTTTCTAATCATTGATTAACTGAACTGACCTTACTTTACTAATGTTTACCCTAAGTTGAATCAATGGAACTTATGTACACTTTTTCAAATCCTTCTGCTATACGGAAACCAAACTTGGAGTTAAGAAATCTTCAAAATATAACATCAAAGAGTTCTAAATGTGAGCTTTTAAAAATAATTTTCTCGAGAGATATTTCAACACTGTTAACTTCTCAAAGGTGCCTGAGACTCAAGATTTTAGGATATTTAGCAGCATTTCTAACCTCTCAGCAATAGATGCTAGTAACAACCTTACCAATTCTACTTTGAGTCACAAACCAGGGTTAGGGTGAAGTCTAAAGTAAAATCTGAAGACCTATAAAAACCCTAGAAAATCACATGGACTGTCTGTTACCTCTATGAGCTCATCCTCTATAATTTTCCCCCTTCTACAGCCTGCTGCAGCCACAGGGAGCTGGCTTTTTAAAAACAATTTATACAGCCTTCCACCAGGAATCATTGTACTTATTGATCTTGCTGCATGCTTACATTATTTTCTTATTATTTTCTTTAGACAATTATTTGAAAGTCACTTTGTAAGCCACTTATTGTATGTTTGTTTTACAAAAACCAAAATGTACTTTATAACAGAGAATCTTACCTCATACATTTTATACAAAATTGATAATTTCACTTAATAAAAAAACAAAAACTTTATAAAATGACCACTAAAACAAAAACCTAACACCGGGGATTGCAAATTGGAAATGTAACATTCACTTTAAGTGTTTTAAACAAGAGACAAAACATAAACCTCATAAATAACAATAAACTCTGAAATTAGAAAACACTCAGTGCTTCGCAGATAAAAATAAAAGTAAAACGGCAGGGATGGCAGTTTCAAACCATTCCAAAAAAAAAAAAAAAAGTTTCAAACCATCAAAAACAGTCTGGACCCTGAAAATCAATAGTTTATATAAACCAAGTAAACATTTAATCCAGAAAGACAATTATAAAATGGTGAAGTTTTTTTTTCTTTAAGGATTTTCATATCACCTCCTAGGCACAGATGAAGCCTACAGAATTGAAATCCCCATTGTCAAAATGAGGACCTGATTCCTGCTTCTCATAAAAGCAAAGAAACCCTTATGTGCTAAATTATTGTGTTTTTTTTTCCCAGTCTTTCTAGAGGATATATGAAAATTTGATAAAATAAACATTTATTTCTCCTTTGCCTAACTCAGAAGTCACTCTCGGTCGGAAATGCCAGGAATTGGTCACAAACATTTAAGTTGCTGAGTACAAAAAATACTGTGTGCACAGATAAAATCAGAGAAAGTAATATAAATTGAGAAGGATGGAAAACTACAAGAGCAGCATATTTTTATACTGCTGACCTTAAACATTAAATTATTCACACAAGTTAGTATTCTTCATAGTAGGCTATTTTAAGTTTTCAATAATAATTGAAATCCCAAGTACATCAAATTGTAATATGAAAAATACAACAGCAGTTTTTAAAAATTATCCAGATTTTTTAAATGAGCAAAAAAGAAATTGAGGATCAAGCAAGAGAAAGCGCATATGGAAAACATGTAAGTCCATGTCAGAGTATGTAATATTTTACTTGTAAGAACTGTAAATGTGAGCTCTTGCTTAAAAAGGCACACATTGTTGCAAGTGTACCCTTAAACGAAGGAGTCACTTTTGTGACTTCTATGCAAGGCATACTTCAGGTGCAAAGACAAATAGGTCGAAGTAAAATAATACTAGATTCTGGGAAAGTTCTGCAATGTACAAGGGATCACTGTATATCTGTCCCTTCAACTATACAATGGGTGCAGTGGCAGGATTACTATGATGCAATTACTATAGAATTCCGAGTCTACCTGAAGGTTTACAGCTTCCAAAAAAAGATTTGTAAAGTAAATAAAAATTAAATTTTATCAATTTTGTAGCACAGATCAACAGCAGCTACTTATTCTTTAATAACCACCACTGTGGGATGCTGCCTTGCAAATATTTCTGGAGCAGCTTACAAGAGCCATGGCAAACAAAAAGGACCCTGTCCTCCAAATCTCAGGAGGACTCATTTGCCGATTGCTGCTTCTGCTTATGGAGGTCCCGACAGAGGTGAATAGTCATTATTATATTCCCCAAATATTATGCAGGCTCTTTGTCCCTCTGTGCAACCAACTTTCAATAGATTTAAAAAGTGAAAATATTTTTTCCTGATTGTTCTTCTTTTTCTCTTAAGACATTTGTAGACTAAAACATTCAAAATTAATCATACACACACACACACACACACACACACACACACACATATATATGTAATGAATTGTGGTTTTAACGATATGTGCCTCAAAACAATGTGCCTCAAAAGAGACCCAAGACGAAGCTCAGTACAGCTGATTTACAGGAGAGAAAGAGCCTATATAATGAGTAAACAAAACTCTACCAAACCATAGAAGTAGAAAATCTTATTTTCAAAGTCACAGCACTTTAAAATTTAAATGCTCTTTTTCAGCACCAGCAAAATCACAAACCACAGAGTGAAATAGACAAGTATGGCTCATTTTAATAACAACTACAAAATAATTATGAAAAAATAAGCTTTTTTTGACAGCCCAAATGGCAGCCTTACTAAAATATAATATTTAAAATTAGCTACATAATAAGCTAATAGAATGAACAAAAGAAGCACAAACACTTACGGACAAAAATTATTAATCAAAAGAGTAAAATTATTTTAAAACCTAAAAAAGTCTAGAGATAAACCACACAGCGAAGCAGAGAAGTATGGCTCATTTTAAGAAGTAAAAAAAAATTATGGTCTGAAACTTTTTTTAGACAGCCCAAATGGTGGTCTTACAGAAACATAATATTTAAAATTAAGTTTCAGAATAAGCTAATAGAAGAAACAAAAGAACTACAAAAAAAATATGAACAAAAATTAATAAAAAAGTAAAATTATTTTGAAACCTAAAAAAATCTAGGGATAAAAAGAAAAAAATATTCACTACAGATATTTAAAAGCAGACTTGAGCTGGGGGAAGAACAAACTATCAGCAAACCAAAGAAAGGGTGTTGACATAATTAAGTTAGGACATGATAGAAAAAGTATAAAGCAATGGGAATAAAGCCTAAAATGCCATGGAACACTATCAAGCAGCCATATTACGCATACTGGAAGTTCAAAGGATGAGAAAAAGAATCAGGAAGACTATTTAGAAACAATAATGTTAAAGAATGTCAAAGGCAACAAACTCCAAGTAAGAGAAACTCAAATAAACAAACTCAAATTATATGATAATTAAACTCTTCAAAAGAAAGACAGAGAAAATCCTGAAAGCAACAAAAGAAGTGGCTAGTTATGTTACTGGCTAGTAACCCTCAAAAATAATCAGCAGATATCTTATCTGAAAACTCAGAGGACAGAAAGCAATAGATTAACATATTCCAAATGATGTGAGAAAAAACTTTTGAACAGATATCTTATGTTCAAAACATTGTCCCTTATAAGTGAGGGAGAAATTATGACATTTCCAGATAAAAGCTGGGACATTTTACCAGTAGACTATCTTTTTAAAAAATGCCTTATGGGATACTTCACGGTAAAATGAACAGATAATAAGGAGCAGTATGAATGGATATATATTAAGGTAAAGATAAATATATAAGCTATTATAAAACATAAAGAATATCAGTGTACACCTCCACAATGTGTTTCCCATGCAATTTAAAACACAAATATATTTAATAAAAATACTATCACTAACTTGCGTTTTTGACATACAGTGCATAAAGGTATGATTTTGAGAACTCAATAAGGAAATCATGGGGGTGCAGTTATACAGGGTTAAGGGATTTGTGTGTTATTGAAAGTCAGCTAGTATAACTTTAAAAGTGGAATACCTTTAGAATATTCAATGTAATCACAGTATCAATGACAATTAAAAAAGAAAAAGAGTAACAGACAGGTAGAAAGCTTTCTGTACTACACCAGAGAGTAAGAGATGTGGATTTAGCTACTCTCACTTGAGGCTACTAAGCCAGCTATCATGCACCATGAGACAAAGCCCAAGCTGTCCCACCAGGGCATAATTGTGGAGAGCCTAAAGCCCATAGCATAGCTGCTATTTCAAACAATTTTCACTACGTCAGTGGTGATGAAATAGAATAGGCTCATCCATACGCAGAACCTGGTAAAGAACTGGAGGCAGAAAGAAGTGGCTATGTGGAGACGCAAATGGAAAAAATTTGGCACAGCAATGGCTCCAATCCTGTGTCTTTCTTCCTGGCTTTCCAGGAGTTTGAGGTTGAAACTATTGTTGACAAAAGATGAGACAAAAATGGAAAGACAGAGGCCAGGCACAGTGGCTCATGCCTGTAATCCCAGCACTTTGCAAGGCTGAGGCGGGCAGATTACGAGTTCAGGAGATGGAGACCATTCTGGCTAATACAGTGAAAACCTCTTTCTACTAAAAATCATAAAGTTAGCCAGGCGTGGTGGCAGGCCCCTGTAATCTCAGCTACCCGGGAGGCTGAGGCAGGAGAATCGCATGAACCCAGGAGGTGGAGGTTGCAGTGAGCCGAGATTGTGCAATTGTGCCACTGTACTCCTGCCTGGGTGATAGCTCAAGACTTTGTCTAAAAAAAAAAACAAAACAAAACAACAACAACAACAACAAAAATTTTTGGTGTTGCAAAGGTTAAGAAGAAACGGTATGACACTTGGGAACCAGAGCAGCACCGGTCAAAAATATATATATTACTTTAACAGATGACAGACTGAAAAACAGAAAAAGTAAAAAAGTGGCATGGACCAGAACAACTAGAACTTTTTCAAACAATACCAGAAGATGAACTTCTACATCTACCAAGCCCAACTTTTCTAAGAATACTCCTAAAACGCTAGTGTCTGGCCAACACCACAAATTCAAAAGCAGCCAGTTATGTTCTGCCAGCCAGAATGTTAGCAGTAATCCAGGGTCACCTCTGTCCGACCCAAAGAATATGGAGCTACTGTGTTCAACTATCAAGAAAGACACTTGCCCCTTACAACCCTTTTAACAACAAGAACACAGTGAGTGGCATTCAGGAACTCTAGAATCTGGACCCTATTGCAGCAGATCAGCAGGATACAGTGGTCTTCAAGGAGGAGGAAGGGAAGATCATCAGGGCTTTATCAGATCCCAGGGCAGGACATTGTGGAATAGAGAGCAAGACCCAGATTCAACCACTATTTTCTCAGAGGTCTGGCTCAGTTACGGCTTCCATGGCTGCAGACTCAGCTACCAAAAAAGGTATAGTGGTATTAATGGGCCAATCGGCAGCCAATGGAAAAACAGATGTGCATACATTAGTTGCAAGAGTGAAAGTTGGGCAAAGAAATGTTACTGACGGTGGCAGAGACCAGCTTTTTATCCAGAAGATGTACCTCATCATAGGCCTAGCAGAAAGTGCCAGCACATACAGAGATATTGCAGTGAAGAAAGAGGACAGATTCACCCAGATGTGCCTATAAACTAGATCAACATAAAAAATGTACTGAATATAGAAGTAATTAAAGCAATGGTTAATGCTCTGAATAGGGCTGCTGTGGGTGGCAGCAAGCTTGTGCTGTTCAGTGCAGCTGGAAGTGTCTTTTGCTGTGGTCTCGATTTGGGGTACTTTCTGAAGTATTTAAGGAAGGACAGAAACAGAACAAGCCTTGAGATGGTGAACACCATCAAGAACTTTGTGAATACTTTCAATCAATTTTAAAAGCCTGTTTTTGTATCAGTCAGTGGCCCATCCTTTGGAATAGGTGCATCCACACTGCCTCTTTGTGATTTCTTCTGAGCTAATGAAAAGCCTTGGTTTCAAACCCCTTATATGACATCTGGACAGAGTCCAGATGGCTGTTGTGTTACTTTAGTTCCTACTTGAACTTTGCATCATCCAGCCTCCTTAATTATTGTGGCCATGAGACATTACTTCATCCCTTGATTGATCCCAGGCCAAGGTCTCAGGCCAAGCTGTCACTTCAGCTCCTTCTTGGTCCAGGGCCAAGTTCCAAGGCTGAGCCTTGTAGCTTCTACAAATCATCACTTCAGCTCCAGATGAATCCAAGGCCAAGTTTCAGGGCCAAGCCAAATAACGCCTACTCCAAGAACACTAAGCACATTTCTTTACTTCTCTGCCCTTAGAAACCGTAAAGCACAGCCTCATAGTAGGTAAACCACTCACATTTCACCCCTCACTGTGAAGAGTTTTTTACTTTCACTTATAAAAGTTTTGATTCAACCTTTTTGCATCCATCCTCCTGAATTTTCTTGGCCATGAGACAAAGAACTCTGTGTGATACCTCACAATTAGAGATTTCTAGATCGTAGTGCACTAATGAGACTGCAATGATTGAAGTCTGGGAATTGAGCTCTGGGACGCATCAGCCTTGCGAGACCAACTGACACACTGTCCCCACACTGTGATACACACCCTTGGGGTCAGTCAACCATATAGTGGTCACCAATGGAGTCTGAAAAGGGGCAAGGCAGATTTATACAGCCTAGAAACCTGAGGGACACCATCAAGCAGCCATACATACGCATTTTGGAAGTTCCAAGGAAGAGACAAAAAATCATGGATACTATTTAACAACATAGTCATAAAGAATGCAACAATTTAAGACAATAAGTAAGCACCCAAGGAGCTCAACAGACTCCAAGTAACAAAAACTCAAAGAAACAAACTCAAACTTACCTGATAATTAAACTGTCTAAAATAAATACAAAGAGAATCTTGAGGATTTTCAAGGGAAGCAGGGGAAGTAGCTAGTCATGTAAAAGGGACCCTAAAAATAACCAGTGGATCGCTTATCTGAATAACCACTGAAAAGCAGTAGATTTCTTATCTGAAAACTAAAACGATGGAAAGCAGTAGCCTAATATATTGCAAGTGATGTCAGAAAAAACTGTCAAGCCTAAACATTATGATCCACCAAACTGTCCATCAAAGGTGAGGGACAAATTATGACATTCCCATATACAAACTGGCACCTTTTACAAGTAGACTACCCTTTAAGAAATGTCTTATGGAGTACTTCAGGGTAGAATGGACAGACACTCAAAAGCAGTATGAACAAGCAAAGATTAAGGTAAAGATAAATACATGAACAAATATGTAAGATAAAAAATTTGGCCGGGCGCAGTGGCTCACGCCTGTAATCCCAGCATTTTGGGAGGCTGAGGTGCGTGGATCACGAGGTCAGGAGATCGAGACACTCCTGGCTAACACGGTGAAACCCCGTCTCTACTAAAAATACAAAAAAAAATTCGCCGGGCCAGGTGGCAGGTGCCTGTAGTCTCAGCTACTCGGGAGGCTGAGACAGGAGAATGGCGTGAATCCGGGAGGCGGAGCTTGTAGTGAGCCAAGATCGCACCACTGCACTCCACCCTCGTTGACAGGGCGAGACTCCATCTCAAAACAAAACAAAACAGAACAAAACAAAACAAAACAAAACGAACAATTAACAATGTGCACCTCCACAATTTGTTCTCCACACAACTTAAAACACAAATATATTTAATAAAAAAACTACCACTAATTTGTGTTTTTGACATAAAATCAATAAAGGTATAATTTTGAGAACTCAGTAAGTGAAATAATGGAGGTACATTATACAGGAGTAAAGGCTTTGTATGTTACTGAAGGTAAGCTAGTGTAACTTTAAAAATGTTATAACATTAGAATGTTCCATATAATCGTCATAGCAACCACAATTAAACAAAGAAACACAAAAGAGTAACAGGCAGGAAGAAAGCTTTCTGTACTACACCAGAGGGTTGGGGCTGTGGATTTAGCTACTCTCACCTGAGGCTACTGAGCAAGCTGTCATGCACCACGAGACAAAGCCCAAGCTGTCCCACCAGGCAGTAAGTGTGGAGAGGTTCAGGCACATGGCATAGCTGCTATTTCGCACAATTTTCACTACACCAGTGGTGACCAAATAGAAGAGGTTCATCCATACACAGAACCTGGTGAAGAGCTGGAGGCAGAAAGAAGTGTCTATGTGGAGACGCAACTGAAACAAAGGTGGCACAGCAACTGTTCCAATCCCGTGTCTTTCCTCATGGCTTCCCAGGAGTTTGAGGTTGAAGCTATTGTTGACAAAAGACAGGATAAAAATGGGAATACACAGTATTTGGTTCGGTGGAAAGGTTATGACAAACAGGATGACACTTGGGAACCAGAGCAGCACCTCATGAACTGTGAAAAATGTGTACATGATTTTAATAGACGACAGACTGAAAAACAGAAAAAACTGACATGGACTACAACCAGTAGAATTTTTTCAAACAATGCCAGAAGAAGAACTTCCAGATCTACAAAAGCAAACTATTCTAAGAACTCTCCTAAAACTCCAGTGACTGATAAACACCACAGGTCCAAAAACTGCAAGTTATTTGCTGCCAGCAAGAACGTTAGGAGAAAGGCAGCTTCAACTCTCTCCGACACAAAGAATATGGAGATAATAAATTCAACTATTGAGACCCTTGCACCTGACAGCCCCTTTGACCACAAGAAAACTGTGAGTGGCTTTCAGAAACTTGAGAAACTGGACCCTATTGCAGCAGATCAGCAGGACACGGTGGTCTTCAAGGTGACAGAAGGGAAACTCCTCCGGGACCCTTTGTCACATCCTGGTGCAGAACAGACTGGAATACAGAACAAGACTCAGATGCACCCACTAATGTCGCAGATGTCTGGCTCAGTTACTGCTTCTATGGCCACAGGTTCAGCTACCCGAAAGGGTATAGTGGTATTAATAGACCCATTAGCAGCCAATGGGACAACAGACATGCATACCTCAGTTCCAAGAGTGAAAGGTGGGCAAAGAAATATTACTGATGACAGCAGAGGCCAGCCTTTTATCAAGAAGATGCACTTCACCATAAGGCTAACAGAAAGTGCCATCACATACAGAGACATTGTAGTGAAGAAAGAGGATGGATTCACCCAGATAGTGCTATCAACTAGATCGACAGAAAAAAATGCACTGAATACAGAAGTAATTAAAGAAATGGTTAATGCTCTGAATAGCGCTGCTGCAGATGACAGCAAGCTCGTGCTGTTCAGTGCAGCTGGAAGTGTCTTTTGCTGCGGTCTTGATTTTGGGTACTTTGTGAGGCACTTAAGGAATGACAGAAACACAGCAAGCCTTGAAATGGTGGACACCATCAAGAACTTTGTGAATACTTTTATTCAATTTAAAAAGCCTATTGTTGTATCAGTCAATGGCCCTGCCATTGGACTAGGTGCATCCATCCTGCCTCTTTGTGATCTCGTGTGGGCTAATGAAAAGGCTTGGTTCCAAACCCCTTATACGACCTTTGGACAGAGTCCAGATGGCTGTTCTTCTATTACATTCCCCAAAATGATGGGTAAAGCATCTGCCAATGAAATGTTAATTGCTGGGCGAAAGCTGACAGCACGGGAGGCATGCGCCAAAGGCCTGGTCTCTCAGGTATTTTTGACTGGAACTTTCACCCAAGAGGTTATGATTCAAATTAAGGAGCTTGCCTCATACAATGCAATTGTACTGGAAGAATGTAAGGCCCTCGTTCGCTGTAATATTAAGTTGGAGTTGGAACAGGCCAATGAGAGAGAGTGTGAGGTGCTGAGGAAGATCTGGAGCTCAGCCCAAGGGATAGAATCCATGTTAAAGTATGTTGAAAATAAAATTGATGAGTTTTAATTGTCAGTCTGTCTGCTCAGGACACAAGAACTAAGGGGCAACAAATGCATCATGAGTTGCAAGATGCCCTAATCCATCTTCATAGCCCAAAACAATTTCACCCATAGCTAAGGCTTGGAAACAGAACTGCAAATGTCCAAGCTATGTATTTAAATTATCACATCATTTTTAAGCACTGTAGCTTTACAAGGAGTAACAAAACAGCCTCTTTGCCCAAATGTGATTATTTTAGGCACACCTAAGCCCAAATATAAAAACAGACTGTTGGGTACTAGACTCTTCTTGCAAGCTCTAATATGTATCTATGGCTACTACTATATATAAGACCAGAGTTGTGTTTTATTAGATGTTTATGACAGAGAATCCTGTAATAATGTTGATTTTTTCTTACTTTTATATCCTAGAATACCTCTATTGGGATATAAAGCAGCCTTAGCTTCCCTCCCAGAAAGACACAGAACGATCAGAGATGGTGCCCTTGACTTTATAGTGGCACAAACACTTCAGAGACACACAATTATAAGAGACTTATCTTTTAGCATAAATACTTATGGCACAAAATCCACTGACGATCATTCTCCTAAACTGAACACATGACTAGAATTGGTGGTGAGATATCGCTTGATTTTCTTTTCCTTTATAAATGTCTAGTTCTTACCCAGTTAACAAAAGAAAACTTTATCGCTCTAAAGTAAAACTTGTTACACCACATTAGTGAATTATGGAATCATTTTGGTGGAAATATCCAGGTTCTAATGTGTGGAATGTGCAGATTTAGGTTACTTTAGTGTATGTTCTAGTTAATAAGTTAAAATTCTGGACACATTATTAAAGGCAGAAACTTCTTTCAAAACAAACACCCCTACACTCTGTATGACCTTTACAATTATCAGTGTCTCTTTTTATGAGCACACAATTTTCTAGAACACTGTATGTGCTCAGTTATGCAAAAGCTCTATGAATCCTGTCTTGTTGGTTTTTATCGAGGCTCCATTACATAGGCATAATTGAATAATCCACTGGCCACTGGTGATGAATGTCATCTTTGTCACAAGATCTCTAGTGTGTCACTTCACCAGCCAAGAACCTCTCTGGATGATGGCACCTTTGTGCAAGGTTCCCTTGAGCCTGCTTTTCTAATTTTACAAACCCATCTTACAGGCTGCACTCAGCTCAAACTATGGGCTTAGGTTTCATTTTGCTATGGATGCACCAGGCACAGACTGGAGGCAGATACATGAGTGAGTGTTGGTTCAGTCCAGCCACTGCACACAGCTTTGCCTGTTATCTGTGATGAGGTAAGCAGGTCAGGTGCTGGTACAGGTGACAGCTCCCTGAAAACCTTTAGGTGAATCAGGCATACCACAAGCTTTCTCTTCTGCAGGCACTGAAGAATGCAGTGGCATCCACAAAAGAAGAAATGCCAGAGAATGCAAAGACCCAAGGACGTCATCCTAGCCCTGGCATGGGAAAGGTTTAGAGCTGGGGTATCTAAAGGGCCAATGTCCTGCTTTCTTTTTCCTTTTTTCTTTTTTTTTTTTCTTATCTATGGGATCACTATGACTTAAATTAGGGTTTTCAAAGGGCTCTGTCTCTCTTTCTACTGGAAATTAGCATCTTGTCTTTTCTTCACTCTTTCTCTCTTTGACTGCTTTTTATTTACTATGACATGCTATAGAAGAAATGCATCTTGGCCCAGCATCTTTCTGTTGACTGTAGGGCTATTTGTCAGAAGCAGTAAGATTTTGGCTCAGCAATAAGGTAACATCTTCCCATTTAAGACCAAAAAAAGGGCTAGATATTAGAAAGGCTCTATATATTTATTGATGTATCAGAAAACTTCCCCAGGTCTTACTTTATTTGTTTAAGGTACTGTAATGAAAAAGAAACTTGCACTTTACTGGCACCTCATTCATTGGGCATTTCCTATAGGGGTAGTAAGGAACGTGGAGGGTTGGATGTAAAAACTGGAAAAGCTGATGATGATGTGACTAAAAGATTCTCTGCATCAAGAAGATGAGAAAACCTGTGGTAACAAATGTGGTTTTGAGTGTTTCCAGGGAGAATGTTTCTCTGACGTTTGGGAGTTGTTTCTTGTGGGCTTTTCTGATATGACTGCTAAGAAAGCAGGAACAATTTTACAGTATTTACAAAGATGTGGGTGGTTTCACAGGGCAAAAAGCCTTGCACATAGGAAACTTCAAACAATGTGCCTTTGACTCTCAGAAACTATCTAGGTCTTCAATAGTATTGACAAAGAAAAGCTACATAGTTGTGGTGGATTATTGGTAAAATTTCTGCAAGCAGAGAAACAGCCTGAAATATCAGGCTGCAGACACAAATTTAAGAATCCTGCACAATCCTGTGGCCCAAGCAAATAATTTTTTTTTAAAAAAAGCCCAACTTTTTGTGTGTGTGTGCTTAAGACATGCCCACAGCTACTCAGATTAAAAAAAAAAAAAAACAAACAAGACCCCGCATTAAAATGTTGTGTCTTTTGTGTAACCAGAGTGCTTCCAGGAAATAGTCTCTCTCTTTTTTAGAACTTGTACATATTGGACTCCAATGTGTTACAAAGGGTACCTTATATTACTAAACATACTTCAGACTCCGAGCCAAATTTCTGTAAATTATCATTTAAGACTCTGGTCCCAGGCCAAGGTCCTGGGCCATGCTTTCCCTTTAGCTCTTGTGTGGCTCAGGGCCAAGTTCCTGAGCCAAGCTGAGTCATTACATCCGCCATTAATAGTTCCAGGCACAAGGACCCAGAAAAGATGAGAAGTGCTTTCTTCAAAACTAGTTAGTACCTTTTCTTCCTTCTGAGTCCATAAAAATATCAGACTCTTTCTCAAAGTGGGCAACTGACTCTACTCCACCAGAAGTTAACATGTTAAACATTTACTATCATCTCACCTTTTGCATTCCTAATTTTTAATTTTCTTGAGATTAAAAAGATCTGTGTGTCACCTAAAAATGAGAGACTGATACATTGTGGTTCACTGGGGGACAGCAAAGTTTGTTTTTGGTTCATGGACTTGGAAAGGCCTTAATTAAAAAGGTCAGTAGGGGCTGGGCATGGTGGCTCATGACTGTTATCGCAGCACTTTGGGTGGCCAATGTGGGAAGATCAGGAGGAGATCAAGATGGAGATCATCCTGGCTAACATGGTGAAGCCCTCATGAAGTCTACCAAAAATACAAAATATTAGCAGGGTGTGGTGGTGGGCAGCTTTAGTGACAGCTGCTTGGTAGGCTAAGGCAGGAGAATGGCATAAACCCGGGAAATGGAGCTTGCAGTTAGCCAAGATCATGCAACTGGACTCCAGTTTAAGTGACAGAGAATCCATTAGAAAAAAAAAGGGAGTAGGGGTGCCATTCCAAACTATTTACATTCATATCTTCAGCTTGTCCTCTATTTGCTTTCATATCTGCAGCTTGTTCTCAGTTTTTGTTTGTTTGTTTTTGTTATTTGTTTTTTTCTTTTTTTTTAATTTCTGAAGAGCAAACAAAGCTCTGGGCCAGTGCCAGGTAAAATCCGATGGATTGCCTGCCATTCTTACAAAGCTTAGGAGAAAGGGATGCTGGGAGACACATTGGCAGTCTCCTTTCACCCTCCGCTGTTGAAAATGTTGCCTCTGTTCCAACTGTTTTCTTTCAGAGAGGATCCAGCTGTCACATAGGACTGAAAGGATATCTAAGTTAATTGAAGATTTCTGGTTAAGGCTATACCACGGTGTTACGTGAAGGCCTCAAAACTAACTCCAGTTTCTGACAGCCCATCAGAGTGTTGCCACCAAAAATTCCAGGCTTTTCTGTGGCATTTTATTTATTTGTTTTTTGTCATTGTGTGGCTAATGTCCCTCCTATTTCTTCTTTGTATGCAATGTTGAGACCTGGAGATACAAGCTTACTGGTAAAAGTCAGTCAGTAGAAATATAACTCAAAGAGTTGCTATTTTGTGTTTTTTTTTTTCTTTCAAAAGAGGAAGAATTCAAAATTGTGGTCTAAAAATTTTTATTGGATAAGGGTCTTTTTGTCCGCCGATGATAGACATTCATGACTCTGTTGGGAATGACATACATTCCAATAAATTTTCCCTGTTTGGCGGGTGACTTCTCTTTAAAAAGCTCAGCACAGCCATATATATCTAAACAGTTTCTTTGTGAGACACATCTTCTTTTTTCTGCAGAGACACATACTGTGGGGACAGGCGATAGAGCGTTAACCTTCCTTTTCTAAGTTTTGACTATATAAACCTGGAATTCAGCATTTTCATGGAATATCTGAGATCTTAAAATGCAACCTAGTAAAATGAGGTTTTTCTCTTGGGGAAGGCTTGTCAGTACTTTGCACAAAACCCTTGGATTTTAATTCCTCTCTCTGTTATATCTCTCTAACTCTGTGCCCTATCAGTAAACAGAAAATTTCCACTTTCAATAATCAGAAAGAAGGTGTCTTTGAGAGACATATTTTAGCTAAGTGCTGTCTTATGAAAGCCAGCCATACAAGCTTTACTTGCTTTGAGGCACACCTTCTTCCTCCAGCAGCACTGACATTTAAACTAACGGAGAATTTTATGTTTCAACTCAATCTATCTTATTTCCTGCAATTTCAGTATTTTTTCTAGGCCATAGCAAGGGAAGCCACAAATAGTATTAAAATTCTTACTCTATACAAGTGTCTTGCTAGAATCCAATGACTATATAATCTTTTTTTTAGGCTCCCAAGTTACTCTGGGTATCTTCTGGGTTGAGTAGGCTTAAGAAATCAACAAAGAGTCACCAGTAGAGAGCTAAAGCCTCTGCAGGAAAATGTTACTTGTCCTGCTGTCTAGATCCTCTAGAACTGTGGGTGAAGGTTTAGCTTCCATCCATGGGGGACACCTATGTCAGTCACCAGACTCAGAAAAGACAAGAGGAATGCAAAAACAAGGAATATCCTATCTTTTTATTCAGTCAGGGCTATTTCAAAAGGGGGAAAAAGAGAATAGGAATTTTTTTTATATATTTCTTTAGAAACTTCACAAACTGTCTGCAGTACGCACCTCTCTAGATTACATTCTGAAACACAGAAATTTCACTGACTGTGAGACTCTGAAAAATGAAAGTGGCTTATTTATGTATTTATTGCTCAAGGGCATGACAGCCCTACCAGCTCCAGGACAGACATGCCTAGCTTTCTGAGGGAAGTGTTCGCTTTAGTACTATTCAACAGGTATATCTTTTCTTCAGATGGCAAAGAAAAGAGTATGATTTTTTTTTTCTTTTTTGGACAACCTTACTTTGACGTGGGAGACAACCCAGATCTTTCTAAGTATTGTAAAACTGACTCTGCCCTCTTGTCAGTCATAACAGGCAAGTTCCAAAGAGATAATTCATTAAAGTCAGAGACAAGCCCCTGAGGAACCCTCAAATGTATCTTCTAAATGTCATACCTGCCACCCTCATTTAGAAGCTCCAATAGCCATTTCATCATCTTGTCTTGTTGTGCCACTAAAGAAAACCCAACCTCACTGTTGCCCCTGTGGAAAATACTCCATAGATGTGATACTAGTATAGCAGAAGTTTTCTTCTCATTGCAAAGACTTAGACAAAGAAATGAAAAAGATAAGCAAATGTCCTCTGACGACCCTGGTGGATATACAGAGATATTTCAAAATCTAACTCAAGTGTTCAATCATGCCTGAATAGATGATACATTACTGCTAAACCAAACCCTAACTGTTGCCCTAAAGCAGGCAGCTTTACAGAGAGCAGAGTTATCCATGGATGAACCACATGTCTTTTATAAAATCTTGAAAAAGGGAGGGTGAAAAGGAATAAAAAAAGTTGAACTGATAACAGAATTCTTATTCGTAATAGGAAAGGACGGAGTGCTGAAAACTCGATTGGAATCTTATTGGTCCTATAGAGGAGTGAAAAAAAAAATTAGTGAGCCTACTGGAAGGCTTATAAGTGAACAGGACAAAACTTCATAATTACTCTAAACTATTCATAATAGGTTAAAACCACAGAAAAATTATAGAGCCTTTTTTAAAATCCTGAGAGAGGCTTTAGTGAAACACATGTTCCTATCTCCCTATTGGGTTAAGATAAAGTTAATCTTAAGAGAAAAGTTTATTACTCAAGCAGACCCTGACATCAAAAGAAAACTGCAAAAATGTGTCATAGGTTCAGATAATATTGTTCTTTTAACAATGCACCAAGACATAACAGCCTTTCTTTCATTTGAGATTACACTAAGAGTCTTTTATTTTACATTTAAGAAGATTAAGGACTGTAGACAAAGGAAACTGTTTGGAGCAAAAGTTTAAATAAGTGGCAAAAGCAGCTCTCTGCCAGCAGAGATAGAAGCTTGAATAAGTTGTCCACTGGGGTTTAAGGTTTTTATGGCCTAAAAAATAAAGATATATACTTAGTTTGCAAGCTGTCTTGGAGAATGGGTGACTTAGCTTTGCCCTGGCCCAGGACCTATTAGACAGCTTAGCCCAGGCACTTTGCCTGGGAGCAGTCTGAAGTGGTAATTTGCAAAGACTGCTTAGCTTGGTACAGGACCTAAAGTAAAAGCTTGTTCTGGGATGCTGGCTCAGGACCAGTCAGGGACTGAAGTGATGATTCATATGGGTTGAGCAACCAGTGAAATACAAAAATAAATATTTCATCCAATACCCGCTAGATCCCACTGCGTTTATGCCCACAAAAAAAAAACAAAACAAAACAAAAAACAACTTTATTTTCTGAAAGCCCTCTGTGTATACAGAAAACAACAAGCCTATGCCAGGCATTGGTTCCCCATCTGAATCAGTGGGAGGTTTGTACAAGATTTTATCTGAATGGACTGAAGGTTCTGTTATCTGTGTTGCTGCAGCCATGCTGTCAGGCACAACCTTCTGTGTTAAATCTCTTACTGGTACACACACGTTTTTTTTGGCCTGGTTATTATGTTATGTTGGAATCAGGCCCTTACTTGTTTACTGGAGGTCTTCCAGGAACCCATTCCTTGCTGTTTACATGGGAAAAGCTGGTTAAGTTGTCTTTGTCCTCCCTCAGAAATGAAAACTCTAACTTCTGTTAGGAGATTGGGCATTGGTCTTTCTGGATACTTTCTGCTGGAGAAGAGTGTTGTGTAGAAAACAGTATGTAGGATCTACTGAGGGTTGGTTTAACTGTTTGTAGAAGAAAGGCCTGTTAATGCATGGTTTTATTTGCATTACGTTTTAAAGTGTGATAGACTTTAGGCACAAAAAGAAAACCAGTTTGGATTATTAGAAAAAGCATATCACAACTAGACAAGGAGAGTAAGAACAGCTGAAATACTTCAAGGCTGCTGACGTGCCCGTGTAACTGTGGCTATATTTACACCTGTTAAGATTTTGTTACATGAGACTTGGATTTATTTAGCTTTCTTGATTTGATCCTTTGAAACAAAAATTCTGTTACAGAAACCCTATTTTCTTTTATGACCTGCAAATATTTGTGGAATGAGTTCCCAGAATTAGAATATTGTTCTAGATTTATCTATTACTCATATCTTTCTGTTTTCCAAGAACGGTAGCTGGACCTCACCAGTTGGTTCACAGAAAAAAAAAAAAAAGGTTAATTAATATTGTACAAACATCTTAAAAACAACGTATGAGATGAGAAGTTAGTGATAGAGGTGTGATAGGCTGTGAGACCTCTATCTTGTTTTAGTCCTAATTTTTGTTAAGAACGAATTATGACAAAAGTTAGTTGTTGGCAAAACAGACTTGTCCTACACTTAGCCAGAATATTTTTGTACAGTGCTGTGAGAAATACCTTTACATGTGCTTTCCTCATGGGCTTTTATGAATCTCTATTCTACAAGGAATCTTAAATAGGACATTATAAAGCTGAGTCCAACTATAGGTTTGACCCTTGGATACATATTATTTGGATAAACTCCTCTATTGTTTTGAGATTCCAAGTGCATGTGGTTCCTAGGCCTGATAGAAAGTGGCTTTTTTTTTTTCTCTTACTGCAGATTAGAAAACCTGTATTGGGACTGTGTAAACAAAGTATAAGGCTGCGTTTCTTAGAGGGCTTTTATTGGTTCTAGAAGTCAGATGTAAGTCATTAAAGAAGGCACACTCTTCCAGTCAAAGCCTTAGAAAATCAACCCGCTTATTCTATTGGGTTATGCTGCAAATGAAAGTACATTTTTGTTGCACTGAGTAAAACGATTATATTGTTGTAAGTTAAGAATAATCACACATACTTTCCGAATTTTAGAGGAACTAGGCACAGAGAAAAAAAGCATGTTTTGAGTTTTGCTAACAGGAGTATACCAATTGACAGTTTTAAAAGCTGTAGCTAGTTTAAAAAAAAGTGCACTTGACTTTAAAAAACAAAACAAGAATTAGAAATATTCTAAAGGTAAAGAGATTGTTTCATTCTTCTGTTAGTTTAGTCTATTTTAACATTTGTCCTGCTTGACATTTATAAGCATTTTAGCTATTCCTAAGTTCTGTACATTTTCCTGTTATAAAAAAACCTACAGTTGAGAACAGCTGGTACAGTTCTACAGCTAATTATAAGTCGTTATTCTTGATGAAGATTAAATGTCTGTAAATGACAAAATGTCTAGTGTGGTTAGAAACAGCATAGGCAAAGACATTTGGTTACTTCCGTGGTTTACAATAGCTTAACATAATAACTTTAAATAAAAATGGTAGCACGTATTCAGATATTAAGAACATTAAAAACCTCATGTGGTTTTGAGCCCTGTGTTAATGTTACCCACTAAAATATATTCTGAAAAAAATAAAATATTACCATCAAAATCACATGTATTTAAATGTGTTTTATAATCCTGTTTAACTTTTTCTTTTATGCCCCAGGGGCTCTCTGAGGCATCCAAAATATAGGGTTCAGAAAATACATCCTTGAAGTTAAAATTTTATTCTGGGAAGCCTGCCAAATATTTTAGAGGATTAAGACACTTAATGTTATGAAATCCAATTCCAGATTTCCATAAATCATTTGTTTTGCCAAAATACAGTTGGTAGAAATGTTTGAAAGGGCAGAAACACTTTTATCAGCCTTCAATATTACATGATAATCTCTTTCAGAAGGACAAATTTTCCCCTTGTAGTTGTCTCCTAATGTTAACCCTAAGCTTAATGAAACCTTATGTAAAATTATTTTAACCTTAGAAAGTTTGACAAAGAAGTGAATTTTCACAAACTTATTACAACATTTTAACAAACTTTTACAAATTTGCTAAAGAGAAGATTAATGTTTCAAGAAATTTTTGTTGTGTTTTCACTTCAATGCTTAATGGCAGAAATAAACATAATACCCTTTTCAATCTAGTTAGTAGGTTCACAGGGTTTTCTTTTGCAAGATTAATTTTTTTGCAGTATTTCTCACAATTTGTGTAAACAGCTTTATTTTAGTTAATTAAAGAAAATTCTTTAACTCTAGGCAAAATGTACATTTCCATGCCTTTCTATAATTTATTCTCACTACAAACACATTTTACTCTTCTACCACACCTGGCAATTAAATTTATATACAGTATTCTCAATTACACATTATAGTAATATCTTTTAACAATTAATAACTTGACTATAAAACCTGGTGAGTTTATAAAATTACGGGCTGGGTGCAGGTAAAGTATGATTTATTACAGCATAGTTAAAGGAGTGGTTATTTTTATACATCTTCAGGCCTTCGGTGGCTTTCGTTTTTCATAAGTTAAAGTCACATGAACTGAGAAGTACAACAGCCTTCATTTCTTTGGAAGCAAAATATTTAGTTCAACTACCTATTCTTCACTAAGTTAATTAATTAGATTTTTAAAATATATACATAACACATATGTAAACACAGAGAAAACAGAAGTTCCAGGAGTCATAAAATTTTATTTTACTAATTTTCCAATTGGATTATTGACCTCTTGCTGTGGCCCTTTAAGAAACGGGCTATGAATAGTTTCCAGGGCCTAATAAAAAAAGCCTCACTGATGCTGGGCATGGTGACTCACACCTGTAATCCCAGCACTTTGGGGGGCCCATGTTTGGGGATCAAGAAGTCAAGAGATCATGGCCAAAATGGTGAAACCCCATCTCTACTAAAAATATAGAAATTAGCTGGGCATGTTTGTGTGCACTTTTAGTCTCATCTAATTGGGGGCTAAGGAAAGGAGAGCCGTTTGAACCCAGGAGGCAGAGGTTGCAATGATTCAAGGGTGTACTGCTGCACTCCCGCCTGGTGACAGAGTGAGACCACGCCTCAAAAAAAAAAAAAAAAAAAAAAAAAAAAGCAGAGCTGGAAGAGACAGCCTTTCATTTTCAGAGGTATTATTCACTTCTAATTCCAAGAGCTACATAAGAAATGCAGATTTCTCATAAAAGACGATTGATGGTGTCTCTTCTGTTAGCCTCAAGATGTCCCTGACCATCAGCTTTTATCCAAGAACCTTTTATGCATTCACCAAAAGTGTCAAGATTGAGTGGAGAAAGGTAACTTAGTCGACTGAAAGAAAAAACATTTTCAAGGAAACAAGGTTTATGAGGAGAAAATCATGAACGTCTTGAATACATGTATAGCATAAATCTCCATTTTTAATTAATCCAATTGCTTTCTAAGAGTGTTTTCATTAATTTAACTTTACAGAGAATATCAAGAGAAGTGTCTATTATTTATTTCACCGGTTTACACCACTATGTGTTCACAATCAGGTTCAACAACTCAACTTTCCCCTGACAGAAAGCTGCTGGATTCAGGCAAGTACAGGCTTTCAAATGGGCTGCAGATCCCTTCAATAGCAAAGCTTGATATTTAAGGAGGTGACTGTCAGTTCGCAAGAGACTTTTTTAAGGAAACACAGTACTGCTATGCTATGTGGTGTAGAAACAGATATGTCATTTTCATGGTTAACCTGATGGTTTCTGGCACCAACAATATCACTGATGCAGCTGCTCAGTGGTAAGTTGCCCATTTTTTTTTTTTTAGAAACCAAGCTAAATTTCTTCCTTAGGTAAACCACTGGATGTTGATCTGGACCTCGAGCCTCATCCGTAATTTCAACGTCTGCTTTCTCTATTTCTGATACATGGAGATTAAGTGCCTTTACTATGAAAAAACTGAGGGCTTCTGCTTTAAGTAAGGTTTGTTTAACTGGTTAAATTTTTTTGAGTACCAGGTTATTAAGTTAAACATGAGTTTTATCTGCTTTAGTTTCTTCTATGAGGTGGTATAAAAGACGAGCTAATTCTCTGTACGGAGGTACCTGCCATCTGAAAAATCAAGTACTGCCCAAGAATATTCTTAACTGTTAAGAAAAATGGGCTGAATTGTTTCATGACCTTGTACATTGGTCTCTTCTGATAAGACCAGATCCAGCTACTGTACTGAAGTCTGAGAGAGCTGAGCTTTAGATGTTGAGACCCAATAGTCTTTTTATTTTTAATTTTTGTCAGATAGTTTAGCAGAGCATTAGCGCATTCCCAGGAAGCCCATCACAATCTTGCTATTATTGTTATCTCACCAGTACACAAACACATAACAGTCTCTACTTATCTAAGGTAATACTGGGGGTTTCTTTTCTATGTCTTAGGAGAATAAAGATCGCAGACACATTTTAAGAAGGCTAAAGAGCAGTAAGGTTGAAGAGAAAGTTTAGTAAGTGAAATAAAAAAGCTCGATGCCAGCAGTGATGTGGTCAAAATGGGTTAACCAATGTGAAACTTGGATTTAGGGTTTTTTGTTTTGTTTTGGTTTTTTTTTTTATTTATTTTTATTTTTTTTATTATACTCTAAGTTTTAGGGTACATGTGCACATTGTGCAGGTTAGTTACATATGTATACATGTGCCATGCTGGTGCGCTGCACCCACTAATGTGTCATCTAGCATTAGGTATATCTCCCAATGCTATCCCTCCCCCTTCCCCCGACCCCACCACAGTCCCCAGAGTGTGATATTCCCCTTCCTGTGTCCATGTGATCTCATTGTTCAATTCCCACCTATGAGTGAGAATATGCGGTGTTTGGTTTTTTGTTCTTGCGATAGTTTACTGAGAATGATGGTTTCCAATTTCATCCATGTCCCTACAAAGGATATGAACTCATCATTTTTTATGGCTGCATAGTATTCCATGGTGTATATGTGCCACATTTTCTTAATCCAGTCTATCATTGTTGGACATTTGGGTTGGTTCCAAGTCTTTGCTATTGTGAATAGTGCCGCAATAAACATACGTGTGCATGTGTCTTTATAGCAGCATGATTTATAGTCCTTTGGGTATATACCCAGTAATGGGATGGCTGGGTCAAATGGTATTTCTAGTTCTAGATCCCTGAGGAATCGCCACACTGACTTCCACAATGGTTGAACTAGTTTACAGTCCCACCAACAGTGTAAAAGTGTTCCTATTTCTCCACATCCTCTCCAGCACCTGTTGTTTCCTGACTTTTTAATGATTGCCATTCTAACTGGTGTGAGATGATATCTCATAGTGGTTTTGATTTGCATTTCTCTGATGGCCAGTGATGATGAGCATTTCTTCATGTGTTTTTTGGCTGCATAAATGTCTTCTTTTGAGAAGTGTCTGTTCATGTCCTTCGCCCACTTTTTGATGGGGTTGTTTGTTTTTTTCTTGTAAATTTGTTTGAGTTCATTGTAGATTCTGGATATTAGCCCTTTGTCAGATGAGTAGGTTGCGAAAATTTTTTCCCGTGTTGTTGGTTGCCTGTTCACTCTGATGGTAGTTTCTTTTGCTGTGCAGAAGCTCTTTAGTTTAATTAGATCCCATTTGTCAATTTTGGCTTTTGTTGCCATTGCTTTTGGTGTTTTGGACATGAAGTCCTTGCCCACGCCTATGTCCTGAATGGTAATACCTGACTTCAAACTATACTACAAGGCTACAGTAACCAAAACAGCATGGTACTGGTACCAAAACAGAGATATAGATCAATGGAACAGAACAGAGCCCTCAGAAATAATGCCGCATATCTACAACTATCTGATCTTTGACAAACCTGAGAAAAACAAGCAATGGGGAAAGGATTCCCTATTTAATAAATGGTGCTGGGAAAACTGGCTAGCCATATGTAGAAAGCTGAAACTGGATCCCTTCCTTACACCTTATACAAAAATCAATTCAAGATGGATTAAGGATTTAGGGTTTTTGTGTGTTGTGAATGGTAAGAAATGCACTTCGTCTGTGGGCTGTCTTAAAAAATGTGTGACGTAGTTCGACCTGGGGCCTTAGATCCCAGCCCAGTCAGAAAGCTTAGCCTGAGACCTTGGCCCAGTACTTAGTGGCTAAAGTGAATATTCATAGGGGATACTCAGTTTAGACAACCTTTCAGAAGCTGAAGTGAACCTGTGGCCTAGGATTTTATCCAGAACTAATCTGAGGCTGAAGTAATGATTCATAGAGGTGGGGGTCACAGTCCAAGAAGAAAAGAAAATTGTTCCCTGGAAGGCACTTGCTCCCACTCTCCCACTCTCTTTGTGTTCACCAAAGGAAAAGAAATATTTCTGGATGTCCACTGATTATAAAATGGACCAATGCATTTCTATTTCAGGCCTTGTTTTCACATTTGAGTAATCTTGAAGTTTCTGCAAGTTTCTGAGTGAGCTGGAGGTTCTTTTATTTGTGCAACTGCAGTCGTGTCTTCAGACACAACTTTCTGTTCTAGTTCATTTATTGGTGCCTGCTGCTTGAATGTTTCTTTCCAGACTGATTTGTATCTTATGTGGAAATGAAGCACTGATCAGTGGGCTGAGAAATTTCTGGAGACACTTCTCTTTCTGTCTATAGAAGGCAAGCTAGCTAACTCTCTTCACTATTGGAGGAGGAGAACCCTGGATTGGAGAGAAGAAGAGAGAAACAGGCTCTAGAATTTAGAAAAATGTTGTTGTTGTTGTTGTTGTTGTTGTTGTTTAATTTCCATTTTACCTCCAGAATTACTTGAATCCTGTAGATCACAATGGCTTGTAGAGCTGGGGAGCCATTATTCCTGCTGAACAATCTGGGAAATACACACTGGACCTGGTGACCTATGGCTCTGGGAACACTTCTACTTTCACTGGTCTCCCCCACAGGCTGGACAAAGTTGAGATATATTCTTTTTCTGCCTGAGCAATTCATTTGAAAGTGTCCTAGCTTGTCACACTAGTAGAAATCAGCAGGTGCCTCTTGGAGATTCCGGCTCTTGTAGGCCTGTGAAGAGGCCAGTAATGCCTCTTTCATTCTCTTGCGACTCCCCTCTTCTTTCTAGGTCTCCTCTCCCCAGTTCTTGTTTTAAAAGATAAAAGCCACCCCAGAAAGTCTTTCAAAGTGCTATCTGATCCCACAGCCTGCTTCTGTAGTTTTGTTCTGATATTAGAGGATGGCTGAGAAATAAAGTAATATTTTAAAATTGTGTATCCCTTAATTAAATTAGGAGATGGAGACACATGTATTGCTAAAGCTTCTCTCAGCCATTCCAAAGAATCTGTGAGTTTTTTTCTAGTTTGTGATTTCAACAAGAACAGTTCAGAGTAATTAAGAAGTCTTGTTCTGGTTCTTTCGAAGCCTGATAATATGCACAGTAGAAAGTGTTTTTCATTTCTATTCATCTGTAGGTTTACCAAGGCTTCATTTGGGGTTTTCAAACAGCACTGTTTTTCTTTCTATTGGAAATAGTAATTCTGTCTTCTTTACTCATCCATTTTCATCTTTCGCTTCTGTTTATTTTCTGACTGACTATAGGATGTCAGTTGTTCATCTTCAAATTCCTTTGCTGTCTGTACTGCTGCCTGTTTTTCCGCAGTAGTTGAAATGTGGCTTAAAAGTTGCACTGCATTTCTGCACATAAGAGGAAACAGCTGATTTAAATGTTGGAAAGCCTGTGCATGTCTATCAGGTTCATCAGGGAACTGTCTTAAGTCCAGCTTTATGTATATAAGTTTACTGTAATGAGAAGGAAATTTAAACCTTAGTAGCACCATATTCATTGTGCATTTGTTATAGGGGCACCAGTAAAGTTGGAATTTTCCTGGGCTTGCACAACCAGAGGTGTTTTTATACAACTATTCTGAGTCCCAGTTAAAGGAGTCAGATAGGGCACTCAGAAATTGCATTTGACAGTTCTCTAGAGATTTCTCTCTTTGACTTTGGAAAATTATGTATTGTAGACTTACCTTGTATGGTTCCCAAAGGCACAGGGGTAATTTTACAATGTTTACAAAATCTAGGGTTTTTTTGAAGAGCAAAAGGACCTAGCTGTTAGATATTATTGAAATTATGCTTCTTTGAGAAGACCTGTCCTCCTATCAGGAACATGGCCACATGGCCACCTTGTTGCCAGTTGAATATCATTATTATTGTTTATAAATTTAGAGACTCAAGGTCAATGGAGTCCCAGTGCTCCCAAGTGCACTCAAGGGGAGTGCAGTCTACAGATGTTTTGTTGCCATCTAGAGACAGAGGGTAAACAAGGTGTCATTCAGATGACTTCCTCCTTTTGGTGTTACACAGGATAAATAGAAAGTGTTACAGTATCCTTTTTCATCTTTTTCCTTTGTCTCATCTGTGCCCCCAAAACTGTAATAGGTGCTGCTCAGAAATGCAAGCATAGCTTTTACACATATATCTGGAGGAGCTAGTCAGAAGCACTAGCCACACTCACCTGTGCAAAGCTGTAGCTTTCTGCCCTCCTTTTGTCCTAGACCCACTGGACCCCAAAGGCTTGAAAGTTACCCCAGAGGCCTTGCAAATGTTATGTAGTAGTAAAATTTGTTCTAGACATTTTAATAGAGGAAATGTCTTCATACTAACTTTGGCTTTGGTAACTATGTTCCCAGTGAAACATCAGAATCTCAGAGAATGAGACAGATTGACTTTCAAACATTTTAAATCCAAAATTATTGCAATGCAGAACAGGTGGCTTAAAACTGTAGAAACTGAATGGCTGAATGGCCCTTCATTAGATGGTGAAAGCAAAGAGGCTAAAATCTGCTCTTTAACATTGTTTTTCTCCCAATAATTAATAGTGGGGGCTGCCTGTTTAAAGATAGGATATGTGGGCTAATCACTGATGACAGAATGTAAATGGGAAAAGAATTTCAAAACTGTAAGTTTTGGACAATGGATTCACAAGGCTCCAGGTAGAAAAGAAATCTCATTTCACGAGGGAGTGATGTAAGGTTAGAAATGCTATGTTAAAATTTCTGACACAAAATTCTCTTTATTCAAAAGTTAGAAAGAGAGATTTTGGGTTAGATAGGTTGTCTCCACTAAATGCCCCCCAACAGGCAAAAATTAACTTGTCTCTTGTAACTTTTATGTGAAGGAAAATAATATCTTTGTAAAAAATTCCACATAAAGGAAAGAGTATTTACTTGCAGTCAAATCCCTCCCATACAGTGCCACGATTATCTGTTATTGAGGGACAAAAAGGCCCTTTTATAGGTAACAATTTATAGTGAAATCTTGAATTCCCCTTGTTTCACAGAAATCACAAAAACAAACCTTTTTAAATTACACTACTAATTACTGAGACAAGGAGTAACTGTGTTAAGCAAACCTGTATACCTAGTATACCGAGGCTGTAAAAATGCCCACAACGCTGCATAGAAAAAAAATATGAAAGATATTATAGCTGTGAAAAGAAAAATTTTAAATTCAATAGATAAAAATGGGAAGTCCTTGTGTTAATGGCCTGACGAGTTGTCACAGACCAGAATTAGTCTAACGATAATCAGATAACACTGAGATGTAGCCTCAAGCTGAAACTTTTAGTGTCCCTGGGATCTCCTCTACATCTCATGTGACTGCCAGGCTCTTTATGAAAAAAAAGTCTTGAAATAAACAAAACATTTTTGAAATGAATTTGGAAGTTTAAAGTCTATTTTTACCATTCTGATGAATTGTTTCCTTCACAGCCCATGCAGAAACATATGTATAGTCTCACCAATGCACCAATATATGTTGCAGTCTCACCAATGCACCCAGATGTAAGAGTATCCCTTTGTCTGTAATTATACCCAAAGATCTTTCCTTTAATAAAAAAAAAAAGAAGCTGAGAAACAAAGTTGAGATTAAAGAAAAAAAAAGCACAAGAAGAAAGCTCTCTGCCAATCAAAAGAAGGACTCAAATGTGTTTCCCACTATGAGGTTGGGGTTCAGGGTTATTACAAACTAGCAAGAGAAAGAAATGTTTTTAGTCAATGGGCTGCTTTGAAGACCATGCAATTTAACTTGGCTCAGGGTCTTGGCCTGAGAATAATTCGAAAGCTTAACCCAAGAAATCTGCCTAGAAATAATCAGGAGGTGTAGTCATAATTTATAGCTGCTGCTCAGCTCATCCCATGACCTATCAGGAGCTGACGTAAAAGCTTGGGTCAAAAATTTGGCCCAGGCTTAATCAGGAACTAAAACAGTAATTTATAAAGGCTGGGCTCACAGTCCAAAAGGAAACAAATGTGCCAACCAGAAGCCACCAGGACCCACTGTGTTTATGCCAAAAAAAAAATGGACAAGAAACTACTTCCTGGGAGCCAACCGATTACACAAATACAAGGGTATTTTTGAGCCATGGCTGGTTCTCTTATCACAATGAGCCAGAGTTTGCACAAGACTTTTCTCTGAATGGACTGAAGATTCTTCTGTCTGTGACAATACGGATCTTGAGATACAACCCTCTGTGTTAGTTATCTTGTTGGTGTCTGCAGACTGATTTTTTTAAGGCTGCTTATGTGTTACGTGTAAATGAGAAATGAACCTGCAGAACGGTGGTTTTCCAGGGACACTTTCCTTGCTGCCTCCCTAACCCAAGCTAGCTTTCTTATCTCAGTAACACTGTAAAGAGCCTCCTGAATGTGGGTACTTCAGATTTTACAATAGGAAACATGAGGAGGCACAAAAGAAGAAGAGTAAAGACAAAAGAAGAACAGAGACTCTAGCTAATGCAATACAGTTTTGTAAAAATCCAAGTCCCTGAGTGGCACCTGCTAACTGCTATCAGTGTGGCAAGACAGGACACTTTCCCAAGAAATGCTGAGAAAACAATAGAAAGCCACCTCAACACTCTCCAACCAGTGGTGGTGACCACTGAAGGGTGTGCTGATTAATGAGGCATGCACCACTAAGTCCAGGACCAGTCTCACAAATGGTCCAGCAAGACTGAGAGTTCCTGGAGATCAATTCCCCAGCTCTAACAGCTGCCATAGTCTTTGGGTTCCAAACTCTTCAAAATCCTTGGGTGATTCTGAAGGTGGAAGGGAGGAAAGTAGACTTCCTTCTCAAAACTGGAGTGGGTGTCTTTGTTCTGCTTTTCAATCTAGGCTTTCTCTCCTCCCATAATGTGACAATGATGGATGTGTCAGCAAAAGTCCTTTATGGAATATTTTCTCAGCCCATTAGTTATAGTTGAAACAACCTTCTATTTAGCCATACCAATTTAATAATTCCTGAAAGTCCCACTTTATTACTAGGTAGAGATATTTTGGCCTATATAGAAGCCTCCATATGAATGGCTGCAGGATAAACTCTTTGTCTCCACTAAGTGGAAACTAATATTAACTAAGAAGTATGGGATGTCCAGAGAAATGTTGCTGGGCTACAACCACTGTATGCATCTGTATTTACATTAAGGATTGCACTATTTTTTTTCTGACCAGAGGCATTATTTCCCAAACCAGAAGGTAGAAAAGGGCTAGAAGTCATTATAAATAAGCTATAAAACAAAGGCCATTTTAGACCCTGCAACAGTCTTTACAAAACCCCAAATATCAAAGAAGGTCATTTTTTAACATGCCCAGAAATCCCATTTGCTTGGACCTGAAGAAGGAAAAAGTTTAACCAACGCATAGGTATTAGGGAACCAGCCCCCGATATTTCAACCTCAGTTCTTTTCTATTTTCCATAAGTGTCAGCCAGTCTGAGAAATAAAAGGATAGGTTAGAAAAAAAAGAAAGAATTTTAAAGCGGTGTGTCTGGCAGAGACATCACATGTCAGCAGGTTCCGTGATGCCCCCTAAGCCAAAAACCAGCAAGTTTTATTAGCAATTTTCAAAGGGGAGGGAGTGTACAAATAGGGTGTGGGAGACAGAGAGCACATGCTTCAGAGGGCAATGAAAGATCACAAGGCAGAAGGTCACGGCAAAATCACAACAACAGGGTGAACCTAGAATTGCTAATGAAGTTCCATGTCCTGCTGTGCATGCATTGTCATGATAAACATCTTAACAGGGTTCCAGAGCAGAGAACTGATCTTCCTAGAATTCAGCAGGCTGGAATTTCCTAATCCTAGCAATCCTGGGCTTGCTGCAGGAGGCCAGGGTGTGTTTCATCCCTTACCTGCAACTGCATAAGGCAGACACCCCTAGAGCGGCCATTTTAGAGGCCGCCTCCTGGGAATGTGTTCTTTTACCAGGGCTGTTAATTACTAATATTCCTTACTGGGGAAAGAATTCAGTGATATTTATCTTACCTGTTTTTGGCAATAAGACAAATATGGTTCTGTCCTGCCCAGCTCCCAATCAGTCAGACCTAATGGTTATCTCCAATGTTCCCTGAACATCACTGTTATCCTGTTCCTTTTTCAAAGTGCCCAGATTTCATATTGTTCAAACACACATGCTTTACAAACAATTTGTGCAGTTAACACAATCATCACAGGGTCCTGAGGTGACATACATCCTCAGCTTACGAAGACGATGGGATTAAGAGATCAAAGTAAAGACAGGCATAGGAAATTATGAGAGTATTAATCTGGGGAACTAGTGAATGTCCATGAAATCCTCACAATTTATGTTCTTCTACCACAGCTTCAGCAGGTCCCTCTGCTTGGGGTCCCTAATTTCCTGCAACACATCAGTATTTGGAAGTAAAACCCATGGTTGTGCTTGGTTTTAAGAGGTTTTATCAGAGGTTCCTCATGAAGAAAATTTCATCAAAACCAGTGTACAAAGCCTATTTAAGAGCAATTATTTGGCCCACAGTTTATGCCAATAGTTATTTTAACTATCAAATTATAGACCATTTTGCTGTCAACCCAGGCCTATTATATTTGTTTTTTACAGAAATGAACAAGGAAAATAGAAAAATTTGTTTCAAATCTTACATTGGCCATTGTCTTCTAGTCTCATTAGTTGTCTTTAGAATTTGCCTGTAGTTTAAACTAGCCCTGTTAATTTCTGTGAGCCAGTCAGAAATCTCCAGCTACAGCTGAGTAGAAAACATAAAAAAGGTTAACATTTTAAAGTATGTAACAATATTTTCTTCTGGGCAATTATTCTACAAATCGTGCCGGGTAATGAAAGTAAAGTGTGGACTCATAGTTAAGGGGTGTTTGTCTTTGTGGGGATAAGACTAAGGACGCTAAGCAAAGCCAAGCCCTATACATCTACAATTCTCTGGCATAATTATAGCCCTCAGTTTTCGGGGCATGTCAGCAGCCTCAGAATTTTTAAGCTGTTTATTGCCTCAGCTCATCTCATTTTAAAACACATATTTTTATAACCCAATTTTTTTCTTCTTACATAGAGGAAATCAAATTCCAAATGGTACTGGAAATGAAACCACTTATGAAAACACCGTGTTTCTGTGAAACCTTATCCTGACCTCAGGCAGAGCTCCAGCTGTTGCGTTTCATTGCACAACCCCTCTCCCTAGCAGGAGGTAGCTAGAAAGATCAATTCTGTCTAACAGCAGTTAGTTAGGTAGTAGGGTTGGTCTCTCCCTAACAGCAGAGAAAAGTTAGGTAGTTGGGGGGGCCCTTGGTATAACTTCTAGGAACAAAGATCCAGCTTACTGAAAAATAGGCTACAGACACATATTAGTAAACTCACACAAACCTTCAGCCCACTCACATGAAGAAACGCAGTCCGACATAGACAGAACTTTGTTCTTTGTGCACAAATATATGCTCACAAAGAGACTGATTGAAAAACAAGAACAACAAGAAAACACCCTTGTCTTTTGTATAAGCAATGGACTTCCAAAATTAGTGGCTTTTTTTTCGGTGAGGAAAGTACACGGTGGGCGACAATAAATTTTAGTGGGCACTTTTCTGGACATGCTTTGGAATATAACCTGAAGTGGTATGAATCATCACATCAGCCTCTGATTAGTCATGGGTAGAGGTCGTGAGCCAAGCTTTCACATCAGCACTTGTTTTGTCCCAAGCAAAAGTCCAAAGCCAAGCTGAGTAATGCTTTTTCCGAGATCAATCATCACATTCTTCCATCTCCCAGTACATGAGGACCCCAAACACCAGGGTGACACTGGACAACCAAATTGGGTTTCCACCGTGGAGAGCCATTTTAATTTCCTTCTTAAACTTCAGTGCTAACTTCACTTTGTGTGCACGTTCCTCAAGTTTTTGGACCCCAGATAAATAACTCTTTGTGATGTCACACAGTGAGAATTTGCTACATGTGGTGAATTGGTGAGACTACAATTGAAGCCTGAATTGAGCCCTGGGATGCATAAGTCTTACTTGATTATCTAAAATCGGGCCCTGTAATGCAAAATATGTCTCTGCAGGCATTCCACCTTCCAGTGGTCGCCACCACTGGCTGGACAGAGTTGAGGAGGCATTGTTTTCTTTTCTCTGCTGTTCTTCCTGAAGAGTCCTGGAGCTTGCCAAACTTTCAGCAGTCCAGCTCAAAACTCCTGGATTTTGTAGACCTGTAATTGCGTCACTAATGCCTCTGTCTGCCTCTTGCTTTTTCTGCCTTTCCTGTGCCTCTTTGTGGGCCCTGCTGTAAAAGACCAAGAATGCCACCCACAATTTTTCTACTGTGGTATCTGGGACCATAGTCTGCTTTTGTAGTTATCTTCTGATTTAAAGTTTGAGTAATAAACTTGCCTAATAAGATTACCTGTATTTTATTTAAACCAGGAGATAGAGAAGATTGTCTCAAAAAATCCACAGAATCCTCTCTCAGCCTTTCATTAAGGCCGAAATATTTTGATTTGGTTTTTATTTCAATATGGCCAGTTTTGATTAATTAAGAGCTTTGATTCCAGTTTCTTGGAAGCTTTTTAACACACACATTAGAAACTCTTTTTGTTTCCACTCATCCATAAAATCAGTAGGCCTTTAGTTATGTTTTTTAAGGGGCAATGTCTCCCTTCTTATTGGAAATGGGGCTTCTGTCTCTTTCCCCCTCATTTTTTTTTTTTTTGGTCCGGTTTTCTTCTTTGCCTGGCTATATTAAACATGCTATTTGTCTCTGAAACTCTCTGTTGCCTGTGCGGCTTCCTGTTGCTCAGCAGTACTTAACATTTGGCTTAGGAATGACATAACATGTTGCCATGTAAAACCAAACACTTGGGTAACATTTTGGAAAGCCTGTCTGTATTCATCTGAGTTATCAGAATACTTTTCTAGGTCCCAATCTATCTGTTTGAAGTCTTATAATAAAAAGAGGCCGGGCGCGGTGGCTCACGCCTGTAATCCCAGCACTTTGGGAGGCCGAGGCGGGCGGATCACGAGGTCAGGAGATCGAGACCATCCTGGCTAACACAGTGAAACCCCGTCTCTACTAAAAATACAAAAAATTAGCCGGGCGTGGTAGCGGGCGCCTGTAGTCCCAGCTACTCGGGAGGCTGAGGCAGGAGAATGGCGTGAACCCGGGAGGCGGAGCTTGCAGTGAGCCGAGATCGCGCCACTGCACTCCAGCCTGGGCGACAGAGCGAGACTCCGTCTCAAAAAAAAAAAAAAAATAAATAAATAAATAAAAAGAGAACCAGTAATTTAGATGCACCGTGTTTATTGGACATTTTCTTTAGGGGTAACAATTTAATGCAGGGTTGCTTGGGAGAAATGAAGAAGAAAAGGATGATAAAGTGACTAGAGGAGTCTGTGGATGGGGGACACAGGAGAAGCTGGAACATCTGGAAGTTTCTTCTGAGGGTTTCCTGGAGGTTTGTTTCTCTGACTTTTGAGAATTGTTCACTATAGACAAGCCTGATATGCTAAGAAGGCATGGTCAACATTACAATGCTTACAGATATCTGGGTTGTTTGCAGGACAAAGAAAATATGTCAGATAATTTACCTTCCCACTTACAGAAAATATCTAGATGTTGGATAGAATTGAGAGAGAAAATTTAGGTACATAGGATGGATTCTTGCTAAAACTACTTTGAACAAAGAAACAGGCTAAAATACCAGGCTTCAGGCAGATTTTTAAAAAAACCTGAACAAATCTGCAGCCCACTCATATAAAGGAACAAAGCCTAACAAACAAATATTTTTTGCACTTTTTTGTTACCTAAAACATGCCAACAGGTAATCTGATAAAATAAGAATATTCTGCATAAAAATACTTTTCTTCTTAAATAACGCACGTACTTCCAGAAAATCGTTTCTATTCCTTTTACACAGGGAGCTTCAGTGTGCTTCAGTGGGCACTTTTCTTCTTCTTCTTCTTCTTCTTCTTCTTCTTCTTCTTCTTCTTCTTCTTCTTCTTCTTCTTCTTCTTCTTCTTCTTCTTTCTTCATCTTCTTCTTCTTCCTTCTTCTCTCCTTCTTCTTCTTCTTCTTCCTCCTTCTTCTTCTTCTTCTCCTCCTCCTCCTTCTTCTTCTCCTTCTCCTTCTCCTTCTCCTTCTCCTTCTCCTTCTTCTTCTTCTTCTTTCTGGATATGCTTTCTACTGTGAGCTGAGCCACTACAAATTTTTACTTCAGCTACTTTTCAGTCCTGGGTCAAGTTTCTGAGTCAAGCCAACTAGTACTTTTTCAAGACTAGTGAGCACACTCTTTTCTTAATTCATAAAAACATCAGAACCTGCCTTATAGTGAGAAACACATCTGTCTCCTATATGTGCTGTGAACAGTCATTTTTTTCCCTGTTAAGTAATCAATCTGACTTCATTACAGTGAAGAAAAAGAAAGTCTGATGATACTTCAAAGTAGCAGACTGATATGTACAGTGGCATGCCCACATGACTGCAAAAGTGTGCATCGGAACACACTGAAGACCACTGGGTAAAAGAAATAGAGACTATTTTCTGGAAGAGAAGCGTTTTTATGCATACTATTCTTCTTCTTTTATCAGATTATCTGTAGGCATGTTTTAGGCCAAAAAAATAATTACAAAAGAGTTTATTTATAAGGCTATGTTCCTTTATATGAGTGGACTGCAGGTTTGTGCAGGATTTTTTTTTTTTTTAATCTGCATGAAGCCTGGTATTTCAGTCTGTCTCTTTGCTTAAAGTAGTTGTAGCAAGAATCCATCCTATCTACTTAACTTTTTTCTCTCAATACTATCCAACATCTAGATATTTTCTGCAACTGAGAAGGCAAATTGTCTGAGGTGCCATATATGTCAGATTTCTTTGTCCCGCAAACAACCCAGATATTTGTAAACATTGTAATGTTGACCATGCCTTCTTAGCACATCAGACTTGTCTATAGTGAACAATTCTAAAACATCAGAGAAACAAATCCCCAGGCAACCCTCAGAAGAAACTTCGAGATGTTCCACCTTTTCTTGTGTCCCCCGACAAGGGACTCCTGTAGTCACTTTATCATCCTCAGATTCTTCAATTCTCCCAACCGACCTTCCATTAAACCACTAACCCTAAAGAAAATGACCAAAAAACATGTTGCCTCTAAATTCCTGATTCTCTTTTTATTACAAGACTTAAAACAGATAGACTGGGACCTAGAAAAGTATTATGATAACCCGGATGAATAGAGAGAGGCTTTCCAAAATCGTTCCCGAATTTTTATTTTGCATGCTCACATGTTATGTCACTCCTAAGGCAAATCTTAAGTACTGCTGAGCAACAGGAAGCCACACAGGGAACAGAGAGATTCAGAGACAAATAGCATGTTTAACATAGCCAGGCAAAGAAGAAAACCAGTCCAAAAAAAAAAGTGGAAGACAAACCAAAGCCCCATTTTCAATTTATATATATTTGCTACATGTTCTGAGAAAGCAATATATTACAATACTCAGTAGGAGTATAGGAGCACTTCTTCAAATTCTTTGCTTTACTTTTATTTCTGAGGATTTTGTCCTAAGTTTATTTTTCCTGTTTGTACTCACAAGCAAACAACACTGAGCCAGTGTCAGCCAGTTCAAATCAAAAAGATGACTTCCAGCCTTATAAGACTCAGGTGACAGGCCAGATAGAGAGAACTTTGACAATCCCCCAACATCCTCAGTTGATGAAAACTTTGGCTCTGTTCCAACTCACTTTCCTTCACAAAGCAGCTTATGCATGCAGAGACTTACAATCGGTCTTGAGACAATTGAAAGTTTCTGGCCAAGGCTACAGCTCAGTGTTATCTAAAGCCTTCTGAACTAAGGCCAGTCAATGACAGTCCATCAGGGTGATGGCACCAGGAATTCCAGAATTTTCTATTTTATTTTCTTGCCTTTCCGTTTATGGCAATCATGTCTCTTATTTTCTTCTTTTTATGCAATGTTGCAACCAGGAAATATATTCTTATTGGGTGAATTCAGTTGGTGATTTAGTAATCAGGAATATTATTCAAATGTTGCTGTTTTGGTGGTGTCTTGGAAACAAACGAAATTCGAGTTTTTAGTCTAACTTTTAACTTGGTAAAAACCTTTTTGGGAACCAGCGATAGACATTTAGAACACTGTAAAAGAAGTTTTCTTACCCCGAGGGAATACTTTCTTCTGCATTTTTTTCTTCTCCTTTTTCACTGTCCTATTAATCTAAGAGGCATAGTGTAGGGAACGTTTATCAAGCCCTAACCCTTCTTTTCTAACTTTTGACAGAAAAGTGTTTGTAATCAGAGTTTTCATCTAATATTTCAGATCCTACAGTGCCACTTGTTAAGATAGGATTTTTCTCTATATAGAGTCTTGTCAGCCCTTTGCCTAAAATGTCTGGTTTCCAACTTTCTCCCCCTGCAATGTCTCAATGACAATTATAAGACTCTATGTCCCATCTCTAAGCAGAAAATCTCCACTTTCAACAGTCAAAAAGAAGCTGCCCTTGACAAATTACAACCTCATTGCTGATGTTTTTATAAAAGAAGGAAAGGAATGGAATCTTTTTTTTTTTATTTTTGAGGCAACCGTTCTGCATCCAGCTACATTAATATCTAAATAAGAAGAGAATGTTAAGTTTCAAAGTCAATCCGTCTTATTTATGAGGATGTCAATGTTTTGCTAGGACCATAGTATGGGAAAACAGGGATAATATAAAGACTCAAACTCTATTAAAGACTGTTGCTTCACTGTAACTACCGCATAATCTTTCTTAGGCTTCCCCCATGTACCTGGAAGTTTTTGGGTTGAATGGACTCAGGAGACAAAGATGGAATTTTACATATATATATATATATATATATATATATATATATATATATATGCATACATACATATATATACACACACACACACACGTAATTAGGAATTACACATATACACACATATACACACATATACACACATATATACACACACATATGTGTATATATGTATGTGTATGTAATATATACACATATGTGTGTATGCGTATATATACATACACATATAAACAGAGAATACATATATACTTACATATACACACATATCTGTGTGTGTATGTTTGTATATATATGCACATGTGTAATATATACGCATACATATGTGTGTGTATGTGTATATGTATATACATACGTATACAAGTACCATGTATATACACATACCAGAGTGTATAGATATACATACATAAACTCTGGGTATTACATATATGTTATTACATACAGATATACACACACATACGTGTGTGCATATGTGTATATGTGTATATACACACAACTATACATATATACACACATATACATATATGTATATGTATACACACAAACATGTATATGTAGATATATACACACATATACATATGAATGTGTGTATATATATATATGAATGTAATACAAACACATATAATACCCAGAGTTTATGTATGTATACCTATACACGCTGGTATGTGTATATAGATGTACGTATATATACACATATCATATATGTGTATGTGTATATAGATGTATGTATATATACACATATCATATATGTGTATGTGTATATATATGTGTATGTACATACACACACAGACAATTTAAAATATTAAGTAGCATGAACACAAGTGTAAAGTTTCAGCAAATTTTAGTATATAAAAACAGACCATTTTGCCCACAAATTTCTACGTGATCTGAGAGCTATTAATGCACAGATTAAACCAATAGGTGCATTACAGCAAGGTCTGCCATTACTGGCAGCCATTCCAAGTGACTCACCTCTCATAGTAGTAGATCTTAAAGATTATTTCCTTACCACACCCTTACATGAGAAGGATAAGCGAAGTTTTGCCCCAAAGCATGCTCATCGGTCCTACACTATTTCAGCGTTTTGTAGGACAGTCCTTAAAGGAGCCTCGTAATATATTTCCTACTGCCTACATCATTCATTATATGGATGAAATCCTTTTGGCTGCTCCAATGGAAGAGTGATTACACCAAATATTGAGAGAAGCAAAACAGGGGGACATCTCAAAATAGTTCAACAAAAGGTAGAAACAACCTCCCCATACCAATACTTAGGCACTATTGTTACTGAAACAAATATTCGACCTCAGAAAGTAGTCCTCTGTAGGGACAGATCACAAACCTTCAGTGATTTCCAACAACTATTAGGAGACATAAATTGGCTGTGCCCAATCCTAGGTATTGCTACTCATCAACTCAAACACTCAGATCATCCATGGAGATTCTTCACTAGGAGTAATGGGCTTAGGAGACAAACCCGTTGCTCCAGCAACTTACTAAGGAGGCTGAAGCTGAGTTACACCTTGTAGTGCAGATTCTTCAGCAAACACATGCCTCCCAGCCACAGCCACAAAAGCCTTTGGTTCTCTTTGTTCTTTCTACCCCGCCATTCTCCAAAAGGACTTTTAGGACAGATCATAGAAAAATATGCAATTGTGATAGAATGGCTTTTTTTGAAATTCAATCAGAGAGTAAAATCTCTGCAAGTTTATCTTTCTTTAACTACTCAATTTATAACAAGGGGTAGGGGTAGATCAAAAATGCTTAAGAGATATGATCCAGACAAAATTACTGTTCTCCTTTTAGAGCCAGTCTAAAAGTATGAGGAAAAATATTGGATTCCCAACAACAGTTGCATCATGGGAATTGTTGACTGTGTGTCAAATTGCTCTTTCAGATTATGTAGGAATAATACATAAACTTTATCCATCAGACAAAATTTTGCAATTTTAAAAACTCAACCTTTCATCTTCCCTGTGATTCCTCATCACAAGCCCATTTCAGGCAGCCAGACCTATTTTACTGATGGCTCTTCCAAAGCTCGCAAAGCTACTTATAGTACTAAGCATGCTCCTACAATAAAAAAAAAAAAACCCAGAGTTTCAGCTCAATGCTCAGAACTAATGGAACTTAATCAGGTTTTAGAGCTCACTGGTTCATCTCTTATTAACACTCTCTATGATTCAGCCTATGTTGTAAATGTAGCCGGTCATATTGGGACTGCCACTATTAAAAGCACCCTAGAACCAGAGATGTTTAACTTGTTTCTAAGGCTTCAACAAGCTGTTTGCTCTCATGCTGCTTTTTATATCTCTCATATCTGCTCTCCCACACAACTCCCTACACCACTATTTCTAGGTAATAATGGAGCCAATAAATTGATTTGTTCTGCATTTCAACAAGCTCAACTTTCTCCTGTATTACTGCATCAAAACTCTGTCTTTACTCGTATGTTTCATTTGCCTAACAGCCAGGCTGCAGCCTGTACAAGCCTGTCCTACTTGCCAGCATGTCACTGGAGTCACACCCATAGAAGGCTGTAACCCATGAGACTTAGCTTCAAATGAAATCTGACAGATGGATGTTACTCACAAAGCTGTCATTGGCAAGCTCGCCTTTGTTCATGGGACTATAGACACTTATTCTCACATGCGGCATGCTACATGCAAACCAGGTCAAACAGCTGGTTATTTACAATGACATTGTCTGTCATCATGTGCTCATATGGGGGTTCCTAGGCAATTAAAAACTGACAATGGACACGCTTATGTTAGTCATGCTTTTTAAAATTTATTACAGCTATGGTCAATCACTCATAAAACAGGAATTCCTTACAACCCCCAAGGACAAGGAATTAAAGAGCAGTCAAATTGAACAGTACAACGCGTGCTGAAAAAAACAGAAAGGGGAAACAGGAGACCAGTTACCACCTCAAACAAAATACATTTATTTTTACTTTAATTTTTTTTTCACTTCGTTTAAATTTTTTGTCTCCTGGTACAGATAGTAAGACTATGGCAGAATGACACTGGTAAATGTTATAGGGAAAAAGGAAAGTATACCCAAAGATATTATGAAAATCCCCCCAAGGACGATGGAATGGCTCAGTAGATTTACTGATGTAAGGACAAGGGTATGCTTGTGTTTTTACAGGAGATGGATAAACTGTGTGGGTGCCCTCAATGTGTTTGTGACCATGTAACGGGAGAGTGGAAAGAGCCATGGATCCCAACTGTGGATCCGGCTCCTCTGTTACAAGCCATGAGTCAGTTGAAATTGCTGGAGCACCAGGGTCAGGCAAACAACCCTGACCTCACGTTTATGGCCATGCTACCTGTAACATCCTGGCCAGTAGGTTTTCCTTGTGCAGAGACAAAAACATATTGGACATATATTCCCAATCCCCCAGTATTATGGAGTGTAATATGGAGTGACACTCCCCCTGACATCTATCATGATCATGGAGGATGGGCACCAGGACCCCAAACACCCCCTGACAAACAGTAATTAGACTCTCAGAACAATGATTATCAATTATGCTGTGCCATTGGAGGGACTTCCTTTATGCATCACCCAGGGTACATCACTCAACTGCAGTGGCCTTGCAAATTAATCCCAAGTATGGTTAAGTTACCATGGAAAAATTATGTACCTATTAGGCCTTAGCTTTATTAACATTACTGGTGTAGATAATAACCACTCCCAGCCCCATCCCCAAAATTCTATTAATTATACAGAATGGGCTCCCTTTGATAATTCTTACCCCCCTCATTGGACCCAGTGTCTTGGCACCCTAGCTAGAGAACAGTTCATGCTAATGGGAGACATTATTTTCTGGGTCCCTGTGGTCACTTAGATGGGAGAGATGAGACTCCGACCTCATGGCATAAACTTCGCTGACACAGGTTAGCATCCCTTCACTACACTGCACTGGGATTCAATCCCAATCTGCAGCAAGTTTCTCTTGGCGTGGAACAGGCTTTAGCCCAACTTTGCCTCAATGACATTATCAAGGAAAGAAACGTACAATTCAAGAGTCGATAGGGAAGGCAGCACTCCACTATATGAATGGCAGCATTTGTCTTCGAACACTATCTAATTATAGTAATTGTGCTGAATGCAGTTGCAATGTTAACTCTGTAGAAAATATTACCACTCAATTTACATTTTGTGTTTTTAAACTTATGTTTTTCTAGCAGCAAAATGGACCAACTCCAGTTAAACGATGCCCAGTTGACTTGTGATTCTTGTCAACTGTATTATTCCCTAAACCATAGCACAGTACAAACATATAGCATATCCACCCTAGTAATTTTAGGTTGCAATCCCAGATTATGGATTCCTGTAAATCTGCCTGAGCCTTGGGTGGCCACCTCTGCTTTCCATTTTGTAAATCTTTTTCTTACTCAGCTTACTCATTGTGCTTGTAGAGCCTTAGGCATGAAAATAATTGTGAAAGTCTCCTTAGGAACACTAATAATTTCTGTTGTGTCATCCTTAGTAGCGATGTAGAGCTCCATTCAGACAGCTCAATATGTAGAAAATTGGATGTGTACAGCCGACCAGGCATGGATGCTTAAAAATAAACTTAACACTGAGATACACACAGAAGCAGCAATGTTAAAGACTACAGTTCTGTGGCTAGGAAAACAAGAACAAACTTGTAGTTGCAGCAGCAATTGCATTGTCATTTTAAGCATACTCATATTTGTGTAACTAATTTGGAATAAAACCAAAGTGAATATCCATAGAACCTTGTAAAGGTCCATTTACATGGGGCTTTCACATACAATGTTACTTTTGATATTAATGATTAACAAAGTAAAATTCTTTTTTTTTCTTTTTTTTATTATACGTTAAGTTTTAGGGTACATGTGCAATTCTTAACTTGAATAAGCATACTCAAGTATTTCAGTCATGTCTGAAAACTTGCACAGAATTCCAGCAAGGTGTAGAGAGCCTTAACCCTTGGACCTCCTCCAAACATCACCTCAATGTCTTTTTTGTGATTATCGGAGTAATGTTATTATGTCTCTGTTTTATGCTCATTGTCAGTAAAAGCAGCTGGACCACCAAACAGCAATTGAGAGCTGCACAGCCTGCAATCACCTGTACTCAGTTAATGCAAAAACAAAATGGAGATGTTGGAGGCCAAAAGAATAAGGGTTGTGACCAACTCAATAATGAGTGGAGGGTCTATGAGCAGAGAGCAAACTGTTCTCATGAAAGCAGCATTTTCATAACCTGACACACCACGTCTGGTGCCAGAAGGAATACTGAGGGCAGTCATGCCCCAAGCATAGTATTTCTTGTGGTTATATATAGGAACATCTGAAGTCTGTAGTACAAAGAAAGCAATTATGTGAGCCTGTGATAAATCAAGCAGCTGACCAACAATTACCTTTCCTCCCTGTTGATTCTGCCTAATAAATATGAAGGCCTGTAGAAGCTCAGGGCCTTTGCTGACTAGAAGAAATGAGCCCCCTGACCCCTCTTTTAAAACAAATATTTTTTGTCTTTGTCTTCATTTCTGCATTCAACCCCCTTTGTTTCATCCCATAGTAACTGACTGCCACACTGTCTCTATTAAAAATACAAAAGAAAAAAAAAAGTTGGGCTTGTTGGCAGGCACATGCAATCCAAGCTACTCAGGAAACTGAGGCAGAAGAATCCCTTCAACCTAGTAGACAAAGTTTGCAGTGGGCCAAAATCACGGCTTTGCACCCCAGACTGGGTGACAGCGTGTGACTCCATCTCAAAAAAGGCAAAAAAAAACAAAAAGAAGAAAAAAAATATGTTCAGGTTAAGAGAATCAAACAAACAAGGTGTAGGCTGAGAAAAATTTAGGGAACACATCTGAGAAGTGACTTTCAGTTAAAATGTACAAAGAAATAAGATGACCAAATTAATGATAGAGACCTCAGTAGGTACAGCAGCAAAAAAGATACGAAGATGGAAAATCTGGCACACAAAATACTGCTTGCTGAGCCCTTGTTACTTCTTCTGAAGGCTGAGGCTCCAAGCCATTTCCTGAGGAGCAACAGTGGCTGCCACAGTGACAGTGGCTCCAAAGATCATCCCCACCTACCCCAGCTCTACCCTTCCTCCAGGTTCCAAGGATTCCCCAGACATTGAGCATGCTCACTGGGAAGGAGCCAGAAGCTGGATATTTTATTTCTCAACTTTTCTTAAAACTCTGGATACCAACAAGTATCCTTTGGTTGGAAATTTTATTTTTATCCTAACAATCTTGAGGCACTGACAAGTATTAGGAAAGATGGCTTTCAACCTACAGTTGTCTCCATAAAGAAATAAAAGAATTGGCATGGCCAGACATGGTGGTTCATACCTGTAATCCCAGCACTTTGGGAGGTAGAGCCAGGTGGATGTCCTTAAGTCAGGTGTTTGAGATCATCCTGATCAACATGGTGAAACAAGCTCTCTACCAAAAATACAAAAGTTAGCCAGCAGTGGTGGCTGAGTCCTGTAATCCCAGATCCTCAGGAAGCTAAGAGAGGAGAATTGCACGAATCCAGGAAGCTGAGGTTACCGGAGCCGAGATCACGTCATTGCACTCCAGCTATGGGAACAGAGGAAGACTCCATCTCCAAAAAAAAAGAAAAGAAAAAAAATGATTCAATTACCCTTTTAGGCAGTTATTTTAGAATGCTTGGTACAATGCATTACTATTTTGGTATTCTCAAGACAGAAAACACAGTAACAGTAATAAGTAAAAACCAAATAGCAAGTCATTAAAAATTCATGGGATTAATTTCATCTGTCATTCTTTCTGGCTTTTATTATTTAAAATGTGTAATGTTGAAGTAATCAGACGTTTTACCTGTGATATCCAAACACAAAAAGAAACAACAATAAGTAAAACACTATTAAATGAATCTCAGTCTTCAAATTGAATTCTGATGCAGTGGAATGTTTTGTGAAAGATGAAAAACTAACAGACCAAACACATGTGATTTCAAATTTTGGCCTACTTTTGTAGGGGCAGGTTTAAGAACCAAAACCTTCATAGTTCTAATTTTTGTATTTTTGTCAATGATTCAGCATGGCAAGATATGTAGAGAAACTGAGATCAGAGCTTTTTGTCAATTCCAACAGAGACTAGTTTGTACTCTACACGTTCTTGTTGCTGCCTTGAAATCCATAAAGAAATCACTTGAGTGAAAGGGACTTTTACACAGTGAAAAATCACGACAATACACCACATTCTCTTATTAGCTACAGTTCACTCTTTTCTTGTAGTCACCATAAGATTAGAAAAAATGGCAAGATAAATGACTATGTGGACTAGAAAAATTTTATTAGTTTTTACCAGGTAAAGCATAGAGTACTTTTTTTAAAAATTGGTTTTCTGTGGCACAACGCATGTATGCTTTTTGGCAGCAATCACAGATTAATGAACAAATGATAACAACAAAACAGTGCTCAACAACACCTTCCATTCAGGGAAGGCAAAATAAAATAAAAGTGAGAGCACTAAACAGCTATACTATATCTAAATTTCTTTTTAAATGTAATCAAAACTGCAACAGGAAATCTCATTCATTGCCGATGGAAGGCAAAATGGTACAGCAACTTTAAAATATGGTTGTCTTCTTCTGCCACAGTTTGGCAGTTTTTTCCAAAGGCAATCATGGTCTCATCATATAGGCTAACAATTGCACACTTAGGTATTTAGACAACTGATTTGGAAAGTCACATCTAACTCAAAACCACATGCACTTATGTATAACTGCTCTCTTGACAATGGCAAAATACTTGAAGGAATCAGGATGCCTTTCAATATTAACCAAGCCAGGTAAATTCATAAAATGAAATACTATTCATCAAAAGAAAAGGAGTGATTTATGAAGTCACGCAAAGCCATGGATGAATCAGGCATACATGAAGCTAAGTGATAAAAGCCAGTCTGAGGAGATGACATATTGTATGATTTCATTTCTATTACATTACAGAGAAGAAATGTTTACAGAGATGGTAAACAGACAAGGTAATTTACAGTTGTTTTTAGTGGGCAGGTAGTGAGTTGAAAAGGAGAATGCAGTGATGGAAAGGAGCACAAATGGGCCAGATGAGAAGGGACTCACTCTGCTTGATGAGATCACGCTGGGGGTGTGGAAGAGTCAGGAGTGTGTATACCAGCATGAATAAATAAATACGCTTCTACTCATGATAGGAGAAGAGCGTCTTCTTTCATGACACATGCAACTATTTTAGGATGATTTCTGAGGAAGCTTTTGTCATCATTGGAAAAACATACGTAAACAAATGTACCATTTCAAACATTTTTGAGTGTATAATTTGGAAGCATTAACTATTTAACTATGCTCAATTTGTGCAACCATTGCCACCATTTCACCATCTCACCAGCAATGTACAAGGGTTCTAATTTCTCCACATACTCTCAAACTTTTCCTTAAAAAATAAAATAAAAAATTCCAATGGAGATAAAGTGGTAATCTTATTCTCATTTAGATATTCATGTATTAAGTGGCTAGTGATTTTGAACATCTTTTCATGTGCTTTTTGGCTGTGGATCTGTAAATGATTTCTTGGCTATATTACTGAATGAACACAAAACATAAGAAAATATAGATCAACTGAACTTCATCAAAACTAAACACTTTTGTGCATGAAAGGACACTGTCAGCATAGTGGAAAGAGAACCAACAGCATGGGACAAAATATTTGCAAGACATATATATGGTATATGTTCAAATCAACCAGTTGGATCTCTCCCAAGGGCACTCTCCATTTTCTTACTCTAAAACTTTTTAAATAAACTTCCATGTTTGCTGGGAAACTTTTCTCAGTCTCCTTTGCTACTTTATTCCCCTCAGTCAAATCCTTTCTTCTGAGGAGGGAAGAGTTTAAGTTACTGCAGACCATGATAGATTTGACACCAGTAACTCAGATAACTTCCACTGGTAACAGGTCGAGGAGCTGCTGGACAGGGTGGCGGGAGTTCATGTCTAGTATGTGGCTGGCCTGGCCCCAGGTAGTTCTGGGCTGTGGACGGACCAGAACCCCATGCTACAAGCACTCTGTGGAAAGAGAGCTCACATTGCTGAGAGAATGCTGAGGAAGAAATTTTGTCTTTTTAGTGACGACAATTTCCTTCACATAATATACAATTAACTGTTTGTTAATGAATTCCTTAGTGATCTTTAGTACATGCATATTTGTGGGCAACAACCGCATCTTAGTTCCAAATTATTTTCATCATTCCAAAAGGAAATACCCTACTTATTAAGAAGCTCCTACCCAATCTGTCCTCTTTCTGACACCAGCAACAAGTGATCTGCACTTTTTTCTCTATGGATTTACTTATTCTAAATATTTACATAAATAAAATCATACACTATGTGACTTTTGTCTTCACCTTCTTGAGCCAAAATTGCTTTGAAGTTTCCTCACATTGTAGCATTAGAGTTGTCATCCTCTTCACAGCTGAATATTATGCCATTCTATGGGCATACTACATTTTGCTTCTTACTTTTTGCTGGTGGACATTTATTTGGTGTGTTTCCAGATTTTAGTTATTGTGAATGCTGCTATGAACATATGTATACAAGTTTTTCTTTGAATAACTCTTTTACATTTTTTGTATATACAGCTTGGAGCGGATGTTGTGGGTCCTATGGTAATTTTATATTTAGCTTTTGCAGAACACCAAACTATTTTCCACAGCAGCTGCAGCATTTTACTTTCACATTTTCCCACTTCCCTTCCTTTGGGCCTTCCAGAGACTACCTCAAAACACCTGCCATTCTCAAACACAAGCTACTGTGGATTTGGTTAGCTCTGGGTTGACATTTAGAAAAGCTGTGGCCTCAGAAGCCAACTTCCTTTGGCTCCTAATCTATGAGGCTGCACAATGAGCATTAAGATGGCCCTGAGCTTAGACGCAGAAAAGTTCTGGGTGCAAGGCTCAGTCCTCCCTTCTGTAAAAAAGAGTGATGATGTAATACACTAGCCAGCTGCCCAGTGCCTTCTGTAACCCTAAACTTAATCATAACATTAACCTTAACTCAGCCTCTACCCGAATCCTAAGCAGGAATCCCTAACACTAACAGCAACTCTAAGCCACAAACTTGACCCCAACATCAACTCTATGCCTAGCCACTCACCAAAACCTAAACCCCAAAACAAATCCCAACTCTAAATCCTAAATCTAACAGCTAAACCTGAATTTGACCCTGACCCTGAAAATAACCCTAATCCAAGTGTAATGCAAACATTACAGAAACCTGAACTTAAGCTCTAAGCCTAAAACCTTAACCCTAAAACCCTAACCCTAAGACAAAAACACTAACACTAAACAAAAAAACCATCTCTAACCCTCAAAAGCTAACGTTAAGCCTAACACTAACAACAACCCCTAAATCTAACCCTAAATTCTAACTTCTAAACCTGCTTTTTGAGCATGATCATAACATTCACAATAAGTCTAATACTAACCCATGACCTGAATGCTAAAACTCTTATTACTACCCTAACCCTACACCTACATGACACCAAAACCTAGCTGTTACATGAAACCCAAACCCTAATCCTAACATTAATCTTTAGGTCAACCCTAACCCTATACCTAATCCTAACCCCTGACCCTAAGCCTGACTACTAACATTAACTCTAACCCTAATGTGTTACTGCAATCTGTACCCTAATGCTCACCCTAACACTAATTCTAACCAATAATTGTAACCTCAACTGTAATCATAATAATAAACATAACCTTAACCCCTTAATCTAAATTTAAACACTCACCATAACTATAACCCTAAAGCTTAATCTACTCTTACCCTAACCCTAAAAATAACATTAAACAATAATTCTAATCTTAATCCTAATTCTAACACTGTGCCCTATCTGTAACACCAACAGACCCACAACCACTAAACTCCAACGCTAATTCTAACCCCTAACACTAATTCTATATCCTAAAGCTAACTCTAACCCTGAATTTTAACCTGTAACGCTGTAACGTAAACGCTGTACGCTAAACACTAAACGCATAGCCTGTAACGCTAAACATAAAAGTTACTCTATCTGATAACCTAAATGTAATCCTCACCCTAAATACTAACCCTAACACTTAACCCAAAATCTAACCTTGAAAACATAACCCAAAGCAAACCCCTTATTTTCAAATGAAATCCTAATGTTAGCAATAAAACATTGAAAAACTACACCTAACCACAAACTCAACACATAACCCTAACAGTAACACTAATCCTAACTGTAAAAGCATGAAACCAGAACTTTAACATTAAAACCATCCTAACTCTAAACCCATTAATAAAAATAAGCCTAAACCATAACTCTAAACCTAAAGCTTAAAACCTAACTATAATCTTAATCCTAAACCATAAACTCTTAACTGTAACCTGTAACTGTATCCATAAACCAAAACCCTAACCCTAAATGCTAAACTAAACCTTAGTCTCTAACTGTAACCCTAACTAAAATGCTAATACCCAACACTAATCCTAAACCCTAACACTAACTGAAAACTCTATTCCTAATCCCTACCCCAAATCCTAACCCGAACTTCAACACTAACACCAACCCCAAATGTACGCCCTAACAGTAAGCCTAACACTAAGCCTAACCTTACCACAAATCCTAACCCTTTTACCCTCAACTTAACCCTACCCCTACATGAACACCAACCCCAAACATAAACATAAACCCTACTTTACACTAAACAGAGAATCCTAAGCCCAAATCCTAACCCTAATTATAACACTAACCCTAAACAATGCCCTAACCTTTAGCCAAACCCTAAACCCTAACTCTAACACTAACACCTCATCAAAAGCCCTACTCTAAGCCTAACACTAACCCTCAGCCTAATCTTTAGCCAAACGCTTTGACCATCATCCTAACCCTAACTCAACCACAACCAGGCACCCAATGTTAAACCACAAACTAACACTAAACCCTAATCCTAAATTTTAACACTAAACCAAACATTTTAATTATAACCCTAACACTAAGCATAACACTTGCCCTAATTTTAACCCTCATCCTGAATCCTAAACCTAACCCTCACCCAAACCCTAATCCGAACCCTTACACTACCACCTAAAGCTAACCCTAATTCCAACTATAAATCCCCAAATCCCAAAAACACTGAAGGTAGCTTTAACTGCAACCCATAACTCTAAAACTCACACTAACACTAACCCTAATACCCTTATCCTGAGAGTGAAACTAACATAATTCTAACATAATCTTAACCTTAGCACTAAACCTAAAAATAACTCTTATCCTAAACACTGAACCTAATCATAACCTGAACCCTAAATCAGAAAACCTAACCTTTAACACTAACCCTAGCCCTAAAGCAAAATCTGTAACCCTAATTAAACCTAAACCCTAAACCTAAACCTAATCTTAGCCCCTAACTCTACAAAAACCTTAATACTAACACTAACAATAAATGTTAACCCCTAACCTTAACACTAAACAAACCCTAACACTAAACCCTAACCCTAACCCTAATCCTAAACTCTAAACTGAACCCTAAGAGTTACCCTAATCGTGACCACTAACCTCAACCTCAACACAAACTCAGCCTTAACAGTCATGCTAAACTTAAATCAAAAACCCTAACCATATGCCCAACACTATCACTAACATCTAACCATAAATGCTGATCACTATCATTAACAATAACCCTAAACCCTAACCCAGAACCCTGAACTCTAACCCTACATGTAACCCTAAGCCCTATCCTAATGCTAAACACTAACCCAAATACTGAAATACTCTAACACTTACCCTCACCCTAAACCTTAATACTAACCCTAACCCTGGCCAGGACCCTAATTCCTAACCTCTAACTGGAAGCCTATCTTTTTACCCTAAACCTAAGCATAACCCAAGCCCAAACCTAACCTCTAATGCTGATTCTGACCCCTAGCCCTAAACTCAACCCTAACCCATAAACCTAATCTTAACTCTAACTCGAACCCTAATCCTACCACAACACTAAATCTTATTTCAAGCCCAGCCCTAACCCTCAATCTAATCCTGAACTTTTTCTGCAATTGTAAACCTTATCCCAATCCTCCGTTTCTATTCTATCCTTAAGGTTACACCATTATGCTTAAAAAACTTTGAATACAACCTGTATGACTCTAACCTCTAGCCCCTTATATGCAAAAGAGTACAAGGAGTCATATCTCTTTCTAAGCCCAAATTAGTATTGAATTAAACAAATGGTATCACTGGGACAAAAAACTAAACGTAACCATATCTGCTAACTATAGACATTATAATATTTAACCAAATAAGTGAAGACATTATAAACCACGATGTTTAAGATCTTTTCTCAGAAAATCAAGGTTTTTTTTTTTTTTTACCATTCTAATGCCATCCCTTTTCAACATATTATGTAAATCAAATGTTGAAATACACCACGTTTGTCTCAACTTTTATAAAAAGTACTTAAAGACAACACATTTAACAATTAAAAATCCAATAAACTGTATTTCAATTTTTTCCCATGATAAAACATCTTTATGCAAAACCCATAATAATCATCATCTAAATTGTTGGGAACGAAAGCTTTAAGATGAGGAACACAGCATTGATGCTCAACTGTATTAAACCCTGTACTAGAAGTTCCAGAAGAATAATTACATATATACACACACACACACACACACACACACACACACACACATATACGCAAACACACACAAAGCTATTCATATGTGGAAGAGAAAAGTAAAACTATTCACAGATCTCATACACAGAAAACCATAAGGAACCATCTAGAAATTATGAAATCTAGGAAACAAATTAAGAAAAATAACAAGACAGAATATCAACACAAAAAAAACTTTTTGTTTTTTCTTTTTGATGGCGTTTTGCTCTTGTTGCCCAGGCTGGAATGCAATGGCACGATCTCGGGTCACCACAACCTCCGTCTCCTGGGTTTGAGCGATTCTCCTGCCTCAGCCTCTTGCGTTCAAGTGATTCCCCTGCCTCAGCCCCCTGAGTAGCTGGGATTCAGACATGTCCCACCATGCCGGGCTAATTTTGTATTTCTAGTGGAGACTGGATTTCTCCATGTCAGTCAGGCTGGTCTTGAACTCCTGACCTCAGATGATATGTCCACTTTGGCTTCCTAAATTGCTGAGATTACAGGCGTGAGCCACTGCACCTGGCCACAAAATCTATTTCTATTCACTAGCAATCAACCCTACAAAAATGAAATTAAGATGACAACTTTATTTCTAAAAAAAAAAAAAAAACAAAACAAAAAAACAAAAAAACAAGAAGCTGGAATATTTCCCACTGCCCTGAAAGACACAGATATCAGGCAGCCGAGGTCTGGGACAGCCTTGGAGTTGAGGCTGTGCTACTATATTGGGACCTGGCTGGAATCACTGTGGGGCTAACCAGAAACTGTTCAAGTTCCTGAGAAATCAATGTCGAATTCCTTTAAAATATAATGGATGAAGAAAAGAAAACCTCTAGCGGTTTTGAAAACCCTAATGCCATGATGTCAAATAAATATCTTTTGAGTAATAAATTTTTATAAAAGATCCTTCACAAACATCAGCAATAATGAAACCCTTGTTGAGTGGCCCAGGTCATTTTGCTGAGAAGAGAACCATTGAGGTCAATTTGAGAGACATCCCTTCCTGAGCACTGTCAAGAGCATGGACATATTTTACCTACACATTTTACTACACCTACAGCTCCACAGGGACTTTTAAATTCTGATTTCACATAAACCTGCACTAGAATTTCTGACAGCTGTAAACTTTCTAGATTGTATGTAAATACAATTGATTGTATATCAATACAATAGATTGATATAATAAAATAAATTATAATCACCTGGTAACTCTTTTCAGTGTTTAAGACTTGTAGTTGAGTTTGTATTTTTTCACAGACAGCACATTCCCTGTATGCAATGTAACTATAAAATTAATTGCTAAGAAGGTTGTCTTAAGTTTTTCATAACAGAGTTGAAATTTGTTTGCAATGTCAACAAATTAAGGACATTTTCATAACTGAGAAATAAACAAATATGGCAATTCATAGGTGGTTTTGCTTTATCCTATGGAAAGGACTTTTAAAATGAACAATGATGACCTAGAAAACGCTGGAAACTAGAAATAATAAACATGTTTTTCAGTTAAACAATTGGGCTAAGTGTTTTTGTGTATTTAGTTGTTTGTTAATAAAATTCATCAGTTTGTAGCTGCCCATGGCATTGCTGGAGTTATTCAAATAATTGCATTATAGGTATGTTCATAACTTAGCCAAAACATTGATTTATTTTTACTGACCCTAACACAATAAATGTTTTATTGATGCCTGTAATCTCAGCACTTTGAGACGTCAAGGCAGGCACATCTCTTGAGCCCAGAGGTTTCAGAAGAGCCCAGGCAACATGGCAAACCATTGTCTCCAAGAAAATAAAAAAGAAGGAAAAAGAAAAATAATTACCAGGTATTGCAGCTGAAGCTAAGGCAGACAGATTCAAAGGAGCCCAGGAGTGAGAAGCTGCAGGCTGCAATGAGCCATGATGGCACCATTGCAGTCCACACTCGACAAAAAGTGAGACCCTGTCTGAAAGACCAAGAAAGAAAGAAAGAAAGAAAGAAAGAAAGAAAGAAAGAAAGAAAGAAAGAAAGAAAGAAAGAAAGAAAGAAAGAAAGAAAGAAAGGAGGGAGGGAGGGAGGGAGGGAGGGAGGGAGGGAGGGAGGGAGGGAGGGAGGGAGGAAGGAAGGAAGGAAAGAAAGAAAGAGAGAGAGACATATGAGTTGAAATTCCTTAAGTCCTTTGATAAACTTCAGTATTGTTTAAATGTGCCTTGTCGTCTCATTTTTTTTATTCCTACAATTCAAGGAGTTTATTTAAAGACAATTTGGGAAGGTTAACAGCTACAAATTTTTAAGAAGTAATTGAACTTTACCCAGGTGGTTGATAAGTCAACTATACAACTTAAAGTTCTTGTGCATTATGTCTTCTGGCCTATTCAAAGTACTATATTTTCATTGATTATAAAGCAAATTATCCTTTTCAACTTTCAAAACAGGAACCAAAAACAAACAATCAAAGAAACAACAACAACAACAACAACAACAAAACAGGCTGAATGTTGTGGCTTACGCCTGTAATTCCAGTACTTTGGGAGGCCAAGGGGGGAGGATTGCTCAAGCCCAAGTGTTTGAAGCTGCAGTGAGCTATGATTGCACAAGTACATTCCCACCTGGGCCAAAGAATAAGGCCCTGTCTCAAAGAGCAACAACAAAAAGCCAATGATCATAAAGTTTTCCAGACAAACTTTTATCAAGGTGCAAGAATTTGACATGAAAAATTACAAAATACTGCTGAAATAAATTCCAGAAACCCTACATAAACATAAAGACACTCAATGCTTTTGGATTAGAAGATGATTTTTTATGTGACAATACTGCACAAAGCAAACTGCAAATTCATTGTGATTTCTATGAAAATACCAAAGTCCTTTTGGCAGAAATGGACAAGCCAATTCTAACATTCATATACTTTTCAGGGGATCCTGAATAGCCAAAATATTCTTGAAAACAAAAACCAACTTAGAGACTCACATTTCTCAATTTCAAATATTACTGCTAAGCAGCAGTCATCAAAACAGCATAATACTGGTATAAGGACACACACAGAGGTCAATGGAACTGAAGGTTAAATCCAACGGTACCTCTACAATTGTCTACAATTGTCAATTGTAGACAATTGATTTTTGACATGTAACCAAGATCAGTAAATTCAACAAATGCTGTTATGCAACTGAATACCGCATTCAGACAAAGAAATTGTACTTTTCTCACAACAGAAAATAAAATTAACAGAAAATGTTTCAAAGCCTACATATTAGAGGTAAAAAAAGAAACTTTAGAAGAAAATATGGGGATAGATCTTCATAATGTTGGATTTAGCAGTGGTTTCTTAGATCTGATACCAAAAGCACAGTCAACTAAAGAAAGAATTTTCTCAAAATTAAACATTTTTGTGCATCAAAAGACACTATCAAGAAAGTGAAAAGACATGGTACAGAAAGGAAGGCTTGCATTTTATGTGTGTAACAACAGTCTGTTATCGACAATGTATGAAGACTTTGCATACCCCAGTAACAAAAAAAAAAGACAAACAATCCAGGTACAAAACAGAGAAGTAGTTGACTACACACTTCACCAAAAAGACATGCATATGGAATACAAGCACATAAAAAGATGACCAGTAAAATATATAAGTTTTACTCCATCAGGTGTTTCCTAAATAAGCTTTCCTCATAGTCATGTGATTCCGTGTGGGAAAATTAGTCCTGTCCAGCTTGACCTGAGGAGCAGCTAAGGTAACAATATTGCTGGGGAGCAAGTTTGCTTGGATGAGAAAATAAATATCTGGCAGGAAATAATATTCTGAAATGAAAACTTTCTTGCTGGACTAGAGTTTCCAATAGAGCTGACAGTTTGTCCCTCAGCCTCCATGGGCCCAAAATTTATCATCCAGAAGGAAGTAATAAGGGAAGTCATTAAGTTAATGAGGTACATGGATACACAAATGCCCCAAGTCTCATATCAAAGCTGTGACATAATTACATACCCTCACAGCATTTCAATATTCAAATATTAACAACTCATCTGCTTAAATAGCTAAGCTTACTTTATTTACTTTACACTGTACAGTTAAGGAGGTTTACAAATATTTATATGAATTGTCATGTCATGTTCTAGGACTTTTTTGTCACTTAAATGTATTGATGCACTACGTTACATGTAAGTACTTAAACCTAACATAACTTGGAATTAATAACACACAGTTACGGAAGATAGCAAGGTAACAGTCTGCCCAATAAATTCTTATGTAATTTCAATAATTAATAGGGTCATTTGTCTTCAGCACTGAGATGTTGTATTTACTAATTTCCCCAAACATGAACTTTCATTGCATTAACTATCATTTCCTTGATTTATAAGTTGAGAGTGATCTCATCAATTACCTAACAAATAATGAATTTCTTTTCATCTTTAGAAACAGCACATTATTATCTTTTCTACAGTTAAATAGCACAAGCTCTGACTTTATTAGCTGGACAAAGCCTTGGGAAATTAGATAAGTGTGGGCACTAGGTGAATAGATTGAGAGATAGCACATAAAATTCCTGAGACACTCCAGACACTGTGTTCCCACAATTAAAATCAGATGAGACTGCAGGCAGTTGAGCGGACTGAGTGGGCACGGGAAACAGGCAGGAGAACTTGGGGTCTGCAGCCATGGTGAGTTCTATGGTTCTTGTTCTAAGGTCAGTGGGAAACCACTGGCAAAATTAAATCAGGAGAGTGACAGGATGAAACTTGTGTTTGTAAGTGAATATTTTGCCATTACCATTACCAGTACCAATCCTGTATTTCCTGATGTTGTAGTTATGTGGTGGTACCCTTGGAGAATGTCTCCACTTTTTGTAAAACCCACTGGGATATTCTGCATAAAGCTTCAAATCTGGCACAGCAGAAACCACTGGAGATTCTGGAAGAGAGGATTAATCTATACTAATAGCTATTGGAAGTTTCCTAGAAGTATGAAATTATTGAGAAATAAACTACTTTTTAATAAAAACAACCATGTCAATACCTTTTCACTAAAGCAGAGACAACAACATCAAACATCATTATAGAGGCCAAATCCAACCCAAATCCAGCTCAGTGGAAGCTCTGAAAGAAAGTGCCCCAGTAAGAGTAGGAATGTTATGTCAGTATTGCAGGTGTTACATCTTTATGATGAGTGTTACGTCAGTAATTATGGGTGTTACATCAGTATTATGGTTGTTTCATTTGTATTACAGATGTTGTGTTAGTATTATGGGTGTTAGTATTACCGGTGTTACATCAGTATTACAGTTGTTACATCAGTATTACCGTTGCTATATTTGTATTGCAGGATGATATACTGGTATTATGAGTGGTATATTGGTATTATGAGTGTTACAGTTGTATTAGAGGTGTCAGGACAGCATTACACATGTTACATAAGTGTTATGGGTGTTTCATTTGTATTGTGGGTTGTATATTGGTATTATGAGAGTGATGCTTGTATTATGGGTCTTAGATCAGTATTATGGTTGTTATATTTGTGTTTCAGATGGTATACTGGTATTATGAGTGTTTTATTGCTGTTAATGAGTGTTACAGTGGTAATATGGGTGTTAGATCAGTATTTCAGGTGTTACATTAGTATTAGGAATGACACATCTGTATTATGGTTGATATATTTGTTTACAGATGTTATATGTCTATTACAGATGTTATATGACGAATGATACATTTGTGGCATGAGGCCACAGTGTGGACCTGGCATTGTGGCCACTACACCTTGTGTGTGGGGAAGGACGTTGGGGTGCACTAAAGCCATGGGATATTTTTATGTTTAATTTTCCACAAGAAGCACTTCTCCTGGGTCCCTGATCCTCAGCAGTCAGAGGGAAGTTTTTACTTACCACTCCCTGCAGCTGTCCCACAGCAAGGCGTTGTTGCTCTGGTCTGTGCTGAGAAGAACGCTGCTCTCCCCCTCAAGCAGCATGCGCTGAAAACACCTGCACTCCCAGGGTCAGAAGAGGCAGACTCTTGCGTCCCCTGCTAGCAGCCGGAAGAACTGCAGGACACTCATGGTCAAGGTGAAGCAGCCACGTGCGACGCCCCGCCTGGCTGGCCTGCGGCACCAAATAAAAGCAGAGGTCAGACTGTTCAAAGCCGTCATTTTAGAAATTCAAATGGAAATGTTGCCTATTATCTTGGTTTCTTTTTGTTTGTTTGTTTTAGTTTCAGGTGTACGTGTGAAGGTTTGTTATATAGGTAAACTCCTGTCACGGACGTTCGTTGTATAGATTATTTCATCATCCAGGTATTAAGTCTAGGACTCAATAGTTATTTTTCCTGCTGGTCTCTCTTTTCCCACCCTCCACCCTCAAGTAGGTCCCATGCCTATTGTTCCCTTCTTTGTGTTCATGAGTTGTCATCATTTAGCTCCCACTTCTAGTGAAAATATGTGATATTTGGTTTACTGTTCCTACATTACTTTGCTAAAGATAATATCCTCCAGCTCCATCCATGTTCCCTCAAAGGCATAACTGTATTCTTTTTTATGGCGGCATAGTATTTTGTGTGGGTATGTGCCACATTTTCTTTAATCCAAACCATCACTGATGGGCATTTAGATTAATTCCATGTCTTCTGTTGGGAAGAGTCCGCATGAACATTTGCATTCATGTGTCTTTATGGTATAATGATTTATATTCCTTTGAGTACATATCCAGTAAAGGGAATGCTGGGTTGAACAGTAGTTCTGCTTTCCAGTCTTTGAGGAATTGCCCTACTGCTTTCCCCAACAGTTGAACTAATTTACATTCCTACCAACAGTGCATAATTTTTCCTTGATTTCTGTAACCTCGCCTGCATCTGTTATAAATTTCTTTACGATAATAGCCATTCTGACAGGTATGAGATGGTATGTCATTGTTTTTTTTCTTTGATTTGCACTTCTTTAATAATCAATAATATTGAGCTTTTAAAAATAAGTTTATTGGCTGCCTGTATGTCCTTTGAAAAGTGTCTGTTCGCACTTCTCAAAGGAAGACATTTATGCAACCAACATACGAAAAATGCTCATCATCACTGGCCATTAGAGAAATGCAAACTACGATGCCATGGTGGTTTGCTGCACCCATCAACTCATCACCTACATTAGGTATTTCTCCTAATGTTTTCTCCGCACTATCCCACCACCCGCCACCATGTGATGTTTTTCTCCCTGTGTCCATGTGTACTCATTGTTCAACTCGCACTTGAAAATGAGAACATGTGGTGTTTGGTTTTCTTTTTTTCTGATAGATTGCTGAGAATGATGTTTGCCAGCTTCTTTCATGTCCCTGCAAAAGACATGAACTCATCCACTTTTACGGCTGCATACTATCCCATGGTGTATATGTGTCACCTTTTCTTTATTCAGTCTATTATTGATGTACATTTGGGTTGGTTCCAAGTATTTGCTACTGTGAATAGTGCTGCGATAAATATACGTGTGCATGTGTCTTTATAGTAGAATGATTTATAGTCCTTTGGTTATACGCGCAGTAAGGGGATTGCTGGGTCAAACGGTATTTCTTGTCTTCCACAAGATCCTAGTCTTCCACAAGGGTTAAATTATTAACAATCCCACCAACACTGTAAAAGCATTTCTATTTCTCCACATCCTCTGCAGCATCTGCAGTTTTCTGATATTTTAATGATCGCCATTCTAACTGGTTTGAGAGGGTATCTCACTGTGGTTTGGATTTGTATTTCTCTAATAACGAGTGATAAATTAATGAGCATTTTTTCATATGTTTCTTGGCGGCATCAAAGTCTTCTTTTGTGGAGTGTCTGTTCATATCCTTTGCCCACTGTTTGATGAGGTTGTTTGTTTATTTCTTGTAAACTTGTTTAAGTTCCCTGTAGATTCCTGATATTAGCCTTGTCTCAGATAGATAGATTGCAAGATTTTTCACCCATTCTGTAGGTTGTCTGTTCACGTTGTTGATAGTTTATTTTGCTGTGCAGAAGCTCTTTAGTTTAATTAGATCCCATCTGTCAATTTTGGCTTTTATTGCCATCGCTCTTGGTGTTTAAACATGAAGACTTTGCACATGCCTATGTCCTGAATGGTATTGCCTAGGTTTTCTTCTAGGTATTTTATGGTTTTAATCCTTACGTTTAATTCTTTAATCCATCTTGAGTTCATTTTTGCATAAGGTATAAGGAAGTGGTCCAGTTTCAGTTTTCTGAATAGCTAGCCAGTTTTTTCAACGTCATTCATTAAAGGGAAAATATTTCCCCCATTGCTTGCTTGTTTCAGGTTTGTCAAAGATCAGATGGTAGTAGATGTGTCGTATTATTTCTGAGGCCACTATGCTGTTCCATTAGTCTATATATCTATTTTGGTACAAGTACCGTGCTGTTTTGGTTACTGTAGCCTTGTAATATAGTTTGAAGTCAGGTAGTGTGATGCCTCCAGCTTTGTTCTTTTTGCTTAAGATTGTCTTGGCTGTGCAGGCTCTTTTTTGGTTCCATATGAATTTTAAGGTTTTTTCCAATTCTGTGAAGAAAGTGATTGGTAGCTTGATGGGGATAGCACTGAATCTATAAATTACTTTGGGTAGTATGGCCATTTTTACAATATTGATCTGCCTATCCATGAGCATGGAAGGTTTTTTCATTTCTTTATGCCCTCTATTATTTCCTTGAGCATTGGTTTGAAGTTCTCCTTGAATAGTTTCTTCACATCCCCTGTAAGTTGTATTCCTAGGCATTTTATTCACTTAGTAGCAACTGTGAATGGGAGTTTACCCATAATTTCACTGTCTGTTTCTCTGTTATTGTGTGTAGGAATGCTTGTGATTTTTGCACATTGATTTTGAATCCTGAGGCTTATCTGAAGTTGCTTACCAGCTCAAGGTGATTTTGTGCTGAGATGGCGGGTTTTCTAAGTATATAATAATGACCTCTGCAAACAGAGACGATTTGACTTCCTCTCTTCCGATTTGAATACCCTTTATTTATTTCTTCCTCTTGCCTGATTGCCCTGGCCAGAAGTTTCAATACAATTTTGAATAAGAGTGAAAACAGAGTGTATCCTTGCATCGTACAGGTTTCCAACGGGAATGCTTCCAATTTTTGCCCATTCGGTATGATATTGGCGGTGGCTTTGCCATAAGTAGGTCTTATTATTTTGAGATACCTTCCATCCTTACCTAGTTGACTGAGAGATTTTACATAAAGGGGTGTTGAATTTTGATGAAGTCCTTTTCTGCATCTATGAAGATAATCATGTGGTTTTTGTCATTTGTTCTGTTTATGTGATGTGTTACATTTACTGATATGCGTATGTTGAACTAGCCTTGTATCCCAGGGATAAAGCTGACATAATCGTGGTGGATAAGCTTTATGATGTGCTGCTGGATTCAGTTTGCCAGTATTTTATTGAGGATTTTCACAGCAATGTTCATGAGGGATATTGGCCTGAAATTTTCTTTTTTGGTGAGCCTCTGCCAGGTTTTTAGCATCAGAATAATGCTGGCCTCATAAAATTATTTAAGGAGGATTTCCTTTTTTTATTGTTTGTAATAATATCAGAAGGAATGGTACCAGTTCCTCTTTGTATCTCTGGTAGAATTCGGCTATGAATCTGTCTGGTACTGGATTTTCTTGGTTGGTAGGCTATCAGTTACTGCCTCAGTTTCAGAACTTGTTAATGGTCTATTCATGAATTTAACATCTTCCTGGTGTAGACATGGGAGGGTGTATACGTCAAGGCATTTATCCATTTCTTTTAGATTATCTAGTTTATTTGCCGAGAGCTGTTTATAGTATTATCTGATGGTAGTTTCTATTTCTGTGGGATCAGTGGTGATATTCCCTATATCAGTTTTTGTTGCATCTATTTTATTTTTCTCTCTTTTCTTCTTTATTATTTTGGCTAGTGGTCTATCTATTTTGTTGATATTCTCAAAAAACCAGCGCGTGGATTTATTGATTTTTGAAAGTTTTTTTTGAACTATCTCCTTTAGTTCTTCTCTGATGTTAGTTATTTCTTGTCTTCTGCTAGCTTTTGAATTGGTTTGCTGTTACTTCACTATTTCTTTTCATTTTAATGTTAGCGTGTCTATTTTAGATCTTTCCTGCTTTATCTTGTGGGCATTTAATGCTATCAATTTTTCTCTACACACTGCTTTAAATGTGCCCCAGAGATGGTGATACGTTGTGTCTTCATTATCATTGGTATCAAAGAACATCTTTATTTCTGCCTTATTTTGTTATTTACTCATCAGTGATTTAGGAACAGGTTGTTCAATTTCTATGTTGTTGTGTGGTTTTGAGTGAGTTTCTTAATCTGGGTTCTAATTTGATTGCACTATGGTCTGGAAGGCTCTTTGTTATAATTTGCATTCTTTGGCATTTGTTGAGGAGTGTTTTACTTCCAATTATGTGGTCAATTTTTGAATACATGTTATGTGACACCGAGAAGAATGTATATTCTGTTGATTGGGGGTGGATAGTTCTGCAGATGTCTATTAGGTTTACTTAGTCCACAGCTGATTTCAGGTCCTGCAAATCCTTGTTAATTTTCTGCCTCATTGATTGCTGCCTGTTCTTTTCTCTGGAAGCTTCATCCCCAAGGGGCACCTTCAGATTCCAGCCAGTGCTCTCCTGTATGAGGTGTCTCCCAGTCAGGATACACAGAGGCCATGGATCCACTTGAGAAGGCAGTCTGACCATTAGCAGAGCTCAAACGCTGTGATGGGAGGTCTGCTGCTCTCTTCACAGCCATCAGGCAGTTATGTTGAAGTCTGTGATGCTGCATCCATGGCTGCCCCTTCCCCCAGATGTTCTGTCCCAGGGAGACCGGGGTTTTATTTATAAGCCCCTGACTGGGGATTCTGTCATTTTTTCAGAAAAGTCTTGCATAGAGAGGAGAAATCTGGCAGCCTAGCCACATCAGCCTTGCTGAGCTGCAGTTGGCTCCAACCAATTCAAACTTCCCTGTGGTTTTATTTACACTACAAAGGTAAAATGGCCTACTCAAGGCTCAGCAATGGCGGATGACCCTCCCCCTAGACAAGCTCGAGTATTTCAGGTCGATCTCAGACTGCTGCTGTGCTGGCAGAGAGAATTTCAAGCCAGTGAACCTTAGTTTGTTTGCCTCTGTAGGGGGTGTCACTCCCCAAGCCAGACCACTTGGCTCCTTGGCCTCATCACCTCTCTCCAGGGGAGTGAACGGTTCTGTCTCCTTAACATGCCAGGCACAATTGAGGTATGAAAACAAACAAACAAAAAAAAAATTCTTTCAGCTAGTTCAGTGTTTGCTCTAACAGCTGCCCAGTTTTGTGCTTGAAACCCACGGCCTTCATGGGGTAGGCACCAAAGGGAATATCCTGGTCTGTAGGTTGTGAAGACCATGGGAGAAGCGCATATCTGGAATAGGGCCCTTGGTTTCTCAGGCTTCCCCGGTGAGGTGATGCCTCACCCTGCTTCATCTCACACTCCATGGACTGCACCCACTGCCCAACCATTCCCAGTGAGATGAACAGTGTACCTCAGGTGGAAATGCAGGAATCACTCACCTTCTGCATTGATCTCTCTGGGAGCTGCAATCTGGAGCTGTTTTTATTCAGCAATCTTGCCAGCAATTCCCCCTCATTTTTTTTTTTTTTTTTTAATGGTGAAGGAGCCATTAACTGGAAATGTAAAACTATGCAAATTCTAGAAGAAAGCACAGACATAAATGTATGTGATCTTGGATTTGGCCACAAGTTTTAACAAATGACAACAAAGCCGATCAGCAACGGTAAAAAAAAAATTAATAATTTAAGGTTTCTCATATTAAAAGCTTATACTCTGAGTAAAATCTTGTTCAGGAAATAGAAAGATAAGCAACAGACTGAAAATAAATATCTGCAAAATACAGATCGGGGTAAAAACTTGCACTGAAAATACGCAAATCTTGAAACTCAACAATAAAACAGACTACCCAATTGACAATGTGTAAAAAGCTGAGCTCACCAATGAAAATACAAAGATGGCAAGCAAACAAAAAGATGCTCAAACTCATATATCTTTAAGTGACTGAAAATTACAACGAGTTAGCATGGCCCATCTATATTTGTTGGAATGGCTAAACCATTTTTAAAACATGACAACTGATTTGCTGCAGGAAAAACAACAATTCATTCATTGCTTGTGGAATGCATGATGGCACAGAAAGAAAAAGAACTCTTTCAAACTCTCATGTTAACCTGAAAGCCTGTTTCTGTCCTCTACCATACACACAAGGTGCTATCTGGTCTACCTTTTGGTGACAGACTCGAGATCCAATATAATCTGTGCATCTGTAAGAAGCAGCTGGGATCCAGACAGAAGGCAGATGGTCCCCACAGTCAAAGTCATCTAAGAACTTTTTAATAAAGAGGGACTTATTCAGGGTATCTACAAAAGATAGTGGAGTTCCCTGGGATAGTAACAGGACCATAGTCTTTGTACTCCTTGGTAATGGAGAATTAGGGGAGAGATAAATTCTCAGCACTGGAGAGACAGAGATGGTTCAGAGCACTTGAAAGATGTCATCACAGGCACTATGACCTCTCTGGGACTTGATATGAAGCAGCCAGTCTAGGGCCACTGTATGTGGAGGCTGGTGTCCCCACTAGCCAAACCCAATCAGCAGGCAGAGAGTAAAAAAAATGCCTTGACACCACCTAGAGGCAGGTTAGCAGAGTTTAATCCAGAAATCATAATTTTATAAATCTTTCCAATTTAAGCCTCCTTTACAAGTATAAAACATAGTTTTATACTGACTTAGTATGAATCACTAATACATGCAAGCCATGCACAGTGGCTCATGTCTGTAATCCTGGCTATTTGTGAGGCCCAGACTAGTGGAACATTTTGGTCAAAAGATTGAGACCAGCCTGGCCAACACGGTGAAACCCTGTCTCTATTAAGCATATAAAAATTAGCTGTGTGTGTGTGGAGCGGGTGGGGGGGGGGGGGCGGTAAATTCCTGTAGTCTTACCTACTTGAGAGGCAGAGGCAGGAGAATTGCTTGAACATAGGAGGTGGACATATGGTTTAAGAGATGCATGTTTTTATTTTTATTCTCTTCCAGTTTTTCTTCCTTTAGTAGTAAATAGTCACTTATCTCTTGAACACTTTCATTCACAATATATTTGTTTTGTTATTGCCAAAGACTGTGCTTTGACAGACATTAACTCAATCTGAAAGTTAACAAGGAAAATTTGCATTTGAATGATGACTTTACAGTGCTGCAAAAGTAAAAGCTGGCAGGCTCCTTTTAGCATAGCGTCACAATTTAACTGAGGTCACTGAACCGATGTCTGAATCTCTGCAATAAGATGCAAACTACAGTAACAAAAATTGTCTTCTGCCCTGCAGTTGGGGCAGAGGAAGTTTTATGGACAACATCCCATGAAGCAAGTCCTTCTAAGTAAGATTATAACCCCATTTTGCATAGGCATTGAAGAACTTAAAACAGTCACTCATCATACCAATATAGGTTTGTTTTAAATATGAAAAGATAAGGTAAAAATGGCCAGGCATGGTGGCTCCCGCCTGTAACTCCAGCACTTTGGGAGGCCAACATGAGAGGATAGCTTGAGCTCAGAATTTCCAGACTACCTTGGGCAACAAGGAAAATCCCGGTCTCTACTAAAAGTACAGCCAGACACTGGCTCAAGCCTGTAATCCCAGCACACTGGGAGACCATCATGGGCAGATCACTTGAGGTAAAAAATTTGCCAACTCCAGCCAACATGGTGAAACCCAATCTCTACTAAAACTATAAATATTAGCCAGGCATGGTAGCAGGTGTCTGTAATCCCCGCTACCCAGGAGGTTGAAACAGGAAAAATCACTTGAAAACAAAGGCAGTGGTAGCAGTGAGCCCAGTTTGCATCATTACACTCAAGCCTGGACAACAGAATGAGACTCCATCTTAAAAAATTAAAAAGTAAAAAAGTAAAAAACAAAAACAAAACAAAAACACATAATTTTCTTGGTGTGGTGGGGTATGGCTATAATCCGAGCTTCTCGGGAGGTGGAGACACAAGAATTGCTTTACCCTGGGAGGTGATGATTGTAGTGAGCCGATATAACACTAGTGCACTCCACACTGAATGACATAATGAGGCTCAGTCTCAAAAAAAAAAAAAAGTAACATTTTGCGTAGAGCTTTTCTTTTCTTAGTATACTGTATGCCATATTTGAATAAGAAGGCATACAAAGTTCTCACAAAAGTTCAACTTGCAAAAATGTTTTAAGTGCCTAAAATTCCAGCTTCATCTTCAGACAGCAAGCATAAAAATAAACAGAAAATTAAACAAGCAATGGCAGGTGGTAAATGCACTGCATTTAGTTTTAATATGTGAGATAACACTATAATGTCAAAAATTCTAGCTGCTGCTGATGAAAGGAAAGAACAGGTTAATGTAGAAACAGAACAATAATAATATTGGCCACCTGCTATGAACTAGGCTCATACGTTAACTCACTGAATTCCCTCAACAACCCTATAATGTGGAAAACATCCTAGAGTTTACAGCTGAGGAATCTGCAATCAAAGGACCTGCCCAGAGGCACACAAGAAATTGGGCCACAGATAGGATTCAAGGAGGACTCTAAGACCCAAAGCACTGTCTACACTTTCATATATGATGTTGGTTGAAATTAAGAACTGTTGAGTTAACTTTAGTCATCCCCCTCTTTGCCGTAGAAATGGCAGTTTAAACATCTCGAGAGAAAGACTTTGGATAAATTATACATGACTAAAATTTTATATATTCATTAAAATGTATTTCAAAAAATATGCTAAAAAATTCTTGGAGTTCTTACATAAAACTTACAGATTGATTGAGTTCCTCCTTTTTTGGATTACTAACTGTGAGCTCCTCTTGCAAGTAAACAGCTTTTCCTGAAATAAATAGCCCTTTAAACATCATAATGTTTTCCTTGTGAATACAAAAGCTATTTAATATTTATGGCCAGTCTGTCAGACCTAATGACCATTATTTTATAATATGAAATAGCCTGTGTAGGGAATAAAATTTTCACAGGCAAGTAAGAAATAAGCCCTGTTAGTTAACAGGTGACGTGAAGCTATAACTGTCATCTATGTGGTGAAATTCCACCATCTACACCTGCTAACCAGAGAGGTTTTAAGTTCCTTGAAGAAGAAGATCTGTCTGTTACTATATTGTAAAAGACAATATTGTTATTGTATTGTAGGTATTACTTTGTCATTTTCATTTTATCTAACTTGAATCTATGTAGATATAATATCAAGGCAAAATTTGTTACATAGATGATGGTACTAATTTATAAAAGAAGTGTTAGTCTCCACAAGATAGTAGTAAAAGGGGAAGCCACACACTGGGTGTCTGGACAACATCAAATAACTACTTTGGTATACTCCCAAGAATCTATTTGAATATTCCACCAAAACTTCACTTCTCATTACAGGCAATTTCCTAAAAATATATTGAAATATAAAATATCTGAAGATTGAGACATTACTCATCTTCCAGTCTCAAGGGCAATATACACAAGAATTCAGGAGGTTATATGTAAAGTAAAAATATTATAAATAAAAAAAAATATGAGAAGGCAACAAAATAAGAAGCTATGTCACAGGAAACAGAGAAGTTAAAATTTTTCCATAAGTGAAAAAGAACGTATCTCATGGCTAAAAGTAATAGGCACCAGAGGCAATAAGTTGCTGCCAGCTTCTTGATAATTGCAGATTTATCAAAATATGTTGAAATAAAGTTTAATAAAATATCCAGAAAAAAATCTCTGGGCTTTCTGTTTATATAAAATATTAAAAATAATGGTTTCTCAAAAGGAGGGAAGACAATTCTTTTTTTAAATTTTAGATAATTAATATTACACCAAAAGTGTACTATAGACAAGAAAAATAGCATAAGCTATTTTTTAATATAAAACAGACTCAACTAGGGAAGCTAATACCTTGTATCAAAACTGAAAACTACGGCTTCTTGCCCCACCCAAACAATACCTTTATTCTTCCTTTCCTCTTCAATCACTCGACTAGTTCTAATGATGTAGTCATCCGTTAGTTGAAGTTGATATCTGAGTATCAGAACGAGTAAATATAAGTTTCACAGTTGTCTTTCCAGAAAGATGCTTATCAATGCAGGACCTTATCTATGGTACAGATACAGCTGAGGGCGCTGAATATGACATTGTGGGACTTCAAAGTCCCTCAGTGCTAAAGCCAGGGATATGACTTTCAAACATAAAATGTCCAACAAAACCCTGCCTTGGTGTTATAAAGCACAATCATACAAAATGCAGGGTTGTGTTTTCATAAGGTTACTGAAAGCATTCCTTTCCAGTTGGTCTCAACTGGCCCAAAGAACAGGGAAGACAGTTAAATTTACACAGCACACAACAGACTCAATCCCAAATGATAATTAGACAGTCACTTTCAACCCACCTGTACTATCTGCACAGCCCAAACAAATGTAAGGATTTTGGGCCCAGGGACAAAGCCCAGTCCAGGGAACCAGGTGCTAAAAGCATTATATCTGAATTAGCAATATCCAAAGGCACATTTTCACATTTTTACTTTTGTTTCTCAGCTTTTACAAGTTGACTTTTGATTCCAAAAGGATGAAGAAACATTCCTGTTGTGAACAGTCCTCAAACTCCAAGCTTGCCAAAGTCATATGAGAACTCCCAAAGCCAGAAATACACCATGCAGGCCATGGAAGCTGTCACAATGGTACCAAACAGTTCACTAGCTCCATAACTATATAAAATTAACATACTTTAATAAATGTATTACTAAAAATTACTAACTGTAAAACTAAAAATTACTAAAAACTACTAATAAATGTATTATTAAAAAAATTACAGAAACTTCATGTCAGCTATTTTAATATAGAAACTGACCAAAAAATTGGATAAAATACTTCATTTTCATCACGAAAAGTAAAGTTTCTCGTGGTTAGAAGTAATATGTACCAGAGGCAATAAGCTTCTGCCAACTTCTCGACGACTACAGATTTATGAAAATATATTGAGAATATATTGGGAATTCAGAATCTATAAATAACTGTTCTATATTTTAAAAATAGAATTTGTTTATAGAATAACCTCAAGAAACCTTTGCAAGTTCTGTGTAATGGAATATTGATGATAAATTATGAGGAAGGCAATTAAAAACAGGCCACATAAATAAATGCCCAGAGCACGTGAGTTGAGTCATCTCTTCCGGACACATTAACAGCAAATATTAACTGAGGATTTTGTATGTGTCAGATGCTTTCGAACCCACTGAAAAGTTACCACATGGGCATAAAGTCTTACAACTGACGTATTACTCACTTATACACAAGGTGAGAGTAAAGCAAAGCCAAATTAACGACAGTTGTCCATATTTTGCTTTCCCTATATCAATTTTTGCCCCACATAGTTAATTTTAGCTCCTTTCTTGTGATCATGACTTTGCAGAATCATGAAGGAATACAAGACACACGTTCACTGACAAACAATCTGACCACTAAGTATACTTTATACATTGTTAGATATCCCCATCTTTGTGGCAGTATGAGTGTGGTAGAGAAAAAGGAAACTAAAAGTTATTATAATTCAAACTACATCTTATTAATTATGCAACCTGAGCAAGTCGCAACGTGCCCTGAAATTTAAAGCAAATCTCAGTCCTTGATAAATATTCAAGAAGCCATGAGTAAGAAGAACAGAGGATGTGCTTTTCTACACCTTATCTTTTAAAAGCTACCCTAACTCAAATGCAAGAATATATTGGCTGTTGATAAACATATGTATTTTTAACACTAAAGTTTGCATAAAAGATTAATCATAGACTACTTCCTCGGCTTTTGTTATATTTCTACAAATGTAATTTAAACATATTACTTCTTCAAATGTGCCAAACAATTACTTTAGAAGTACGTTTTTTAGGTTTCAGTCATAGGTTTCCTCAAGACACTTTGTATTCTGCTCCCATCTCCTAAGTCCTCAGTCATGCTTTTATGTTTTTCTTCCTGGAGTTCCTGGGTTCTGAAATTAGCAAAAAACATAAAGTAAATAAACTATAATAGCTGAGTTAACAAATTTAGGAAAAACATCACGTGACACCTTTTTAGTTCAACAGACTAAAACTGCTCCATGACCAGCCTGGACAACATAGCAAGACCCTGTCTCTTAAAACCAAAAAACACCAACAAAAAATCCCTATGAAACAAACAAAAAAAAAACCGATTGATTGAATATTGATCAAGTACCAAAAGAGAGGGCAACAGATAGATGGGTCATTCAGGGCTTCCACATACTTAAGAATAGAATGATCTTCATAGTGAGACTTCAAATCACCCATTACACCAACTCCCCAGCCAGGGAGGTGGATTCACAGGAGATGAGATCCAGCCATCCTGAGAAGCACTGCAAAACACTAACTAGTCTAAGAGCAGTTAAAAGCTCCAGGTATTAGCTCCCTCTTCTGGTAATCTGGAACGCCATGGAGAGGTAAACTACATTGATTGTGTATATACGCTGAGAGAAGGGAAAAGGAGTAGAGAAAATGGAGGTTAAAAAAAGTGACACACACTCCTTGCCCAAATGTTTCTCTTTTTTTCGTCTCTCTCTCTCTCTCTCGTTTAATCTACCTTTTCATTACTGCCAAAAAGAGAGTAAGATACACAGTGGGCTGAAATAAAAAATCAAACCTATAGAAGTGAGAAAACAACGTTAAATAAGATGGGGACAAATTCTTTAATGAGCTAAAAGCCTAAAATATCTATGGGTGTCAATTAACAGAATATTCCCAATGGAAAGGAAAACTTCTTGTGCAAACTATACACAGGTGAGCTTTCTGTCAATCCCAGGTAATATATGAAGGATGAAACATTTCTGAGCACACAGAAAAAGTGAATAGCATTGAGAAATAGTTTCATCCAGTACAAGTCAAACCACAATACTTCCTTTTTTGAGCACAGAGCAGGTAAAAGCTTCAGGCCTGGATATTTGGAATTCGGCTACAATACATAAACACACAAAAATATCAGACCTGAAGGTCTGAAGTTAACTTTAAAATGTATGATCTGTTCAAGTGTCATACAGCTTCTCCAAATTTTCTATTTGGTGTTACTGTAGCCTAGTGATAGCATTTCATGTTAACGTTTAATATTTCAAAAGCACAGACCTAATATTTGTTTCTGTTAATGTGTAACTTCTAATGCTGGGTGAGATCACCTTTATAAAAAATAATTCTACTTGTCAGTAAACATTACAATATTTAGACATATATTTAGTAATTCTTTTTAATCTCATCATTCCGAAGATTCAAGATAAACATGCATATGCATAATTCAAAAGCTTCAACTCTCTGCTTTAGCTTTGCCTTTTTTCCTCTTAACAAATCTATATCTTTTAGTAAAACAAGGCTTTGAGCATAGATTTTCTTGTTTCAATCTGTAAAAAAGCATTAATTTTGGCCGATTGTTGTGGCTCATGCTTGTAATCCCAGCATTTTGGGAGACTGAGGCAGAGGCAGATAGGTCACGAGGTCAGGAGATGAAGATCACACCGGCCAAGGTGGCAAAACCCCATCTCTACTGAAAATACAAAAGTTACCTGGGCATGGTGGCAGGCACCTGTAATTCCAGCTACTCAGGAGGTTGAGGCAGGAAATTGCTTGAAATTGACAGGCAGAATTTGCAATGAGCCGACATCACACCACTGTACTCCAGCCTGGGTGACAGAGCAAGACTATTTCTCAAAAAAAAAAAAAAAAAAAAAAGTTTTAGCAAGAAAGTTAATGGAAGCAGAACAAATTGAAATAAATATACTTCTAACTAAATTCCAAAAAACAAAGTACAGAAATTAAGAATACAATTTCCCCTTCAAGTGATTCCTACTCAGCTGGGCATGGTGATTCACTGCTGTAATCCTAGCCCTTTGTGAGGCCAAAACAGGCTGATCACCTGAGGTCAAAAGCTTGAGACCAGCCTTTCCCAATATGGTGAAACCACAATCTCTACAAAAATTACAAAAATTAACTGGGTAAGGTGGTCGGCACCTTTAATCCCAGCTAACTGGAAAGCTGAGGTAGGAGAATCACTTGAACCTGGGAGGCAGAGGTTTCAGTGAGTTGAGGTAGTACCATTGCACTCCAGCCTGGGCAAAAGATTAAAACTGCATCTCAAAAAAAAAAAAATCCAATTCAATGTCTTCCTCAACTAGCTATTCCAGCGGCACATGTATTTACATTTACTCTCCCAATTTCTGTTAAAGTACATTTCCATATATTGTTAACATCCCCGTGTAATCTATGCTACTTAATTAACATATCTCAGTCCCTTAGGTAATTTTAGGTAATCTTTGTTTTGAGACTCGGTTCTGCTCTGTTGCTCAGGCTTGAGTGCAGTGTTGTGATTTTGGGTAAATGCAACCTCTGCCTCCCAGACTCAAGGCATCATCCTACCTCAGTCTTCTGAGTAGCTGAGACTACAAACACACATCACCGAGTTCCCCTAATTTTTTTTTAGAGATGAGGTGGTGCCATGCTGCCCAGACTGGTGTTGAACCTCTGAGCTCAAATGAGATCCCCATCTCAGCCTCTCAAAGTGCTAAAACTATAAGCACGAGCCACCAGACCTAGCCCCCTTAACTAAAATTTGGGAAGTTCTTCAGGAAAATAAATAAACAAAATGTACATTCAGAAATAAAACTCCAAAGGAATAAAATCCCCATGGATTTTAGTGGTGGTGCTGCCTGAATGTTTCTGAGTCATCTAAATGTTCATGAGTCATTGTGATTCAGAGTTAGTAAGCTCACATGAACTTATAAATGAATGAGCCAACATTACACTTATGTCTTCACAGAGTAAGAATTTACTCTCTATCATATATCAAGCAGCATACTAGGAACTTGATATAAAAATGTAGACCGATGTAGTCCTCATCTCTGAAGACCTCACAGTATAGTCAGGGAGAAACAATCACGCTAAGATAGGATAATTTTATAACTGAGGTAAATAAAGACTGCAGACAGGAATAAGACCTAAATGAGTTGCTCAGTGGGAGTCAGGGAAGGCATCTCAGGGGTGACACCAAAGCTGGGCCTTGAATGACACTATGGTTTTATCAGAGAGAGACAGGATTGATATTGCAGGTGGGGAAATACAGGCATGGTGGTTTTTATGAGAATGACAATCTTCCTCAAAGGCTTCAGATATTCACGGTTGAATAAACAGAAACTTAGTCAGTCACCTATCTTGAAGATGAAGTTATTAGTCTAAACACAATCTAATCATCTCTAAGATCTGTGCATCCAACATTCAATTTTATAACTGAAGCAAGCTGAATTTCCAGAAATGCTATGGAAAATTTTAGAGTGAGTGCCCTTAGCATTAAACAACTATGTCTCATTGAGAAGCTCCAAGCAAGAGTGGGCACTAGGGGGAAGACTTCCTACTTTTAACATCTGGCAGCAGCAGTTTTAGATGTATGTTTGAAATACTGCTGTGAATCCTGTGTGGTCTAAGACATTCACATGGAAAAGGAATACAATTTCTTAAAGGAGTAGATCCAACCCAACTTGCCAACACAAACTCCCTGCCACTCCTCATCCCCTTCATCTCCTTTCAAGTTACTTTCCTGGTGATGAGATCAAATGGCCACATGGATGACCCTTGGGGCCCTGGTGACTCCTTCACTCCAGGGATCTTTACTCTTGCTCATTTCCATGGCTCCATCCAATGGCAGCACAGTACCTTTGACTTCCACTCTCTACCTGAAACCTCATTCTGCAGTTCTGCACTCCTGGACCATCTTTATTCTTCCACTTGCCAGTCTCTCCAGATCTAGTTCTTTATCACTGAAACTACCACTCAACCCTCCCTTTCCCCCTAGGTTACCAGCCACCTGCCCTCTCCTCTGCTTACCATCACTACACAGGAGATCCAGGGAATCTTCATGAGATAGGCTGCCTTTCTCAAGGACATTGAATTATGTTCTGCAAATCTCCACTTCCCAAGCATCTCCATCTTTCCACCCTCACTGAAAGGGACAGCAAGAGAGACCCTTAAAATTCCTCCCCAGAGGTAGAACAGAAAACTTGCCTACAAACATGTGGTTTTGTCTCTCTCACTTCCAGGGTTACCCCCACCACAGCTGGGCCTTCAGTACAGGTAATCAGTCTGCTCTGCTGTAAAGAGCTGTTCATACATTACCCACATGAGCTACTCTGCACCTCCAAGCTGCTCCTGAAACCTTTCATCTATCTCCTTAATTTGCCTGAGAAGATGAAGTTTTTTAGAGTGTGTTTCTCATAATTCCAACTTGGCTGATCACCTCTGCAAATCTTGCATTTCCAGAAGACTCAAAGGATGCAAATCTGTATCCTTTTCAAGGCCCATCATTCTTTTATTTTCAGTCTTGGCCACAGTCCCTACTGCTCTTCTGGGACCTTGTTCCATCAATTGTAACATCTCATTCCTTGAGTCAATCCAGTAACAGCTGTAGGAAATAGCCACCCAGTAAAATATTTGTAAATACCACCTCTTGGTGCTTTTGATGTCTCTCAAGGGTACTCTTTTTCCAAAGAATAAAGTTTTCAGATTCCGCTTGACAAGCTTTCTCAAAATCATTTCAGAACATAGATAATTCCTTCTCACACTCTATTATAACTTTCATAAAAAACTTCAATTGTGAATTGATTACAAATATAAAAGTTCCAATCATTATAATATAAGTGCAGTAACAGATTCTCCCTCCACAGCTAGTCTCCACATTAATGTTCTGTCCAAATGTGTTATATTTATTTAATCTATCATTTTATACCATTTGCTGTATTTGTAGGACTGAATCAAAAGGAATAAACAAATCTCATCAGAAAAAAATTGATATGCAAAACAGTGAAGTACCCTATTTTTTATTAAAAATTCCAGGTATTTTTTAGTATATCTAAGATTAAATCTTTAGATGGCCAACAAAAACATGCCTTATTAACTGTAACAAGATAAAGATTACCTTTTGACACATTTCTGCCAGAAGTTGCTTTTCTATTTCTCTCTTATCTTCATTTAGCTTTATTTCTAAAGACTCAAACTTTATATGCTTAGGATAAGCATCTGCCAGTTGATCACCAATAAGCTGAAGGTTGTCAGCTATTAAAAAGTAACAGGTCAAATTAGGACACAGAAGCATGGTCAGGTGTGTAAGAGGCCAGACTTCTAGCTCAAAAGTAGAGTATACTTAGGGGAAAATATGGGTGTCTGCAATTTACTTTGAAATACAAAAAAAAAAAAAAAAAAAAAAAGCAAGATAGATGAATAGATGGACAGACAAAAATGATGAAGTATGTATAATACAAATGTAATCGTGAAATCTAGGTGGTAGGTATGTAAATGTTGACTACAATTGTTTCAACTTTTCTATATGTTGAAAATGCTCGGGCATTTACCACCATCTACCACACTGAGCTAATTTATTTATTATTATTATTATTACTATTATTAATATTATTATTTGTATAGACAGGGTCTTCCTATGCTGCCTGCCCAAGCTGATCTCAAACTCGTGGCCTCAGGTGATCCTCCTACCTGGGCCTCCCAAGGTGCTGGAATCACAGGAATGAGCCTCTTTGTCTGGTTATAGCTTTTAAGAGTAAATCTGAAAAAAGTCCTTCCCATGCATGACATGAAACCTGGAAGCAATAAGGAGAAATATTTATCAATCTCACTACATAAAAATTAAAAGGTGGTGTCACAGTGTGAGAACTATGAGAACTGCTACCACAGTTTCTTTTATTTTCTTTCTTTCTTCCTTCTTTCCTGCCTTCCTTTCTTCCTTCACATTATTACAATGAAGCTTGGGAAATTAATACACAGCCCCAATGGCTGGCAAAAGTATATACTCAAATGATTAAGTTCTGAATGAATGGATGAATGAATAAATGTCTCTGTGGGGATTATAGAAATGCATGTAACAGACAAAATCCCAAGGGGGTAACAACACAAAAGGACCATTACTAATTCACAGATTATTTTAAAAGACCTAAGGGATAACTAAGCATTAAAAGGCAAGTTGCCAGCTTATGTTCATGCTACAAAGCCCATTATCAAGTCTAACAAATGGTGTGAAACCCACAGTAGTTACAAACTTTATAAATCTTTTGTATGAAGGCCAAAATTAAGGCAATTAATCAGGTCTGCGTAAACATTTAAGAACAAAAGTTATATTACACTTTACCAAACACATATTCTATTCATTAATGACATATTAATACATTTAATACTCTATCAATTGTATTTGAGAGGCATACCTAGTATACAAAGACACCTGGCCTAAAAGGCAGGTTTTTGAATGTTTTTTTTTTTTTAGAAATTTTGCCAACAGCGGATATGTTTACAAACAGTATCTCTTAGTGTGTCTGCAGGACTCTTGATACTGTCTGAAGTTTTCTTATTTGACTATATAAAGTTATTACAAAAGTGAAAATATGGGAATAATGACCTGCAGAACAGGTGAACTATTGTTTACAAACTAAGATGTGGTGAGCAAGGGAAAACATGTAATTTAAATGAAATGAAATGTCTTACACTTCTCCCTCAAAATTTGCTCCATTCTTTTATAAGGAAAACTACATAGAAAAACCTTGCTATACTTTACAAATACGTAGACTCCTACATTTTTGGTTTTCTTTATCAAATCCTGAGACCTATTAAAAACATATTTTCCCTTTATAATGCTATTCAGCTATAATTAACAAACCAAAGTAGATTACAGAAACTAAGTAATCTTACCGGTGATTTCTAGAAACCTGAAGTACGGTGATTTTTATTGAGTGCAATCCATCCTGCATAGTAAATACCTTAAGAAAATTAAAAGTTCCTACTTAGACACATGCTTATAGCAGTGTTTAAATGACACATTATAATATATTTATGAATATGAGATTAAGAAACATCCTTCAAAAAAATAAGATTACAAAGCAAAATTGAAGCTCTTTCTTACACTGTTAGATACATTACAAAAACATAGTGAGGTCAAAATAATAAAATATCTTTCTTGATCATGTAATTAACCTCTAAGTATTTTACGTCAAATGTCATTCAATTACATTTTTTTGAAAGTAGTGTTTAAAATTTAAATAAACTGAATTTTCACTGTCTTTACAATCATGATTAAAATGCACTTAAAATACTCTCAAACAGACATTTTGGGCAGCTATTTATATCTGTTTCTACTACAGTATATATCAATAATTATGTCTACTCTGAGAACACTGATATGTTTTCAAATGGATTTCCTTCAAAGAAAACATTTAGCATTGGCATCTTCTATTAGGAGAAACCATTAAGTTGTTTGAGCAGGATGAATTCCTGTTATAAGAATTATACAACTGGTAATTACACAATAAGTAGAATATGGAGTGATTATGAAATTAGAGAAAGATATATCAAAGATGAATTCCAGACAAGGCACAATGACTCACAGTTGTAATTACAGCACTTGGGCATGCTAAGCGGGCAGATGACATGAGCTCAGAATTCAAAACAACACTGCCCACCATAAGAAACCCAGTATCTATAAAAAAAAAAAAAAAAAAAATAGCAGAATGTGGTGGTGTGTGCCTGTACTCCCAGCCGCTTGAAAGGCTGCAGTAGTATAATTGCCTGAACCCAGCAGACAGTTATTGCAGTAAGCTGAGATTATACCGCTGCCCTTCAGACTTGGTGACAGAGTGAGACACTACTACTAAAAAATAAATAGGTAAATAAATACACTTATAAAACCGATAAGTAAAGTTTGGTTGCTTATGAGGAAACTCAACATGCTTAAAATTTTCATTCAAATACTGTACTAAGCCCAGGCATTGTGGCTCACATTTGTAATCCCTGCACTTTTGGAGGCTGAGGCAAATGGATCACTTGAGATCAGGAGTTCAAGACAAACCTGGCCAACATGGTGAAACCCCACCTCTACTAGAAATACAAAAATTAGCTGGGTACTTGGGTGAGCACCTGTAATTACAGCTACTTGAGCGGCTGAGGTGGGAGAATTGCTTGAACCCAGGAGGCAAAGTTTGCACCCCGAGATCATGCCACTACACTCCAGCCTGAGCAACAGAGTGATACTCCATCTCAAAGAAAATAATTACAATACCAAGCTTCTTGTGTCCTTAAAATTTGGAATATGAAATCTTTAGATAACTATGACAACATAAAGAAAATAAAGACATACACACACCACCAAGAGTGAAATTTAATGTAAACGATAGACTGGGAATAATGACATGTCAAGGTAGGTTTATCAATTGCAGAAAATGTACCACCTTGATGAAAGATGTTGACAGTGGGAAAGACTGTGCATGTGTAGGAGCACTGGGTGTATAGGAACTCTTTGTACTTCTCCATCTACCTGGCTGTGAACTAAAAACTGCTCTAAAAAACAAAGTCTACAAACACCACCCCGCCAACAACACACACACATATTCACAGGGAAACTTTGCTGCATCTACCTTTAAAGTAATAAACTGGGATGACTGTTCAACAATAATGGTGGAGAAATATAGTTCAAATAATTAGAAATGTACTAAGAAATAAAATGAGAGTGTCTTTATTATTAGGAAACTTTACAGATTTTTAAGAATTACATCACTTAAGTTACTTGATTCACCTCTCCACAGTCTGGTTCCTCATCTGTAACACGCTAAACATCTGTCATGTGTTTATCGCAGTGCCAAGCTCAGAGCAAACATTCAGCAGATTGGCAAAGTCTTATTAAATAACATGGAAAATAGATAAATCAGTTTTAGCTCTTAAAGCTGTAGAGATTGTAGATCACAATTTTACAAAAGACTAAATGGGATACCAAGAAATTAATTCCAAATTTAGTACCCACTTGTTATATAGCAAATGTATTATGTGCAGGTACGATGTAAATTCAAAGAGGAATGAGAAACAGAACTAGTTTAAAAGCAGTTAGCTATAATGCAGCATGTTAGAGTCTGCCAAGAAAAAACTGTTAATAAAAAGTTCAAAACAGAAAAGGAAATTCATTACATTTTCTTTTGCTAAACCAATTTCTGGAAAGAAAACAGAAAGTGAAGACTCATAGCCACATCTTTGTTAGTGATCGGCCACTGAAGAGTTAGAGGCTGCTAGTAAGAGGGAGTTCCCTTGCACTGAAATGAACGGAGATTGCAATGTTCCATTCAATTCAGGGTGCATCTACTCATAGATTAGCTGGTTTTGAATTTGTGTCTTGCCATGGAGGAAGGAAGAAAGAAAGGAAAAAAATAAAAACAGAATGGAGGAAGAAATAAAGGGAGGGAGGGAGAAAGGGAGGAAAGGAGAAAGGAAGAAAGGAAGGAAGAAAGAAAAGAAGGAAGGAAAGAAAGAAGGAAGGAAAGAAGGAAGGAAGGAGGGAAGTCAGACAAGTTAAAAAAAAAAAACTTCAGTGGGATTTTCTCAGTAGAGATATACACAGATGTGTTATATTCATTGGAAAACTTCCTTTTATTTCCATAATGTTGCTAGATCCATGGCCAGAAGTTAGGAACCTTCCCCTGCAGAAGTCTTATGCCCTGAGACAAGAAGGCCAGTGTGTTGTAGAAAAATGTTTATTTCCTCAGCTTCCAAGTGAAACTGATGATTAGCCAGACCCATTTGCAGACTCTTCACTTCACTCCCTAGAAGCCCATTTCAGTAGCTTACGCTTGGGCTATGAAGTATAAGAAAAAATTCTGCCATTTCTTCGCACCTCTGTGGACTGTTGGAAAATATAACCAAAATATTCAGCAAGGGACTGCTCGTGTGTTACAAAAATTTCCAAAGATAAATCTGTTACCACTAAAGATGAGGATTTCAAGAAACTTTTAAGGAAACAGAGAAATGCTCACACCATATAATTTAAATTTAAAAAGGACATATATACAAGATATATCTAAATATTTTGAATGTAAAATATGCTTTTGAAATACATATTGCAATGAAAACACGTTGAGTTAATGTTATTCCTAGCTGTTAATCCAAACATAAAGCATACCTACAGATATTTGCTGCTCAAATTAAATAGTCAGGCATATCAATATAGTTTAAAGATGAAGCTGTTCATTCCCAGACTATTAAAACAGCACATTAGTGTTTTCTATATGGTGTTAATGTTCCTCATCCTAATTTATTACAAACCCACTTGTCAGTTTAGCAACCTGTAAGCCAGATTTATAAAACAGGCCTAATCTTACTAAAACATGTTCATTATATAAATGCTTTCTGCTCCTATCTTATTGTGGGTTCAATTAATTATTTGAACAGTCTCCTTAAAGTCGATTCAAATGCAACATTTTCTCAATGGATTCAAAGAGACTGTAATATTTCAGGGTAGAGTTTTGAAACCCAAACATTGGATGAATTTAAATGTGAACTACTTGTTACAGGTTACACTTTTAAAAGTTATGGAACAGATAAACCTAAATCCGATACTTGAGTGTGCCCAGTACACCCCGATCCTTCAACGTTTGGTGTAGCTTTTCTCGCAGCTCATCTTGACTCAACACGTCAGACATGAGGAGCAAGTTGGACTAGAAGACAAAATGATTACAGGTTATCTGGGGGATAGAGGAAAGGTGAAGGAAGGAAAAAAGATCACTGGTCTCTGGGGACACCCTGAGTGGCCTAGCAGGGAAAGAGGTATTATGGAACATCAACAAGACTTCATTTCTACCTGTCCCCGACGAGGGGCAGTTGTGTATTCCTGAGTCAGTAGGCGCCAGCTTCCTCCCATCATCAGCTTCCTCCCAGGCCGCCTCCTTCGCCCCGCCATGGCCAGAGTTGAGTGCACAGGACAGGATGCAGGTCCAAGATGAGGGGGAATCTCCGTCCTCAAAAACCTGCCTGTGTCCCAGGTGAGGAACAAGCGTGCTGAACACTCTCACTCTCACAATCCCAAGTAGGTTTTCTATCAAACATGCAAGCCTCCTCTCTTCGCCGTTCTGAGGCATGGACGAGGACCGTGACCTAGGCACAACTCAAAGGTGGCTGGAGGGCTGGGACTCAAACACTAGGGATGAAAAGTAATGAGGCAGGACCGCGAGATTACAGCCCTCATATCCCATCCTGCCCCTCCTGGAGACCTACAAAGTACAGTCTTCCTGTTCTGAAGATACATGGCATGCACTTGGTTGCCTAGCACCCAACAGAAGCTCCGCCCACATCTCGCCAGAGCATATCCAGGGTATCCAAATAACTGCCCCCCGCAAACTGGGCTGAAGCCGCAGGAGTGCAGGTTTCCTCAGCGGGACTGAGAATGCCTTTCCCTCCTTGACCTCTGGCTGCAGGTAGGGGGATGGAGTGAGTCGAAACAGGCATTTTGAGACCCTGTGGGACATTGCTGGCCCTACATGACAGCACAGGCTGGTGCTGTACCTCCACTCCTCCCTAGGGTAGCCAGATCAGATCTGCCACGCCCCAACAGGCTCATCCATGCACTGAGCACACTTCCACCTGCGAGTGTCTGCTCTCTTGGGGGCTTTGCTTTCACAGTTAACAGGGTCATTCAGCTGACTCAGGGTTTCATAATAGAGCCACTTTTGCCTTTTGGAGCCAGCAGATTCTTTGTTTTGGGAGGCTGTCCTGTGCATTGTAGATTTAGCTGTATCCTCGGTCTCTATGTTGTCCATAGCACCTTCTCCCCCAAGCGAGACAACCATAAATGTCTCCAGACATTGCCAGATGTCCTCTTGGAAGCAAGATGGCTCAGGGTTGAGATCCACAGAGTGAAATGTTTTTTTAATAGCCACCGTTGTGTGTTGTGAGGAAAGGTGAGACTGACCTCATAATGCTTACATGTAACTAAAAAGAAAATGAGCCAAACCTCTCAGAAGCAATAATGAAAAAGTTACGGCCAGAGAATTGAACAAGAGCTAAGGTAATATTATAAACTGAGTAAAGAGTTTAAAGGAGAGGTGGTTGAAGATGGAAGTGATCCAGATCATCTCTGAGAAAAAGTGTAAACTCCTCAGGGCTTTGATGCATAGGATTTAGGTGGGGGGGCTAAAAGAAGAGCACTGCAGGGAGGGGAAAAGTGAGCAAAGGAATAAAAACAAACAAACAAACAAACAAAAATCCAGGACCTTCTTGGGAGCAGTGAGGAATCTACCCGAGTCCAGAGTTGTAGGTTGGGAAAATAAGCCTGATAAAGTATCCAAGTCCTGTGAGGACAAAATTTGATCAGTGTCAGCTTTGTACACAGCATTGAGGAAGTGCACAATGAGTTTTGATCACTGGCTGTGAAAAACGAACACTTCAAGAGGCAATATGAGTGACAGGACTTCTTAGGATGTGGAGAACGTGTAGGTTTTTGTGGGAAATAATCGAGGAGGGGGAGAACTTAGTTGGATTTTTAAAAATAGGTAGCGGTTGCAGGCAGAATCAGGGAGAACATTCTAGGCATGAGGACAGAAATAATAGTAGTTCTGAAGTGGATACAGTCAACGTGGATTTGGGGGGATAAAAAGTAAATGACAAAACTCTAGCAGAGGTGATAGATGGCTGAATAGGAACAGCTCCGGTCTACAGCTCCCAGCATGAGTGATGCAGAAGACGGGTGATTTCTGCATTTCCAACTGAGGTACCAGTTTCATCTCACTGGGGAGTGCCAGACAGTAGGTGCAGGACAGTGGGTGCAGAGCACCACGCACGACCCGAGGCATCGCAAGGCATCGCCTCACCCGGGAAGCACAAGGGGTCAGGGAATTCCCTTTCCTAGTCAAAGAAAGGGGTGACAGCCGGCACCTGGAAAATCGGGTCACTCCCACTCTAATACTGCCCTTTTCCAATGTGCTTAAAAAATGGCACACCAGAAGATTATATCCCACACCTGGCTCAGAGGGTCCTACGCCCATGGAGTCTTGCTCATTGCTAGCACAGCAGTCCGAGATCAAACTGCAAGGCGGCAGCGACGCTGGGGGAGGGGCGCCCGCCATTGCGGAGTTAGTTGTTTGATTAGGTAAACAAAGCTGCTGGGAAGCTCGAACTGGGTGGAGCCCACCACAACAGCTCAAGGAGGACTGCCTGCCTCTGAAGGCTCCACCTCTGGGGGCAGGGCACAGACAAACAAAAAGACAGCAGTAACGTCTGCAGATTTAAATGTCCCTCCCTGAAAGCTTTGAAGAGAGTGGTGGTTCTCCCAGCATGCAGCTTGAGATCTGAGAACAGGCAGACTGCCTCCTCAAGTGGGTCCCTGACCCCCGAGTAGCCTAACTCGGAGGCACCCCCACGTAGGGGTGGACTGACGCCTCACACGGCCGTGTACTCCTCTGAGACAAAATTGCCAGAGGAACGATCAGGCAGCAGCATTTGCAGTTCACCAATATCCTCTGTTATGCAACCAAGGCTGCTGAAACCCAGGCAAACAGGGTCTGGAGTGGACCTCTAGCAAACTCCAACCGACTTGCAGCTAAGGGTCCTGTCTGTTAGAAGGAAAACTAACAAACAGAAAGGACATCCACACCAAAAACCCATCTGTACATCACCATCATCAAAGGCCAATGGTAGATAAAACCACAAAGATGGGAATAAAACAGAGCAGAAAAACTGGAAACCCTAAAAATCAGAGTGCCTCTCCTCCTCCAAAGGAACACAGCTACTCACCAGCAATGGAACAAAGCTGGACAGAGAATAACATTGGTGAGTTGCGAGAAGAAGGCTTCAGATATTCAAACTCCTCCGAGCTACAGGAGGAAATTCGAACCAATGGAAAAGAAGTTAAAAGCTTTGAAAAAAAATTAGACGAATGGATAACTAGAATAACCAATGCAGAGAAGTGCTTAAAGGACCTGATGAAGCTAAAACCAAGGCACGAGAGCTACGTGACGAATCCAGAAGACTCAGTAGCCGATGCGATCAACTGGAAGAAAGGGTATCAGTGATGGAAGACGAAATGAATGAAATGAAGCGAGAAGAGAAGTTTAGAGAAAAAAGAATAACAAGAAATGAACAAAACCTCCAAGAAATATGGGACTTTGTGAAAAGACCAATATTCTGGCCAGGGCAATTAGTTCTGGCCAGGGCAGTTAGGCAGGAGAAGGAAATAAAGGGTATTCAATTAGGAAAAGACGAAGTCAAATGGTCCCTGTTTGCAGACGACATGATTGTATATTTAGAAAACCCCATCGTCTCAGCCCAAAATCTCCTCAAGCTGATAAGCAACTTCACCAAAGTCTCAGGACACAAAATCAATATGCAAAAATTACAAGCATTCTTATACACCAATAACAGACAGCCAAATCGTGAGTGAACTCCCATTCACAATTGCTTCAAAGAGAATAAAATACCTAGGAATCCAACTTACAAGGGATGTGAAGGGCCTCTTCAAGGAGAACTACAAACCACTGCTCAATAAAATAAAAGAGGATACAAATGGAAGAACATTCCGTGCTCATGAGTAGGAAGAATCAATATCGTGAAAATGGCCACACAGCCCAAGGTAATTTATAGATTCAATGCCATCCCCATCTAACTACCAATGACTCTTCACAGAATTGGAAAAAAACTACTTTAAAGTTCATGCGGAAGCTAAAAAGAGCCCGCATCACCAAGTCAATCCTAAGCCAGAAGGACAAACCTGGAGGCATCACACTATCTGACTTCAAACTATACTACAAGCCTACAGTAATCAAAACAGCATGGTACTGGTACAAAAACAGAGATATAGACCAATGGAACAGAACGGATCCCTCAGAAGTAATGCCATGTATCAACAACTATCTGATCTTTGACAAACCAGACAAAAGCAATGGGGAAAGGATTCCTTATTTAATAAATGGTGCTGGGAAAAGTGGCTAGCCATATGTAGAAAGCTGAAACTGGATCCCTTCCTTACACTTTAGACAAAAATTAATTCAAGATGGATTAAAGACTTAAATGTTAGACCTAAAACCGTAAAAACCCCAGAAGAAAACCTAGGCAAAACCATTCAGGACATAGGCATGGGCAAGGACTTCATGTCTAAAACACCAAAAGCAATGGCAACAAAAGCCAAAATTGACAAATGGGATCTAATTAAACTAAAGAGCTTCTGCACAGCAAAAGAAACTACCATCAGAGTGAACAGGCAACCTACAGAATGGGAGAAAATTTTTGAAACCCACTCATCTGACAGAGGGCTAATATCCAGAATCTACAATGAACTCAAATAAATTTACAAGGAAAAAAACAAACAGTCCCATCCAAAAGTGGGTGAAGGATATCAACAGACACTTCTCAAAAGAAGACATTTATGCAGCCAAAAAACACATGAAAAAACGCTCATCATCACTGGCCATCAGAGAAATGCAAATCAAAACCACCATGAGATACCATCTCACACCAGTTAGAATGGCGATCATTCAAATGTTAGGAAACAACAGGTGCTGGAGAGGATGTGGAGAAATAGGAACACTTTTACACTGTTGGTGGGACTGTAAACTAGTTCAACCATTTTGGAAGTCAGTGTGGCGATTCCTCAGGGATCTTGAACTAGAAATACCATTTGACCCAGCCATCCCATTACTGGGTATACACCCAAAAGATTATAAATCATGCTGCTATAAAGGCACATGTACACATATGTTTATCGTGGCACTATTCACAATAGCAAAGACTTGGAACCAACCTAAATGTCCAACAATGATAGACTAGATTAAGAAAATGTGGCACATATACACCATGGAATACTATGCAGCCATAAAAAATGATGAGTTCATGTCCTTTGTAGGGACATGGATGAAACTGGAAACCATCATTATCAGCAAACTATCGCAAGGACAGAAAACCAAACACCGCGTGTTCTCACTCATAGGTGGGAATTGAACAATGAGAACACGTGAACACAGGAATGGGAACATCACACTCCGGGGACTGTTGCGGGGTGCGGGGAGTGGGGAGGGATAGCATTAGGAGATATACCTAATGCTAAATGACGAGTTAATTGGTGCAGCACACAAACAGGGCACACGTATACATATGTAACAAACCTCCACATTGTGCACATGTACCCTAAAACTTAAAGTATAATAATAATTAATTAAAAAAAACTCTAGCAGAGGTGGAACAATAGCCATCGTAATAAATTATTTTAAATTTAGTGGCTTAATACAAGTGTATCATCTTACACTTCTGTAATATAGGAGTCCAATACAGGTCTTGTTTGGCTAAGATCGAAGTGTGCGCAGAACTGTGCTCCTCTTGGAGGCTCTAGAGGATAATTTGCTTCCTTGTACTTTCTAGCTTCTAGGGGCCTCCTGCATTCCTTAGCTATAGCCCCTTCTTCCATTTTCTAAGCCATCTACATCACATTGCTTTTCCATTCTTCTGTCACTTCCCCCTGACTTTCCTCTTTTGCTTCCATCGTCTACATTTAAGGCCATTGTAATGGCATTGATCAAGCTGGATGATCCTGGGCAATCTTCCTATCTTAAGGTCAGCTGCTGAACAACCGTAATTTCTTTTTGCCATGAGCCCTCACATACTCACAAGTTTTAGAGATTTGGATGAGGGCATCTTAGATGACGTCATATTCTGTTTTGTCCCCTCAGCTAGACATTTGGAAACTATCCTAGATTCTCCTCTTGTCCTCAGTTTCCCAATTTAATCTATTGTCTGAGTCTATGTAGCTACCTCCTCAGGGCCTCTAGGACAAGTTTTCCTTGGAGATTCTTCAAAGGTCCCTATTTAAAGCAATGGAATAATCAAGCAGACCATTCATGCCAATTCAGGTATGTCAGTCATGCCAGTTGCTTTATTTGCATTATATATTGGAATAGTAAATAATACTTGTTTTGTTGGTGAAGGGAAGGTGGAGGATGTCACAGAAATTTTGTATAAAAAAGTTGAAATTAGGCTGGGCATGGTGGCTCATGACTAATCTCAGCACTTTGGGGACTCTAATCTCAGCACTTTACAATCTCCTGACTCTAATCTCAGCAGTGCTGAGGTCTGCTGATCACTTGAGGCCAGGAGTTCAAGACCAGCTTGGGCAATATGGCAAAACCCTATCTCTACTAAAATTACAAAATTTACCCTGGCATAATGGTGCATACCCTTAATGCCAGCTGCTCGGGAGGCTGAGGCAGGAAAATCTTCTGAACCTGGGAGGTGGAGTTTGCAGTGAGCCAAGATCATGCCACTGGCTTGGAATCTTTGATCTAGACCTGTGCTGTCTATTACATAGCCACCACCCACATGAGGCTATTCTTGTTTAATTAAAAATCAATTCTATAATTACAGTAGCCATATTTCTAATACTCACTGGCTTTCATATTGGACAGCAGAGAGGTAAAACATTTGCATCCGTGGAGAAAGTTCCACAGATTGGACAGTGCAGAATAGTAATGTGTGTCTCACCTTTGCCCAATACCCTCAAGTGTTTGCTAAGTGATTGCAGCTCTTACCTTCCCTTCCTGGGGCAATGGGGCCATTTTCTCCCAGGGTTTCCAATTCTTCCACTTCACCTGTCAGGTTTTCTTTGCCAAAATTGAATGAAAAATTACAGCCTTCTTGCATCTTCAGCTGTTTACAAAAGGAAAACAAAATTAGCAACTCACAATAAGCATGGAATGTATATAAAGTAAACTCTGTCTTGTCTTCTGCCCACCTGTGTAGTTGGTAACAGCACCCTCATGCAGTTTTTCTTTGCGTTCTCTTCTGTCCGTGCTCCTGCTGAGTTAGCACCATGCTGCTCTAACATTTGTGGCTTTTCATATGGGGATTGGATGCATGTTATCTCCCTTACACACACACTGACACACCCACACGCAGACCACACACACCAAATCACACACACACATTTCCCGCCCCCGCCTTTTTTTGGTGCTGCTGCTGCTTCAATGTTTGTACTAAAGAAAGTAACAACCGCTTCTTTTGGCTCTAAAATTTAGCCCAGCAATAATTCATGATACCATTGTTTACTTTGTTGAATTTTCTACTGCCCATCCTTTCTCACATCACATTCTCTGGAGAATCATTGCCAGTTTTCATGGCTTTTGTATCATTCCTGCTTGTCTTTGTTACCCAATTTTCCTATCTCATCTGTTTTTCACCTCTTTTCTAAAGCAGGAGTAAAGGTTGTCTTTGGAAGACCAGATAGTGAATATTGTTGGCTCTGTGGGATACCCTGGTTGCAGATACTTAACTCTGCCACTGAAGGGTGAGAGCAGCTTAGACGGTAGTGAGAAAGTGGACAAGGCTATAATCCCCCACATCTCAGTGTGCATTTGGCCTTTCCATGTTATTCTATATAATATTAATTAAGCACGTCCTGTGCGTCAGACATTGTGCTGGGTACTTTACCATGAAGTGATACAAAATTACCATATAAAGGAGACGACCAACAGTAGATTAAGTTTCCCTCTGGTCACATTGCAAGTATGTAGCAGAGTTAGATGGAACCTAGCTTCGTTTGATTTCAAATCCCTTGTGTTAAAAACACACACAGTGGGGTTACCATTGCATATATCCATCTATGCTCCCACCCATCAGTCATTCATCTGTATTTTAATTATCTGTGCCAGAAGCCATGTCATTGCTCATGTTTTTTCCCCAGTTTCTCATAGGTTCATTTCTTTTGTGAATCTGTTGAAGTTTTTTGTTGTTTTTTGTTGTTGTTGTTGTTTTGTTTTGTTTTGTTCTGTTTTGTTTTCGAGTCAGGATATTTCAGCTTACTGCTGTGTCAGGTAATTCTCTCCTGTCAGCCTCCAAAGTAGCTGAAACTACAGGCACACACCACCACGCCCAGAAAGTTTTAGTGTTTCCGTAGAGATGTATTTTTTGTAGAGAAGTATTTCTTCTTCCATGCTGTTTGCCTTGGCTGGTCTCAAACTCCCGGGCTGAAGCAGGCTGCCTGCCTCAGCCCTCTAAAGTGCTGGCATTGCAGGCATAAGCCATTACACCTGCCCCAATCTGTTAAACTTCGTTGTAAGATCTCTCAGTAACTCAAAATGTCTTCCTTTATGGAATATTTCTTTCATGTCTTATAGCATACAAAACTTCCTTTCTTATAAATTGTTGTGTCAAGAGGCATATCGTAGTCTCTTTTATTTGCAAGGACGTATATTTATAGCACACATACTTCAGGTAGAAAGAAGAAAAATAGAGCACAAAGTGCTGCATTGCTTCTCTTTTCTAAGTGACATGAGGGAGACTTGGTTTTAGCTTCCCCCAATGGATATCTTATGTACATTTCTAAGGCAAGCTAATTAATTCCTTGGTCTTCTCACCACTGTCTATGGTTCTTAACTTACTGTCTACCTCTGTTAAATCTTCTAAGTGTCAGTGCTGGCGCTAACTGCTCCAGACCAAGTGAAGCCTAGATTACTCCACCAGACACTCAGGGTCCTTTGAGCTGAATGTGCCATACTTGCAGATCATGAGAATGTTATCTGTGATTTTATGTTAGAGGTCTTCTAGTTTCTAACAGAAATACATAGTATTCTACAAGAAATATCACAGTTTTATCATTTGTTTATTCCGGAAGTCATGCATCTTCACTAGTACACGGGAAATGGTGACAAGCTTACTGGCATCTTCCAAGTTTAAGTTAGAAAGCAAAACAAAACAAGAATTTTACACTTCCCTTAGTCATCTTTGAATTTCAATATTGACTGCTAAAAATATGTACTATTTTTTACTTCATCAGGAGCCACATATTTAAGACCATGTCTAGGAGCTTCTACTTTGTAATTGTTGGCCACCATGATAAACCAGTTTTTGAAATGGAGTTTTTGCCAGCTGGGAAGGCAGAATCCAAAGTGCATGTAGAAGCTTAAATTTCATAAGAATTTTTATTATATTGTAACAATACAGTGTAGTGTGATTTTAGAAGTGGAGGATCAGGACAGAAGAGGTTAATGAAATCCAACACAATTAAATGAGGCTTCCTCTGGAGTCCCAGAGACTGATAGAAGCCAGCCAAGGAATATCCTGGGAGTTGTTCTTTTATACTTTAATTCAGCACAGACTAGCATGACTTCTGACTTGCCTATGATATTCAGTTCACTATGTCATCTACCATGAATTGCTGCTACTTGAGCACTTAAAAGCCTAGTTCACCTGTAGCAAGTTGCAGCCTTGAAATGTCATCTATGAGTTTTCAGGCAGTTTTCATGAATCACATTTTTCATCAAGACCTACTGGGTTTCATCCATTAAAATTCAGACAGTTTCCGTGAATCATGTTTTTGATGAGGACCTACAGGATTTAAAAAGACCCCAGTGACCCCTAGTGGCACTTCCTGGCTGGTCATACATGCATGCTTTCCTCCCCAGTGACCACTTAGCCATGCACAGGAAGCTCAAAAGCAACACCAGAGATGATGACACCTGACTTTCTTGTCAAGAATATTTCCAGAAACCAGGCTTGGCTTGAGAACATGTTGTCATTCAGAGTAAATAGCCCTATAGATTTTTGTCATGAAAAGAGCCCCGTCCTTTCCAATTTATGTTCCTAATACATTCCTGGCACATTTGCACTATTTCTCTCAAGTACCCAAGTCAGCTTTACTGACTTTTGAGGAATTCATATTGTAAGTTGCTTGCAATGTATAATGTTTAATGTGTGATACTTTTCAACTATTCAGGACTTCTCACCAAAATATGATAGACAGGATTATGTGCCAGGTGTTGTTGTGACATTATTTTCTCATATTATGGGAAAAATACTAATTAAAAATTGTTTTGAGTACTTGTAGCAGTATTGCTTTCTGGGATGCAGCTACATGAATATAGTTTCTGTGCACTCCACTGGCCTGGTGGTGGACAAAAGAGAACACATAAAAATAATTTGTTGCATGCATTGATTATAATTCTTTCTCCTGCTACCATTCCCTTGTTAAGGCATTTTCACAATTTGCTCCTAATCTTTCAGGATTGATCATCATTGTAAAAGAAACTACTGCTTGATTGAGACACAAAAGCATCCATTTATCTAAAGATTCACTTAGGTTTGTCGTGACAACATGAGTGAAGTAAAGCATGCTTTAGATGTCGGAGACATTTTGGGACAATGGGTCACCCTCCTCCAGCCCAGGATTGGGAACAGCTTCCTCAACAAGGAGGCTGTCTCTGTTTCCTGTGGCTGTTGTAATAAAGTACCAAAAATTTAGTGGCTTTGGACAGCAGAAATTTATTGCCTCATTTCTGAGAGCCACTGTCTAAAATCAAGGTGTCAGTGGTGCCATGCTTCTTATGCAGGTCTTAAGGTAAGAATCTTTTTGGTTAACCTCCCAGCTTCTGGAAGTTCCCTGGCTTGCAGCAGTGTAACTCCAGCGTCCCTGTGTCATTTCTCTCCCTGCATGTATCTCCAAAAGATCCTTTTTTCTAAATACATGAGTGGTTTTATTAGGGGCCCACCCTATTATAAAATGACCTCATGTGAAATAACCATGTCTACATGTAACCTCTCCTTCCAAATGAAGACACATTCTGTGGTACTGTTCACTTGGGACATCAACAAAGGAATTTTGGAGAGAATACGCTTCAACCCATAACTGAGGTGTCATTTTAAATCTGTATTTTAAAAGAAAGAATTACATATAATGAGAAAACAGATCTCTTGTATGTCTCTTGACAATAGCAAACAAAGCAAAGTCAAGCTTTTCTTTTTCTGCACAAGAAAACCGTCTATAGAATTTACAGAATGAAATGTTGGCATTCTTCATTCCATGTGGGTAAGTTAATCTGTTGTTGCGCACACAGTCACTTATGACTATCGTCATCTGCACCAGCTCATAGCTCATGCTGCTCTGGACCTCACAGAAGAGAACATGTGGCTTTTGAACAACATGTTCTTGAAAAGTGGGGGCAACTCCAGCAAGTGGTTTGTGTCAGCATTCATTACTGCAGGACATAACTTTACCTTTTTAGTAAAGATAATTAACTAAAGTTCAGGTTCACGAACTAGAAGAAGATGGAATACAGATGTCAGGCTCTGAGATTGTATGCTTCACAATTTGTATGAATGTAAAAGTTTCCATTCATGGGACTACTTTTGTTTTGTTAGGGGAGAAAATATTTTGTTGAACAGCTAATTTTAAAACTAAGTCTCACACCCACCAAAAAGTTTATCTGAAAAATATCAAGGGTGATGCTACTTTATCTTGTAGTTATTTTTTCACTTAGAATGCTTATGTTCTCTTTCTGGTAAAAGTAAGCTAATTTTAAACCCAATTAATGCATTCAAATCTTCCATCCCAAATACATGGCCGGTGACTAATTTGAGGAATATTGTGTCAATGAACTTGTTGCTTTTTTTTATTTCTAAGAAAAATGTTGCCTTAATTATGTCACATATGAGACTTATTATGCTTCATGGCATAAGGCAAGAAGATGGAATAAATCACTTCTTTACTGATGTTTATGGTTTACATATAAAAGTAAGGCATGTTCTATAATTTTAAAAATCTGACGATAGAAAAAAAGATTTGATCTTTGTCAGGAAAGTGGCCTTTTGAAGTAACTCCCTTAGGCTGCACAGCTTACCTTTCAGACCACGTTTTCTCATCAGAACTATCTCTGTCAACTCCCTTAGCAAGTAAGTCTTCACAGCCAGTTGAATAGGTATTTAAGAAAACAACTTACAATAGTTATTTGTAGAATATTGTGAAGGCAAATTGTTTTATGTTTTCCCTCTAAGTGTTCATACACTTATGTTTTTCCCTCTAAGTGTCCCTCTAAGTTGATTTTATTAGGGAACCCTAAAGAGGGCAAGGAAGCAGCCTATATAAGAGAAAAGTAAATAAAAATGTAATCTGAAATGTTTCCATCTACTTTCAAATAAGTTGCTGTGCTACTAATAGAGATCATGACCTGGCAGGAACTAAGTTTTCTGTGATCAAATAGTCATTCAAGAAGAATGTTGCCACTTGTTTATTTGGTTTGTTTTTTTATTTGTGATTTTATTGTTGTTGTTATGAAGTCTCGCTCTGTTGTCCAGAATGGAGTGCAATGGCATGATCCTGGCTCACTGCAACATTTTCCTCCGGGGTTCAAGTGACTCTCCTGCCTCAGTCCCTGGAGTAGCTGGGACTACAGGCCCCAACACCATGTGTGATGTGTTTTTGTATTTTTAGTAGAGACGGGGTTTCACCATGTTAGCCAGACTGGTCTCGAACTCCTGACCTCGGGTGATTTACCCACCTCTGCTTTCCAAAGCCCTCAGATTACAGGCATGAGCCACGGTGACTATCCCATGTAGTTGATTTTAATGTAACAATCCAAAAATAAATGTCAGAGTCAAGATGTGGTAGATAGATTTAAAACTAACATATTCTGCAGTTGGAAATGAAATGCGATAGCACATACATTCACATTAATTCTTTTATACATTTAGAGATGTTGTAAAAATGTATAGGCAGTGTACACAGCAGTACTCAAGAAGCCAAGGAAACACGTGTGTAGTGCTAAGTGTTGCATATATGCTTCTGACAGTGGCTAGGTATAGTGGTCCAGCTGATTATTTCCTTTCCTTCAGAGAGTATACCGTTGATACTTACACTTGCAAAAAGTTGTAAGGCAGTTTTTAGGAGAGTTGTCAAAGAAAAGCCAGGATTACATTAACATTTGTACTCATCCTTTTAGATGCATCAAAGTTCTCTGTTAGAGCAGTAAAAAAATTGAACAGACCATTGATGCATACACATATCAATGTAGTACTTTGGTCATGGCAGTTGCTTTATTTGTATTATATATTGGAATTCTTAGTAATGCTTGTTTTGTGGGTAAGGCAAGGTGGAGGAAGTCACAGAACTTTTGTAAACAGTTTGGAATTGTCCTGGGCATGGTGGCTCATGCCTCTAATCTCAGCATTTTGGGAGGCTGAGATGATATACCACAGGAGGCTGGGAATCATCTCTTTGTTCCCATACTAAGATCTTACTGTAAAATAGGTAATGTCCACTGAAAAGCAGGTTATAAAACCTTTTCTAATGCTAAGCACTTGAACAATTTTGTTCCATTCTGAATTAACTTTAAGCAAGTAATTCTAAGCTTTTGTCTTGTGTCCTTGTGTGAAATAGCTACCATCATTTTTACCACACTTATTTGATTTTTACAATAAAGATATTTGTTCAAGATTGTGGTAGTTTAATATTCATTTTTAAAGTGCCGCCAACCACAGCTGTTTTTGTTCCATTTCCCCTATCGGTAGTGTCCAAACTAGTATGATGTCTTAACCTGTTATACAGCCCTCATATTAAAACAAACTAAATCCCAGAGCTATGGGTGCAGAAAAAGGTAAGACCCATCTAGAAATCTGGGAGTAATTTCAGTATTTTTTACTATGGTTGTTCCTTCCCTTAATGAGCATATAATCCTGAGTATTGTGATGAAATCCAACCAAGAGCAGCGGGGTGAGTGACAGCAGGAAGACATGGCCCAGCTGCACAACAGTGGCACTCCAAAAATAACCTTTCCTCCAGGCTAATGAAGATGAGGTAGGAACTAGTAATCCACATCCTGTGTGTATATTAGTAAAGTTTAGTGCCAAATTTCATGTATGGCCAATTATTTGAAGGAGCTGGAAGGAAAGTGGAGCGTTAAGTGGGACTTCCGATGTTGCCTGCAGAGAACAGTATTTCAGGCGTGAAGCGGTGAAGGAGAGCACTGGGGCACATGGGTAGGACTGTCAGCTGATAGATAGGAGCTGATCATGAGGAAAAATAAGCTGGCAAAGCTTGGATCTAGTAGGCAATTTCCCCTGAAGGCTCTTTAACATAAAAGGAAAGAAATTAAATCAGTCTTAAAATCAGGCTCCCCTTAGCACATGTGCATTAGCACTAAGTTTGTTATCTGCTTTAGTGCTCCAAAAGTGATCCAGAAGAAATGTGCATATGGAGTTTCATTCTCTTGTTATAGCCGAAATTTCCTAGGATACTTCCTTTGGCATGGATGTAGATACTGCCAATCTCTGTCTTCTTCATGCTGTACTTGTGATCTTTAACTTTTCAGTCACTTCAACACTTCCTGCTTGTCAGTCCAGAGTTCCAGAAAGCGCTGACTGTCCAGACACCACCTTTCACTCGGTAACACACTGGGGCATTTCTCTACTTATAAATTTACTACTCAGCATGACATGTTTATTGCAATAAAATTTACATGGTGGTGTCTTAATATAGAAGTGAAAACTTAGGTTTGTACAGAAACCTAAATAGTTTTGTTCTAAGATAAGAAACAGTAGGAATGTTTTATCTTCAACTAGGAAACTTTCCCCAAGGATGAAAGTTAACAGAAATATTTATTTAATTGTAATGGAATTGTAATTTTGTATCTTCTACTCTGCACATTGTAATTGTTACATAAGTTATCAAATGCACATTTTTCTATTCTTCAACTTCTGCAGTTAGCCTTTTTTTTATAAACTGAACTCTCTCTATGGAAAAGTTTTCCATTCTTTGCTTGCATCTAGCTGGATATATGAAAGACTGTATGGAGCAACATCTGTACCACTGGGAACCACACTTCCTTCAAACTGTGGGGCATCATCTATGGTTCTTCTGTCCAGGGTGGCTCTGCAGCTGCTTCTGACTGATCCTGCTGCCACGCTCACCACCTGCTTTGTTCTCCTGCCATTTTCTATTGTGATTTTTATCAAATGTTTCCAGATGGCAATATTGGGTGGGGCCAGGAAGAGAAATGTTTTGATGTAAGTTTTCAAAACTCTGCTCCCTATATGAGAGCCACCTCCCCTCATCCAGCATGTCTTTTCATACCTCCATCACTCCCCAGTGGCGGGTCTCATCCACATTCAGTCCAAGCTTCGGTTAGCTTCCTTAGAATCAGATAGTTACCGACTGCACAGAATGTGAACATCCACAAGAGACCACAATTTGCTTTATCAAGTCTGATCATTGTAGCAAGGATTTTTTTTGAAACAAACACAAAAATCCTTGAGAGCAAATCACTAAACAATGTTCAGTAATAGAGGAGACACTAAGTAAACACATGGCATAATAAAGATGTCTTGATTTACCCTCTGACAAAGTACAACCCTTCTTAGTATTTCCTCTGAGAGTGATAAGGTTAGCTTGTGTCTTGTGTGAAAAAGGAATGGTTTAACTTCAACTAGTAGACTTTCCACAAGGGTGAAGAAAGTAACACAAATAGTAACTATCCCAGTAGTGGAACTGTAATTTTGTATCCTCTACACACACATTATATTTGTTAAATCAGTTATCAAATGCAGATTTGTCTTTTCTCCAAGTTCAGTAGTTAGCCTTTTTCTTAAAGCTGAACTCTGGCTATGGAAAGGCTTTTTATTCGTGGAGAGCTTAAATTTAGCAGGATGTGTGACAGACTGTAAGAAGCAACTCTTGTGCCACTGTTGGCCCTCCCTCCTCCTGGGGCTGTGAAACATGATATATGGTGGTAGAAGTTCATTAATGGCGTGTAAATCATGGAGAAATTGCTAGTGAGAATAATTCTAATGATATGTGGAATGAAAATAAAAAAGGTGAAGTCATTTTGAAAAGAATGAAGAAGTAAATTAAATAAGAATGCATTGAAAATATGATAGATTCTAATCTTTCATATCTAACATTATTGTTTTAGGAGATCATTTTGTTTCACCAAGAATACAATGCTAATTGCATAAAACTCATATACATATAAAAAGTAGTATCTGATTTTTCCAGGAAAAAAAATCCAAGTGTAAATTCTATAGTAGTCAAGTTTCTTATTTTAATTATAATTTAAGTCTTGGTCATCTCTTTTATTAGCTCTCTAATTTACATATGTAAATCAAAGAAACATTTTCAGAAAACCATTACAGTTTATAAATGTAAGATGCCATTATTGAGAAAATATATTCCTCCATGAGTGGATTTGTCCCATCTCCCATCAACTAATCACACAGCCATATCCATTCATTGAATTTTATTAGTAAGTAATACACTGCTACAAACACTAATTCTCTTCTCCATGTCCATGTTGATTTTGTGTATACGTGTGAGTTGGTTAGAATGCATCTGCCTTATCTCTAACATTCAACAGCAAGATGAGCTAGAAGTCACATTTATATGAATGATTGACTCAGACAATTAACAGATCATTTTAAGGAACTTGGTAAAATCACAAATAATTTACTATCTAAAACTAAGTTCTATGGCCACACATTCCTGTAATGAAAGTGTTATTTGTATTATTAATATATACCTTTGGGAGAAAATAAATTTTACCCTTTACTCTTCCTGCTCTGACCACCCCTGTGCTTTCTTTTTCTCAGCCTAGCCTGACTACATCTGAGATGTTGGGATAATTTTAGTAGAGTAGGAGCATATATTATACAAACATAAATACCATATTTATTTTAAATGTAAAAGTATCAAACCTAAGAATTCACAAAAATTTTGTTTTGCACAATTTAACTTGAGATTTTAGTTGCTCATACATGACACATGGTTGGTTTATGATATAACCTAAGTTTAATTTTAATTGCCAAGGTTCAGTATATATTTATACATCTTAAGGCATTTAGGCACTGTGTTTTAGGTTTTAGGAATTCTTGCGTTTGAGAAAACTGAGTCAACACATTTGCATCATTTTGTGTACCATTCCCTGTAAGGCCCCCGAAAATACTCAAGAATCAAACATATTAATATTTCTATGAAGAGAAATGGATATTCCCTTTAAGCCTGAATGTTACATGAATGCAGACTGAAACAGCTTCCCTCAATTAAGGCTTTATTACATCAGAAATTGAGTTACATACCAATCTCATTTTTAAAAAGTCTTGCTTAATTGAGCTTTTTGAATTTCAGATAAAGTATTTTGAATCTGTCTTAATTATGATTTTGAAAACACAGTACAGAATAACAGCCCAGGTTGGATACAAAACATCATAATGAACAACAAAAAAAATACAATACAGGGTGATCTTCTGCCTATTATAGGGCATATGTGACTTAGATTTGGAGAGTAGAAAGCATCTTGCAGTTGAAAAGGGTTGCTTTGTTAAGTTGATTTTTTTAAGTAGACAGTGGGTACAGACTTAGTATTGACATAACTTGGCTTTTTAGCAATTATGTGAGATATTCAGTGTGACTTGATAAACCATCAGAGGATAAAAAAAGGCATATATTAGTAACATCTCACTGGCTATAGCATAGAAAATTTCACAATATACCACAGTAAGGAAGTATTCAAAATTATCTGTAGAAAAAGACTGTGGGTGCTCTACATTAGAAAAGCTGGCAATGTAGAACATATGTGTGGACAGATGTATGAGCTCTTAATGAGTTAGAATAGGCAGGGGTTACCAACTGGATATTTGAGAAAGTGGAGTAGGAAAGAGATGTTAACACCTCTGTCCTGGGTGTGATTTGATAAGCTGAGAGAATAGTAATGCAATTTACTGATAGAAAAAAGTGAACCTGTTTGAGCAGATTGCCTTTTAGAAACATACGGGACACCAAATAAAAAATTGCAATGGATACAAATGTCCAGAATTTGGAATCATCTAAAAGCATACATGTGTTACTACAGAAGTAACAATGAAAAACAGTCATAGAAAGTAATGTACTAGAATGGAAACTTTTTTTAAAAAGTTGATGTTATCATGGCAGACAACATTAAGTTATCCAAAAGCAGTCCGTAGCCTCTAAGTAGTTAGTTTAATCAGTATGTAAGAGAAGAGTTTTTCTTTTTTATTTATTATTACTATTATTTGTGGGTGTGTGTGCATGTGTGTGTAAGAGGAATTCTCACTCTCACCCAGGCAGGAGTGCAGGAGCGGAATCTCGGCTCACTGAAACCTCTGCCTCCTGGGTTCAAGCAATTCTCTGCATCAGCCTCCTGAGTAGCTGGGATTACAAGTGCCTGACACCATGACTGGCTAATTTTTGTATTTTTAGAAGAGATGGGGTTTCACAATTGTGGCCAGACTGGTTTTGAGAAAAATGATAATTTTAAAGAACTATGTTTATGCTAAACACAGATCTTGAGCATTCTTCTAGAATTCTTAGTTGTGTCATCTGCAGTAAAATAAGCCTAAGAATTGCACCAAAATTAGTTTCCCAACTCTGCCAGGAGATTCAAAGTGTTATTGTTATAGGATTCTAGAGACAATCATACTATATATCTGGAAACTCTATACACACACACCTACACACAAACACACCGTTTTCACTCAATAGACATTATAATAAGCACAATGAAAGCCTGATAATAAAATAAAGTTACTATGAAGCTGTAGAACAAAATAATTAAAGGCATAAGATAATTTTAAATTTAAACAACTGAAATATTAGATTTTAGCAATTAAAATTTTCTAATTGTTCTTTGGTCCACCATCATAGATTTCAAGCAGATAATTAATGTTGTATGAATGACATTGAGTTCCTATCAATGGAAATTAATTTATACCATTTAAAAAATTGTTTGTAGTCATATATTGTTTACTATGTAACTTCTTGTATTTGCTCTAAAGTAAGGCTAAATCACATCTTAGCCTCATCTCATCCAAGGAGGTGATTACAGTAAAGGTATACATGTTGGGTTAATGTGGAAAATAGTTGATGTGGATTAATGTGGGTTTCATGTATAAATTTATTATTCTCCTTATTAAGATAAGCTTGGAATCTTTTTTTCTGATGAACATTTAGTCTATTCAATAGGCAGTGTTCAACTGAGATCAACACTGTTCAAGGCAGCAGATAACAATATAGGCAAATACAATATTAATCCAAATTTCACATGAAAACTTTTGATGCTATTAATAATGTGGCAAATGACATGATTTTTACTTTATTATAATTTTTAAGAGAATAAGATAATGAAATGTGTACTGTTTAAGTGTTACAAGAAGCCTCTCCATGTTATTCTTTACCTGAAATTAGATTATAAAAATTACCTTTTTCAAAAGAAATTTATATTATAAATGTTCCTATGGCAAAAAGAAAAAAAACCTGGCCTCTGACTTGGAATCTAATATCATTTTATTAAGTAAGATACATGGTAGAGAGAAACAAACTATTTTATTTATCTGTCATGGTAATGACAAAAAAGACAGAAGTCTTTTTTTGTGATTTTTAATATTGACTCCTAAGAACAGTAAAAAGTTGGCAATGTAAATATGTTGCAATTTAGCCAGCTCTGAAAGAAAATGACTGATCATTAGCAAATCAGGAAAATTTTATTGTTGCCATTGAAAATTGCTTTACCCATCGTGTGTGTTCATTTACTATCAGAATTGAAATCAATTTTGTACTGCCAATTAATATTGCTGTTTTATTATCATGAGATTCTTGCTTTACATTCTAAAATGTTGTCTCTGAAAAATGAGTGAACACCAAGTAAGTTTTGTTTTTTCTTTAAAAAGGTAGTCATAAAATGCTACTCATATTTAGTAAAAGTAATGAGGCGAGTGGGACATGGTGGTGCATTTCTCTAATCCCAACTAGGTAGAATGCTGAGGCAGGAGTATTCCTTGAACCCTGGATGTGAGGCCTCATTGAGTTATGAGCTATCATCTTGTCACTGTAGTCCAGCCTGGGCCATGGAGCATAATCCTAAGTATAGAACAAAAAATAGAACCATGAAAAGTAATATAGCATTACAGTTTTTAATTCGCTAGTAGTAATGCATGGATAGTATATTTAGCCAAAACATTTTAAATTGGCAATACACCAAGAGGTCAGATGTTTGGGTCAGATTGCTAGCTAGCTCCTCAACTGGCTAAATCTGTAATAATTGGCAAAGTATTTGACCTAACTGTAATTGATTTTTTATTTGTGGATTTACTAATGCTACCCTCTAAGGAAACTAACTCTGATATTAATTAGATTACCTCAAAAACTTGTTCTGAATGGCACATATTAGACAGTAAAACATTAGCTACTACTACATATTATCAATTATTTTCATCTGCTTATTTTTAAAGCTCATAGTGCACACGATAAAATTCCAGAAGACCGAGAATGGCTGTTAGATACAATAGAATGCTCTAAGAGTCACTATCAAAAATGAGCATATCAGTGCATAAAATGTGTGGTAGTTTAGCAGTTATTTCATTGTTTACCGTAGTGTTTTTTCTTACAATTTTGTAGAAGCCTGTGTCAGAATTAAGAACTTTTTTAGAAGAGAATAATCATGGATGATTGAAATTAACATTTTAAGCTGATACTGAAAATTATTCTAAATTCTATTACATTTCTATTTGTATTTTCTTTCAAAGGCTAATGGAAGTCTTAAAAAGAAAATGGATACTTCCCTGCCAGGGGAGATACCGTGATCATGAAGGTGGCTTTCCCAGGGAAAGGCCGATATGTTGCACTCTAGATGTGCTGACCCGTGAGATTTCCCCAAATGTGGGACACTCAAATGCATAATTGGTGGAAGTGAAGGACTGTGTTTGTGCTTTCACATGGGAAAAAAAAGAGAGAGAAAATAAAATTGAGTCATTTAGTGGATATAGAAAATTGAAAGGAAACCACATACTGGAAACAATTCAATATGCCTACAAAAATTGGTGTCCTCCAGTACAAAACAATACAACATCAAATGGTTATTTCTTAGAAACATCAAATAGTGCTAGGATGACACTCGCAAATGCTTGAGAACTTTGTCTAGATGAGGTGGCTGGGGGAAGCCCCCAAAAGGCCGCAGATAAATCTGGGAAAAACAGAGGTAATTTTTAAATGCATAAGCCAATGTTTATGTATTAATATTGCCCTTAAAAATATTTACTTTGTGAAATGATTAGCATTGGTTTGTTTGTTCTTAAAAAGTAGTTTCCTTTTGGAAGCAACTTGTGTGAAATGGCCTGAAAATTATGTAGCTAAAATAATTCAGATTTTTTCCCTAAATTATAAATCATTTGAGGAAGTGTAAACATGTTATAGATGTCAGCTTTCTTGTATTTCTTAAAAGTTTATTCTAATGAAGAAAATAAAATATAAGGTATAAAGTTACTTTTATAATCAAATTTTCAATCTTTTTAAATATTTAGAATTTGGAGCCAGTTGACCACGATGCTTTAGATGGGCATAAGACCTCTCCAACAGAAGATACTCCATTATATCCTCATTCAACAGGCTCTATGTATCAACAGGTTAAATAATAATAATAATAATTTTTCAAAACTCATTTTGATGATTTACTTATATGGTCTTCAATTATTATTTTATTACATATTTTGTAACGTATCAGCTGTGACTGCAAACTAAAAAAAAAATTCTAGGACAGCTTTGGCAAGACGATCAGAAGAAGAATAGTTTAAGTGGGGTCATCTTTTATTTTACCCTTGTGATATTTTCTTTGTAATTAGGTACTACCTTGTCTTAGTTCATAAAAATGTGCAATATTTCAATAGAAGCATAAAGCAATTTATTTAGTCTTTCTCAAAATCCAGTGGCAGTAAAACTTAACAATTTTACCAGCTTTAATACAAAATTTACTACAAAAAGTACTGAACAAAAATGTAAATAAAATCAATGTATGAGCAATGCTAAGTTAAAACAAATATTTGTGTTACAATATTTTGGGAAGATTAGCCACAATGTGAGTAATGCAGTTTTCTCTTTTCTTCCCTCTTTTCTCTTTTCTTCCCTTCCCTTTCCATTTCTTTTCCTTCCTTCCTTCCTTCCTTCCTTCCTTCCTTCCTTCCTTCCTTCCTTCCTTCCTTCTTCCTTCCTTCCTTCCTTCCTTCCTTCCTTCCTTTCTTCCTTTCTTTCCTTTCTTTCTCTCTTTCTTCTTTTCTTTCATTTGTTCTTTTAATGGAGTTTCACTCCTGTTGCCTGGGCTGGAGTGCAATGGTTGTGATCTTGGCTCACTACAACTTCCACCCCCTGAGGTCAACCGATTCTCCTGCCTCATCCTCCAAAGTATCCGGGATTACAGGCATGCATCTGGCTAATTTTGTATTTCTGGTAGAGACAGTGCTTCTCTGTGTTAGTCAGATAGTTCTAGATCTCCTGGACTCACAATCCACCCACCTTGGTCTCTCAAAGTGCTGAGATTACAGGTGGTGAGTCATTGCACCCAGCCAGGTTAATCATTTAAAGCTTGTCTTGTGCTGTAACATTTAGCATGACTTCTCATCAAGTTCATGTAGCCAAGGGATGGAATTACCTAAATCACAGTAGTTGCCCAGAATAGCAGCTGTATTGCTCAGAAACCTTATTTTTTATCACCAGAAAAAATAGAAAACGGGAAAATGTAAAAAACAAGCATATTTTAATTCTAAAACGTTCTTCACATTTAATCTTTGATAGTTTAATTTCTTGTTGAGATAAAGAATCTGGACATATTTTTAATAGAAATTATAAAATATTAAAATCAATATGCACAATTTTCATATGTCACAATGTGTGGAGCATAGTAGATTATGTTTTTGTGTTGGGGCACTTTTGTGGTAGAATGTATTAAGTGATGCTTCTAAAATTTGGTTTCATCTAACCCCAGTGAAGTGCATATTATCAGAATCCACAGTACCTTGAAGTACCATTGCGCCAAGATTTCTGACAGCTTTGCTAGCCAGTGACAATTTTCCTTGAAAGCAGTAAGTCTTCTAGTTTATTTCTATATTATTTTAAAGCTTTTGTTGTTAGATGTAGGGTTTACTGAAGATATAAGTGCCTTCTGATTTTAAATAATACATGTAATTTTTTATTTGATGTAATATCTCAATGCCCATTGTTGGAAACAATAGGATATGAAGTGTGTTGCATAGCTTGAGGAACAGCAATTTGTTTGTTCAAATTGGTTAGAATATACTATGTTTTTATCTTTTTATAGTACATAAGCAGTAGCATCGACCACTATGAATGCAAAATGCAGTCTACGTTAGTCAAGACCTATAAATATACCATCAGGGCTACTGATATTGGTACATTGTAATCCAACTATGTTATGGCCCTTCCTATTTGGCCTATTGTTATTTGCAGTCTACATTTCTCTTCTGGCCTAGACTTAGATTTTGGAATTTCTATTCCTTAGAGAGTGTAAGAGAAATATGTGTAGATTAATCCTAGCTCTGCATTACTGCTGCATCTCTACAAGTTTGCCACCTCAAGTGAATGCATCATGTTGTCCTGGTTCTAATCACCTCCCAATCATCCTGGAGAGGATTCTTCAAATGGAAATCAACATGTCCTTCTTTAATGGACCCCTTAAATTATTACTATTAAGCAGATGTCAGGATGTGACTCAGCCCATGGAAAGTCCATATGTCACATACTGGTATCTGCTTGAAAGTCCAGTTTTCTATTGATCACATGACCAGAACATTAATGACTATTTACTACCCATGAATTCAAATATTTGCCTTTATAAAATAATGATTTAATGTTTTTATTGCTTCATTTAAAAAAACAGCATGCAGTTTAATCATTGAGCTAATTTGCTCATTCCATCTTAGGTTTGTCCGTTCATTTCTGGTCTCTATGAAAGTCTGCCAAGAAGACATTGTTCATCCACCTTGAAACTGCCATTCGTCAACCAGGCATGTTGTTGTTAATCAGGAGCTCTTCAAAGGGCATTGCCCATGTAAGAGTGAGATCCGGTAATTCCTGAGGTGTTTCCAAACTTGATGCTAGAAAATACCAGACTACTTGCTGTTGAACAGGATGAGCATCTCCTTGTACTTCCCTGGTAACATTTTACTCTATAAAGCCATCTTTTATGATATTTTGGAAGCCTTCTGAGCACTTCCTCATTAGATTATTTCCTTAATTTCCCCAACACATTATAGGTGTTGCAAGTTTTGTAATTATTTTATGGTCTTCAGTCAAAGAAGCAGTCTCAACACCAAGGCAAGACAAGCTAGTAATTATCTTTCCAATGGCAGCTGTTGTTTCATGGCATCCAGGAGTGCCCTGGATCACAATTTCCAGCTAATGATGAAGAGGGGCATGTGTGGGCTTTCTGCCATGGCCTCAGTCTGCCCGAGAACATGTTGAAAGTACTTCTAAATCAGAATTTGGATCACAAAAGCCCAATGTGTAGACAGAAGGAGCATTTTACCATTCAGAAATGGCCAGATTTAGTGAAATTTCTTATTTAAATAGACCACAATTTATTGTTTTTCAAATTGATGAATTATAATTTTACATATTTACAAAGTAGAACTATTATTTTTATACATGCACACAATGAGTAATGACCAAATTTTTAAATGCCCTATTGGTAATTTCTGTATTAGTAATTTCAGACATACATGACATAATTGTTTAAACAGCTTTCCACATCCAAACTTCTAGTTATTTTGAAATCCATAATAAATTATTCATACCTATATTCTCCCTCCTATACAATCAAACTTTAGGACTCATTCCTTCTAACTGTATTTTTTACCCATTAACTAACTTACTTATTTGTTCGCTCAATATCTTTCACAGCCTATAATAATCCGTCATTCTATTCTCTACGTCCATGAGATCAACTTTGTTATTTCTCACGTATGAATAAAAACATGCAATCCTTGTCCTTTATATTTCCTGGCTAATTTCACTTAACATAATGTCCCTTATATGAAGCCCTTTTCTGAGTAATGTTTAGTTAATGTATTGAGGTTTTTATAAAACTGAAATAATGACTTGCTTAAAATTTACCTTAACTGTTACCAAAATTCCTTCAGTACATAGGACTGTAGTTTGGAAACAGCTAAATGAACAAAGATGTCTTGAAGCTGTCTTAGGACATGAATATTGTACTCTTTTCTATCTCCTGTGTTATTTAACTTTGGTTTGTCTTCAAATTAATAAAAATATTCTAGTAAATTATGTTGGGTACCAACATTAAAGACCAAAAGAAATCAGCAATGCACAAATTTAACTTTATAAATACAAAGAAAGAAGTTACAACAAATACCAAAAGTTATTTAATAAAAGGATATACCGTTTATACTCCTAATTTTCAAAGTAGTTAATTTCTTTTTAATTTTTGTGATTATTGCTTATTTCAAACATGGGGTATTATAACTGAGTTCACAGAAAAGTTATTATAAAAGAGTAATAAAATAATAATATACACTGGATGTAATATGGTAAAGTTTGGTCAAGTAGGCAGGAGTAAAGACAAGTGAGTCCTCTGCCATGAGTAACTTTGGGGAAATAAGTACATTTTGGGGAATAAGTTACTTAGTCTTTCTAGGCTTCAGTATCTTCTTTTGAGAATAATGCATTTTCTGAATTACATAAGATTATTTACATGATTAAATCAGAATTATTAACACTCAATAAATATACCTATTAACCATAGTTGTGGAAGAAAGAGGAGCATAGACAGAAGCTCCAAAAGTCAAAACATGGTTGTAGCCATAAAGCAAAATACAGTTTGTTTACAAGTATCTAAGACATTTCTGTATGCTTTTAATCGTGTCTTAGGGTTGTGACAAAGAAAGAAAGAATACCCACTTCCTGCCCTGGAGAAGCTGATTGCACAGAAAAAGAAACAAGGCAGATATACATGCCTCAGTACATTGCCGAGACAACATAAAGCACAAGCAACCAAGTACAAAGGTAAGATACCTAATTTGCAATTTTATATTCTGTCTGTTTCATTTGCTTCTTACTGGTGTGATTAACCATCTCTATATGTGTTAAATTCAACACCCTAGGGGTCATATGGGCTATAGTACCAGAACTTACATTACAATTTTTCTTCCAATAGTGGCTGTTAACCAAGTATTGGTGAACATCCCATATGAAGACTCTACTAAAAGTAAAGCTACCGTGACCGCGATGTTTGGATGACATAATTTACTGAATCTAGGAAAGAGAAAGAAAGTGTGTGTTTTGTAATCCTATAAATGATAAGTGCTGAGAAACTAGTAGCTGAAAGACAAACTATTTCTGCCCACTGAAAGGAAAAAAAATGAAGAAATTCTAGGAGAATCATTTACTACAGTTAAAATATTCTAATTTTTAAATTTAGTTTCTATCAATATCTATACAGAAAAGTAAAAAAAAAAAAATAATAATAATAAAGAGCTTGAGTATAAACATTACCAAAATTTAAGCATCCCATATTCTCTTATTTGGAGGTTTATCCTAAATAGGTGACCTACAAATATGATATAACTTTTTTACCACTTTATTTTCAAATGAATACTTTCCATAGGCAGTTTGATGATAGTTCTTAACTAATTTTTTTTACAAGTTCACATAACGTAATTTGAAAAAGAAATTTGTTTCTTTAGCAGAAAAAGCTCTCATTTGAGAAAAATACATAGAGAATTTTAAAAAAAGCACAGCTTATGAAACAGATAACATAAATATGTCAGTCACAGTAACTCAGAGATTTCAGCCATATTATGAAGAAGAACTTCCTGCATAATTCTTTTAAAGTACACTAATTTCTGAGAGAAAAACAGTAGCTGCTATCAGAATCTTCAAAGTAATAATAATGAATAATTAGAATTTACCTAACTGTTCTGCTTCTCATGTTTGAAAAATCATAGTCTATATTTTTACCTATGCATTCAATTGCAGGAATACTGTTTCTGGTGGAAACTATATACATATAAAAATTATATATATAATATATAAACTATATAAATTATATATAATTCATATATAATATATTATATAAAATTATTCTTATATATATTATATAAAATTTATATATAAATTATAAATGTTATATATTTATAAATTATAAATATATAATATTTATATACAATATATTATATATAATATTCTTATATTATATATTATTATATTATGTATATTCTTACATTATATATTATATATAATATATAATGTATTATATAAATAATATATATTATATTATATAAATATATATTATTTATAATTAAAATAAATATTAAATATAATGTAATATATAATATATAATATAATATAAAATAAATATATAATATGTTATTAAAATAATTAATTTTAATATATTATTAAAATAATAATAAATAATAAATAATATTAAAATATATAATTTATATTATATAATATATATTATATGTTTTATATTTTATATATAATATATAATATAATATATAAGAATAATTATATGTAATATATATTATATAATATATAAGAATAATTATATATAATATATTATATAATATATATACATATGTGGCTGTTGGATCACAGAATTCATGTGACAAGTAGTACCAGTATTTTTGAGTACCACAAGTTTTTCTGGTGGGTGAGATCTAACAGGGAGCAGATATTCCCACTCAAAAAGTGCTCACAACCTGAGATAAGAAGAAAAAATAATGCTTGTAGTATGAAAATAATTCTGTCCACTTGTCTTTCCATCAAGTGACAAATTAATATTAACAACAACTCATTTATCAATGCAGCCATTTTTGAAGGAGTATTTTAAATTTTGATATTAACAACAAATTGAGTGACTATACAGATTTTTAACTACAGACCCCTTAGGTCCATATTTTAATGACATTATATCTGTCTGTTTTTTTAAAAAATGTGTTTGTTTAAAAAAATCTTTTGATTATATACATTTACTGTGTCAATGCAACTGTAAATAAATTAACAAAAAAGGTGTTTTTATAAAGGAAACTCTTCTTTCTACATAGATCCCACAAGACAAATAAAGATCTGACCTTTTAAGTGGTGAGTTTAACTAGAAACTTCTTCAATGCACTAGAAAATATACTCATACAGATAAAAACATAAACAAATATAATTTCACACTTTCCAATTAAAGATCTGTAGAGAATGTGTTGCTAATTGTATTCTTAGCCCTCAGTTTTCTCTTGAAATGAACTAAATTTTGTTATAATTTGTTAATTTACTTACATGACTTCCCACCCTGAGTTTCAGTTCCGTGTAAGATTTGAACATTACTACTTACTTTGTTGGACAGAGGTGGACATTTAGAAGTCATACAATGCACTCAAAATTTCTCTTCTCACATTATGATTTTTAAAGCCATACCTCTCTTAGAATTTAAATAGAATAACGTTAAGCAACTTCAAGGCTTGGTTTATTAAAATATTTCTCATGAATACATTTTAAATATAAACATTTTGTACCATTAAATTTGGCTTCTTTTTACACTAAGGAAACATATGATTCAATAAAACTCAGTTTAGTTACCAACACCAAATATAGGGGAACACTTAAGAAATACATATATTAGGCCGGGCGCGGTGGCTCCAGCCTGTAATCCCAGCACTTTGGGAGGTCGAGGCGGGAAGATCACAAGGTCAGGAGATCAAGACCATACTGGCTAACACGGTGAAACCCCGTCTCTACTAAAAATACAAAAAATTAGCCAGGCGTGGTGGTGGGCGCCTGTAGTCCCAGCTGCTCGGGAGGCTGAGGCAGGAGAATGGCATGAACTGGAAGGCGGAGCTTGCAGTGAGCCGAGATCGCGCCACTGCACTCTAGCCTGGGTGACAGAGCAAGACTCTGTCTCAAAAAAAAAAAAAAAAAAAAAAAAAAAAAAACAAGAAATGCATATGCTTTTAATTTAATATTGTCTGACATAAATGATTTTACATATGTACCTGATAGCTACAAAATTTTAAACTAGTTGATCAAAAACAGACAAAAAAAACATGAGTTAACTTTTTCTAAATGAAAATAGACTTTCAAAGTAAACTATTATTAATGAACAAAAACAGCTTTATAATTTAAAAACTCACTAGTATTGCCTTGTCTATGGAATATATTGCATTCAAATTCAGGAGTTTGAGACCAGCCGAGCCAACATGGCAAAACTCAGTCGGTACTAAAAATGTCAACAACAACAACAAAAAACTTCCGTTTGGGCTGGCAGGTGCCTGAGGTCCCAGCTACTCGGGAGGCTGACTCAGGAGAATTGCTTGAACCTGAGAGGCAGAAGTTGCAGCTAACTGAGATCCTGCCACTCCAGGTTGAGCAACAGAGCAAGATTTAATCACACCCCACTCACGTGCCAAAAAAGAATAAATAAATAAGAAAAGATCAAATTAACTGTGAATACATCAGGTATTGTTTATGCCAGTTCACCTGACCAAAGACAAAAATCCAGGTACTGATGGAACTTACATTTTCACTTTAGTGGAAAGTAGTGACAACGTCTATTGATTTTATTTTTATGTAAGAAGGATAAGGATTTGGGGTTCATTTATAAGCATGTGAATAGTATAAGCTCAAAGGAGATTTGAGCAAAGAAAGAGGATGGTAGAAGAAGACATGCAAAAGAGAATAAGAAGAAAATAATATATGGTTGTTTGTTACATTATAAAGACCATGGTTTTAGCTTAGGAAAAAGGGAAGCTGGTATTGAATGCTCATAGGTAGAGTTACTTTTTAAGGTAAGGGCAACGTTCTATATTTAAATAATAGTGATGGTTGCATAACATTGAGAATATCCTGAAAATCACTGAATGTGTACTTTAAAATGGTTAATTTTATAGTATCTGAGATATAATTCACCTAGTTGTAATAGTGGTAATAGTGTAATACTTGTAATAGTGGAAGGTAGGAGATCAGTAAAGAGGCTGAGCTAATCAGATGAGAAATGTGGATAACCTGTATCTGGATGACAGCATGAAAAATAGGGAAAAGTGGTTAGATTCTGGACCTGTTTTAAAAGGAAAACATGAAGAATTTGAGGACTAATAGAAATGAGGAGATGAAAAGAAAAGCATCAAGGATGACCTTTCAGTTTTAGGCCTTTGCAACAGGATGTAATTACTATCAGGTGAAATGGGAAACACTTGGGGGAGGGAAGTTGTTTGGAAGGAACATCAGAATTCAGTGTATAGCCTTGAGATCAAATTGCCTGTTAAACATGAATATGTGCAATAGAGTCATATATGATTTGGGTTTGGTAAGAGACTGGCTGGAGACAACCATGTGGGACTCATAGTACCATTCAGAAATCCATCATACAGGCAGAGATAACTGGGAGATTGGGAGCAAATTCATCAGGAATTGTTCAAGGAAGAGGGTGTCTAAGAAGTAACTTATATTTGGTCAGGCCTGGTGGCTTGCACCTCCAATGCTAGCACTTTGGAAGCCTGAGGCAGGCAGATGGATTGGTCCTAGAAACTCAAGTCCAGCCTAGGATACATGGGAGAGACCCTGTTTCTACCAAAATTAGCTAGTCTGGGTGGCCTGTAGTCAAAGTCGCCCAGGAGGCTGATGTGCAAAGATCACTTGAGCATGGGAGTTTGAAGCTGCAGTGAGTTCTTGATTGCACCACTGCACTCCAGCTTGGACAACAGAGGCAGACCCTGTCTCAGTAAACAAACAAAAAAAAAACCAAAGACAAGAAATTAAAATTAATATATATATATATATAAATATTTGGCCAAAAAAAGGTGATTATTTTAAGTATAGTATATTTGGTAGACTGTTGGGGATGAGTGCCTGACTGGTAAGGTAAGTGGAATTTTCAAATGAGAGCATATTACCAATGGAAAAAATACTCACCTGAAATTCAATGTAACATTTTAAATTTAGCAATTAGGGTGTCACCGATGGCCTTTGAGAAAGGACTGTGACTTCCTTGTTGTGGGATAAAACCTGAGACAGTATATGAACTGATGGAAAGAAAATCACTAATAGAAATTCTCTGTTGATATTAAAAGCAGAGAAAAATGTCAGTACCAAAAGAGACAGTTTCTGTTGTGGATCATAAAATATGGAGTTTTTATATATGTGTGATAAGGAAATCAGGGCAGTGAAGAAGAGAACAAAAGAAATTACACGAAAGAGGAAAAGATCAATCACATTGATGGGTTGGGTCCAGGAGGATGTATTTTAAAACGTGATAAAGGTTTTGTCTTTGAATAAATACGTGCATATAGATAAAGGTGTGATTTAGATCAGAATAACAAACAACAGAAGTTGAGGAATTTAATACTGTACAGTATAAAACTTAACAAATTGGAGGAAAGGATGTTTATGATAAGTTATGAGAATAAAAGCAATGCAAAGAAAGTTCAGGAAATGAACATATTATCAAATAAAAACAAAATAGGTAACTTCTTGATTCTTCCCTCCCACTTTTTTAAACTGCTACTTCTATTTTTCCCATTGATATATTTTAACAAATGACCAACATCTTCTTGGGAAATATTATGTTCTCTCTCTGATAATTTGCATTATATTCTTACACATTTCATGCCTTTTTATTATATTAACAGAATTTTTATTCAGAAAAGCTGTCTAAATTCCTTTCCAATATTTACTGGATTTAAAAGTACTGTTGCCTTTTATCTTCCTTTTTAGCCATTTTTGTTGAATATTGATTGCTTCCCACCCATAATGACTAATTGACCTTCACAATATATCATTAATTTCTCTGACAGTTTGTCTAGAAAGAACCTAATATGAGCTATTTCATACCCCCCAACAAAATAGAATTTACATCTTCTATAACCATGCAAAGTCTGGATTTCCATTCTATTTATATTGAAACTTTACTTGATTAATAACTTCATAGCATCACGCCAAGAAACAGTATTTTAAATGCAAAATGACCAACATCTAACAATAAGTGGAACTTAAAGGGCTCACTGTTTTGTATTCCTTTCCAAATCAGAAATATCTGCTAGATAGTTTTCTTAGTGTCATCATGGTTGGACTTGGCTTAGACCTTGTGCCATTTTGTTTTAGTCAATGTCAGCAGCAGACATTGACTGTAGAGCACCAAAAGAAAACTTATGAGAAATATATCCCTTTCTTCTTACTACTTGAAGACAGGAGTATCATCTTGGTGTTAAGAGGTAGTTAAGGCATCATAGAAGTTTTATTGTCTATTTCCTTGAAACATTGTTTGCTGAAGAAATAATATGTCAAGTTATTTGACATATTGACTAAATTATGTCAAATGCTTTAATTGACTGCATATGTCAAGTGGTGGTTCAATATTTCCTAAACCAGATATATATGTTTTATTGTGATTAGTGATCCATACTTACCTTTTTACATTTTCCATGAATAGTGAATTATACAGAATCTTGTTTTCTTCTGTTTGGATTTGATACAGAACTATACTGGATTCACTGACAAGAAGAGTTTGAATTAGCAGCATGCTGAGAATGGACACAGCGTTTGAAGAGACTGATAAAGAAATTACAGGAGGAGTTTTATCTTTGGAAGAAAAAATGGTCCTTGGGCACAGACCCCATGTGAGCTTTACTTTCAGAATTCTCTGCTCAACTGTTCTCTGTTGTGGTGAGGCCACCTATGCTTTGTATATGTTTGAAATTAATTGAAAAGCTATTGACAGATTCTGATGTCATTTGCCGTGAACTTTATTACTGTGTAAGTACTTTTGGATCAAATTACCCTAATGTTTTTCAACAAAGACTTTAGAAGAAATAAAGCTACATTACTTTTTTTGGCACGTTCTTCCTTTAGGATCTATGGTGAGGTAAGTGACGACACAAATGTCTCTCATTCTGTTTCCAACAAGTAAATAGAATACAAATAGTTCCCTAACAAGATTAAGGATGGGATAATCATTGTTCCTCTAACTGAAATACATCCCTGTTTAGTTTTATTTAGTTTTCACAATTCTGAAAATTTTCCTATTCAATTTTTATCAGTCATAAGATAATGATAGCTTTTAAAAAAAAAAATGAAAATGGAATTTAGTTAGTGGTTTTTTTCTGCTCCTTTTAATATTATTCTCATTCAGCCTAATGGGCATTCTAAATAGCAATGAGGGATATGAATATAACCTTAAATTAAGGAATGAGGGTAGAGTGAGACAGAAGAAAGTATGGCTCAAAAATAATCTCATAAGTTTTATTTGTCAACTCATGTGATTTAACATGTTAGTGGTAGATTTTCTACTCATCCTTAAATTTGGAGCTGTGACTTGGAATATCAAAATGTAGCTAAACAATTCATTTCCATATGACTTGTCTGTTACTATACTGATTTTCACGAGTACTGTAAATTTTGTAAGAACTAATTTCATTCAGATCTGCATTTAGACTTCCAAGATAGTAAAATATATAAAAAATATACATTTTATAGAATTAGGAGTCACTGGGGATAAGTGTTACCTTTCTTTAAAAGGTAAGTGCAGAAGTTTATAAACACATGCAAAAATGTGCAATCTCACGATTTAATCTTCTATGCAAATAAAAATTAGTAATAGCGAGGGCAGTTGGTGGCACTAGCAGGGCAATAAATACTCCTGCAAAGCCAAAGAATTAATACCAGTTATAATGCATGAAGTGATTTTGGGCCATACTCTGGAGATAATTTAAGTTTAATTGACTGAATCTCCTGAAAGAAAAGGACTTAGGCAGAAACAACAAAAAATGAACAATACATTAGCCAGAAAACTCAACAAATAAATAAAACACCTGAAAATATTAGAACCAATAAATCTCCGTGTAGTAGAAACACATCTAGTTTTGTTGCTGTAGTTGTTGTTGTTTAGAGACAGTGTCTGTCACCCAGGCTGGAGAGCAGTGGTGTGATCTCACCTCCCTGCAACCCCCAGCTCCCAGGTTCAAGGGATTCTCCTGCCTGAGCCTCCCGAATAGCTGGGACTACAGGCGCACACCACCAAGTCCAGATAATTTTTGTGTTTTTAGTGTAGATGGGGATTCACTATATTGGCCTGGCTGGTCTCAAGCTCCTGACCTCGTGACCCACCCACCTTGGCCTCCCAAAATTTTGGGAATACAGGCATGTGCCATCGTGCATGGCAAAATTTGTCTTTGTTACAAGGTTAATTTAAGAAATTTTATACATTTCTTAAATTTCTTACAATAGGCTGAGGATGGTGGCTCACACCTCTAATCCCAGCACTTTTAAAGGCCAAGGCATACAGATCACCTGAAGATGGCAGTTCGAGGCAAGCTTAGAGGACATGGTGAAACCACCCCTACTACAAATACAAAAGTAGCTGGGTGTGGTGGCACACGCCTGTAATCCCAGCTACTTAGGAGGTTGAGGCAGTAGAATCACTTGAACCTGGAAGGTAGAGGTTGCAATTCTGTGATGATGAGAAATGTTGAGATATTTATGTATAGTGTGTGTGTGTGTGTGTGTGTGTATATATACACAGCCACACACACACACATACACACACACCTGTTAGCTGTGTATATACATTCTTTGGGAAACAGAAGATACTTATTTTTAATTGGGTTATTATTTTCTTGTTCTTTTGAATCTGTTTTTAGTTCCTTGTACATTTTGATTAACCCCTTGTCTGATATACAGTTGGCAAATATTTGCTCTCATTACATTAGTCTGGTGATTTATTTTATTTTATTTTTATTTTTTGCTGTAAGGAATTTTTCTAGTATGATGTAACCTTATTTTTCTGTTTGTGCATTTTTTTTGCTTGTGTTTTTGAAGTCTTATCCAAAAATATTCTTGCCCAGACCAAGGTCATTAAATATATTTTGTGATTTATTCTACTAGTTTGACAGATTGCTGTTGTCATTACATCTTTAATTTTAAATGTTTTTAAGTATGTATTCTTATAGGTGAGGTCTCACAATATTACCTAGTGTAGAGTGCAGTGGCATAAGTGTTTCACGCTATAGCTTTGAACAGCTAGGCTCAGGTGATCCTCCCTTCTGGGACCCCTGAGTAGCTAAAATTATAGGGGCACATCACTGTACCGGGCTTTTTAATCCATTTGAGTTAATTTTTGTATTCAGTGAGAGATAGGGTTGTAATTAGGTCCTTCTGCATGTAGCTCTCTTGTTTTCCCAGCACCACTTATTGAAGAGACTGACATTTCCTCATTTGGTTTTCTTGCCACCTCTGCAGAATATCAGTTGGCTATACAGGTGTAGATTTATTTTTGCTCACTGTGTTCTGTTGTATTGGTTTATAGCATTGTGGCATGCCCAGTTCTGTGGATTCAATCCCTAACCCCATTGACATCTTCAGGATGGCTTTGGCTATTCATGGTTTTATTTTTGTGGTTTCATATTTATTTAGGATTTTTTTCAATTTCTGTGAAAAATGCCATTGGTGTTTTGATAGAGACTGCACTCAACTTGTGCACTTCTTTGGATCATATAAACATTTTAACCATATTACTTTTTCCAATCAATGAACATAAATATCTTTCCACTCATTTATGTCATTTTAACATTTTATTAGTGTTTCATAGATTTCAGAATGCAGATTTTTTAAATCTCCTTGGTTAAATTTATTCCCTTTTATCCCCCATACCTATTGTGAATGAGATTGTGTTCTTAATCTTTGTTGTTGTTGTTGTTTTTTTTGGTATTTTGCTGTTAGTGTATGGAAATGCTATCCAATTTTATATGTTGATTTTGTAAACTGAAACTTTACTGACCTTCTGTATTAGTTCTAACTACTTTTTAGTTGTGTGTTTAAGGATTTCCATAGTTTGTCATTAGCATGTATGGACAATTTTATTTCTTCCTCTCTAATTTGGGTAGCTTTTCTTACTTTCTCTTGTCTAATTTTTCCGGCTAAGGACTTTTATTATTACATTAATAGAAGTAGTGAAAATGAACATCTTGGTCTTCCTTCAGATCTTCACAGAAAAGCTTTCAACTTTTAATTCCCTTTGAGTGTGATATTAGCTAAGGGCTTGTATATGTGGTGTTATCTGGTTATTCGGGTCTGTGTCTTTTGTTGTGTTGAGTTACGGTTGTTCCACGCATAATTTGTTAAGAGATTTTATTGTGAAACTGTTGAATTTTGTCAAAACTTTTTTCACTTATTGAAATGACTGCATAGATTTTGTTCTTTATTTTGTTGATATAATGTATGACATTTAATGATTCTAGTGTATTAAACCATTCCTGCATCCCTATAATCTCACTTGATCACGGTGAATGATTTTCTAAATGGGCATTATAAGTCATTTTCCCAGTATTTTATTGAGGATTTTTACATTATGTTTATCAGATATTTTGGCCCATAGTTCTCTCTTTTTTCTTGTATCCTTGTCTGGTTTTGTAATCAGAATAATGCCATCCCAATGGAATGAGTTGGAACAGTTCCCATATCTTCCTTTTTGTGTTATGTTTTGACTAGGTTAAAAAAAATTGGCAGCAGTTTATTTTTTGTGGTAGGTAGAATGCAAGAGTGAATACATCAGGTCCTGGGCTTTTCTTTAATAGGTGATCTTTTATTGCTGATTTGATTTCTTACCATTAATTTGTTTCTGGGTATCAGTTATGGTATCTCTTTTATGGCTCTGATTTCCTTTATCAGGGGCTTTGTTTTCTTTTGTTGTTTTTTGTTTTTGTTTTTTGTTTTTACTTTTGAGTTTAGATTTATGTTTTTCTAATTCCTTCATTGAAACATCAAGTTGTATATCTGATATCTTCTCATAGTTGAAGGCATTTATTGTCATAACTTCCCTCTTAAAACTGCTTTGGTTGAATCTCATAGGTTTTGGTGTGTTGTGTTTCTATTTTTGTCTCAAGAAATATGGTGTTTTCTCTTTAATGTCCTCACTGACTCATTGGTTATTCAGGAGCATGTTGTTTAATTTTGATGTACTTATGAATTAGTGATTTCAGAAGAGATACTTTATGTGAGTTTGATCTTTCCAAATTCATTAAGATGTGATTTTTTACCTAATGTATGACATATCCTGAAAGATATCTCATGTATGCAGTGGAGAAGAATGTTTATTCTATAGCTCTTGGATGGATAGTTCAGTAACTGTTTTTAGCATTTTCACTACATGGCATTTTCATCCAATGTTTACTTGTTAAATTCTGTCTGCATTATCTATTCATTGCTGAAAGTAAGGTGCTGAATTTTTCTAATATTATCTTGCATTTTTTTCTTCCTTTGGATCTATTAACATTTGTATTATATATATGCATATATTATTTGTATGGATGTATTCCCGTTATAATATGTTATTTTTTTTCTGCTGCTTAATTCTGTATCCTCTCTTTGTTTCTGATGTTTGGTGGTTTGATTATATTAAGTCACAGGGATATGTTTATTGAAATTGAATGTGATTGTAAGCCTTCAAGATTCCTATAGCAGAATATTTATATTTTATTTAAGTTTGAAAAGGCTTCTGTTATTATTTATCCAAATAAGCTTTCTACTCTTTTCTTACACTTTTTTTTTTTGAGATGGAGGTTTGCTCTTGTCTCGCAGGTTGGAGTGCAATGGTGTGATTGTGGCTCACTGCAGCATCCACTTCCTGGTTTCCAGTGATTCTCCTGAGTTCCAGTGATTCTCCTGACTCAGGTTTCTGAGTAGCTGGGATCGCAGATGTCCACCAATACACCCGGCTAATTTTTGTATTATAATAGATAAACCATTTCACCATATTGTCCGGGCTACTCTCAAGCTCCTGACAACATATGATCCACCCGCCTTGGCCCCGCAAAGTGCTGAAGATACAGGCATGGGCCATCACACCCGGCTCTACCACACTCTTGAATGCCAGTGTCTGACACATTGGCTCTTTGGATGTTATCCCATTAATCTCATGAATCTTATTTATGTTTTCTCCTCTAACTGTATATTTTGAATTGACCTCCCTTTGAGTTTTGCTGCTTGACCACTTCTATTGTCACTGCTGTCAATTGCATTTTTTATTTTGTTGTGTTTTATTCTTCAAGATTTCTGTTTGTTTTTTCCTCCCGTATTTTAATCTCTTCTGTAAGCTTCTCTGATAAATTTCAGAATTCTTTGTGTTTTGCTGAAGTCCACTGCATTGTCTTCAAACAAGTATTTTGAATTCCTTGTCAGGCCTTGTGTCCATGCCCATCTCTTTTGGGTCAGTCACCACCAGCACTTTATTTTGACCACTTGATGCCGTCATGTTTCTCTCATTGATCCTAATGCTTGTGACTATGCATCAATGTCTGTGCAGTGATGTAGGTGCCTAATGCAGTGTTTGTAGTTTGCCTTTGTTTGGAAGCTTTCTTCCACAGTAAGGCTGTCCGGAGATTCAGGGCAAGGAGGAGGAAATTAAGGTATTTTAGCCTATGATAGCTTCAGCCCTGGTAGCACGAGGGGAAACATTAATGAGCAGACTTTCATGGCTGGAGTAATTTGACTGACAAAGTCGACTCAGTGCCAGGTTGCACCTGTATCACACAGTTGAGCACTGGATGCACTCAAGGCCTGTAACTTCCATGGTCTGCCCTCTGATCTTTATTCAGTGTCTGAGGTTACTGTAGTCAATCAGTGGGAATATTGACGGGAACTCAGCTCCATTCTGCGGAGATCATAGTTTCTAATCTGTTGCCGGGGTTGGTCTACATGATTACCCCTGGGTATCAACCTCCCAAAGTGCTGGGGCAAGGGGACAGGCAAATAAATGTCCCAAGGCAAAATGTACTATGCCTACCTCCTTCGCCCAAGTGAGCATCCCACCTCCACCTCCTGAATAGTTGAGACTACAGGAATGTGCCACCATGCCTGGATAACATTTTTGGTGTTTTCTTGTTGTTATTGTTGGGCTCAAGTGATCTACTCACCTCAGCCTGCTAAAGTGCTAGGGTTACAGGTATGAGTCACTACACCCAGCTAAAATTTACTTTCTAAAATTTAACTTTTAGATCATTTCTTTTTATTCAGTCTTATTTCTCATAAATGCAGTTAAGAATGTTATTGCTTTAGAGTTTCTCTTTGGGTATCCCTGAAGGAATAAATGGACTCTCGATATTCATTTTCTAAATGGTGTTAGAAAATGAATAGTTACTTTAGATGAGTAAAGACTATTTGGCCTCTTTTTGTTTTCTGGCTTCATTTCATTGTGTATGAAGACTGTATTATTTTAACCCTTCTGTATATGTGAAATGAATTTTTACTCTTTCAACTGAATGTAGTAGAAGATTGTTTAAACTGATTATACAGCTACTACATAATTTTGTTTTTCTTCCTTGTGCATATTAGTCTAATTATTGGGATAACAATGTCAAAATTAAATTAATTTTCGTATTAAAAACTTCTGATAAAATTACCTAAGTACACACAAACAAAAACATGCCCACACAAATCACTTAATTTCTAAAACTTTTAATTTTTCTGCTTCTCTAGTACCTTGTATTCCATCACACAGCAAAATCTGGCAGCTCCACTTCCAGAATTTACTTGAACTCCACAGCTTATTTCCGATTTCCTGTTATCACCAGAGTCTAAAACACAGTTTATATTGCATTCACCTCCTATTTTACACCGTAATTTCCTACTTTACACTCTAACTTTATATAAAAAAGAAACTACCTTTTCAAGATCTAATTCACGCAATTTTATTTGTTCTTAATTGAGACTTCTTTCTAGGTGCTGTCACACCTTGTAACGTCAGATACAAATGTCTCTATCCAATTTCATGAGTTCCAGTTATTTTATTTTAAGGGAATGTGTATATACATTTATAAATTTGTGTATGTGTGTATTCACTTATTCTTTATTTTATATGTTTTGCATGCATATATTCACTAAATCCCTGATAATGGAAAGATAACAAATCTTTTTTTTTCTTTCTTTTTTGTATGTAAATTATTTTCCGAAGGAGGTGGGTTGGGAGAAATATATCTTAACTTGGCAAGTTTAAAAGAGAAAGTGGCCATTACTAATGAAAATTATTCTCTAGCATTTTCATGTTTATCTTTAATAGCATTGCTGATGACATATTCCCTCTTATCAGTTGTGTAGGTGCCATTCACTGCAATATACTGGCCATCCGCACTGGCAACGACTTTGCTGCCATTAAGCTACAGGTGATAAAATTGATCTATCTCATGATATGGCATTCGTTGGTGATTATCTCACCTGTAGTGACTCTGGCATTCTTCCCTGCATCTCTGAAACAGGGGAGCTTACACTTTCTATTAATCATATATTTTGTATTATTGTTGACACCATGGCTGGAGTTTTCGAAAAGTGGAACTCATCT